>NC_000021.9:38294111-38604065 GCF_000001405.40 Homo sapiens
TCTTGTCAAGCATTTTTTTTCTACTTAATATTTAAAACGGTGATACTTAAAGTCAAATTTAATCCAGGCATTTTTTATTTCTGGACAAAGAGATCATTGAAAAATTAATTTGTCAGAAATATATGACACGCAAAAAAGCAAAAAGCTTTTTAAGTAACTTTTCTTACAAACAGGAAGCTATGTTTTTTCAGAGCTTAAAAGTGAGATCCACCACAAGTTAATTTTAGTCTAGAAATCCAAAGTTACTATTTGATTTAGATTTCACTCTTTATGCCTCATCACCCTGGTTAAAAGACGTGGAATGAGCTCGCTGAAGGCCTAGTTGAGGAACCCCGGTTCTGGGGAGCCACTGTCTCCCCATTTTTCTGTAAGTGAGAAATGTTTTTTCTAAGGGGCCTTTGCTTTGTTAGTTCACTGTGAAACGCAGAATGAAGTTTTCTCGAGATGGGCAAATTGAAAATCTTCAAAATCTGGCCTAACAGAGCTCTAAGTTTTAAAGACATCAATGTCTTTAAACATTGCCATCATCAACATGGCAATGGGTACTACCCTTCCATTTCCCATTATCCTTGCTGTGTCCCCAACACTGGAAGTGTAGTTCTCCATATAGCTAAGTACCTTTTTCAATGTGCCTTCTGTTCCATTCTGTTTCAGAGTGTGTTTATTTTCTTTCCTTTAACTTCAGAAAACTAATGCTCACAGCATAAGCACTCAGTGACCTCAGACCATTAATCTTTTACTGGTTTGAAGTAGGAGAAAGTAATACTGACCTATCCATTCAATAGTTGTAAGAACTTCACTTAGGTAGATATCGCCATTCTAAAAATTGCAACCCCAACCCACAAACTGAAACGATATAACAAAAACTGCAGAAATAAACATTATTTCCAGAAATTAAAGAAAACTGTTAATGGTTTATATGAAATATTGCTTAGCTGGGAGGATTAACCCTTTTCTCATTTGCCCTGAGAATACTCACTGGCAGCACTTGAGGCTGCAATATTTACCTGGAGATGATTTTGCCACACAGTATATTACTTTTATTATTATTTTCATATCACTCTAGTATATCAACTTTGGAAACAAAAGACAACATTCTATTTAGAGCATTCTGCTTTTAGTAGTGGTATTTTTATTTACAAAATATAGTAATTCTTGATCGCTGAAAATGTCAAATCCTGGAAAACACAGCATTCCTACACATGGTGTTAACATTGGTCTCCAACAGTTGTTGGCCAGAGATTCATTTGATGAATCCAATTTTTCCGAAATAGACAATTCTGATGATTCAGATGATTCTGATGTTAGTTCTGTTTAGAAATAACTCCAAGAACAATTTTTATGTTTTACTTTCACATTGAAAATCAATCAGATTTGCTTCAGCCTCGAAAAGCATGTTTATGTAAAATTAAGTGAGTACTGGTGGCAAGCTGCACTTTTTTTTTTAATGGGAAAAAGGTTAAGATAGGGGAAATTAGAAGAAACTATTCTTCTCTCATTCTTTGTGTTTTTATCTTTTGGAAAACTGTTATTGTTGCTTACCATGTTAGAAGTTAAGCCAGGTCTATTGAAGAATCACTAAGGGAATATAACCTAAGGCAGTAACATAAAATTATATGAAATAAGAGTATGTATCAACACTGATTCAAACTTCATGAAAGAAGTCTGCTGAGGAATAAAATTCTATAAATTAAGAGCCTATGATGAAGTGCAATTCATAAAGCCTATGGGTAAGATTGATGGGCACAAAGAAGATTCTGGGTCTTAATAGAGCAATGACAAAGAGGTCATTTGCCAAACATGCTGTGGCCACACTGGCAGGATCCAGCCTGTAAGAGGATGCACAGGTTAATTGGGAATACTTTAACTATAAGAGAGTAATAACTGTAAATAATTGGCAGATCAGAAGAAACGTAGGAAGTATAAGTGTGCCTGTGTGTGTGTGAGAGACATAAAAATATATGGATGTAGACAGATGGATGATTGATAGATAGATACAGATCATAGATAATTGATAGGTAATAGATCAATAATTGACAGATGATAGATAATATGCAGGTAGATATTTAGACCGGTAATAAATAGATAGATAATTGATAGATAATAGATTGATTGGTGATATATAATAAATGATAGATTAGAGAGATAATTGATAGATAATAGATTGATAGAAGATAGATAATAGATAGGCAGATAGCTTAGGAAGAATTATTTTCAAAAAGTACATGCAAAAGAACCTCTTGAATTTAAAGGAGATTACATGAAACTGTGGATGTTTAAGGGGATTTTGTGGTGGACTGACAGGAACCCTGGGCTAGCTTCCAAAGACTTTGGACCTTGTTCTTTCTGCCAGGACCCAGCTGTGTCAAGTGGGATGGTTCTGACAATCTTTTCCACTCTAATGTCCTATGACTCAACAGTAGCAATGCATTTCCACAGGCGGTAAAAATATTCTAGACTCTTCCCTTCCAGCGCTCACTGTTTACTTCCTCTGCACTTCCCCTTCCTGCCTCCCCGTGTGCCGGTCAGTTCATAGCGGGCCTCAATGAGGGTGGGTTAACCCTCTCTTTCCAGGGTGTTTTGCTACGGAGCTCCCTCCAGGGGCTGGGAACTGTGTGGTGAGGGCTGTGGTTGGGGTTCAGCTTCCTTCTTAAATCGTTCCTTGAACCTTTACCCTATTCTGTGCACTGTGCCGATTTCCAGGGATTGGAAGGTAAATGCCACTGCGTAACTCTTAGAAAATCATCGGGGGTCAGTTTTACTGGGGTGCACTTGGTAACCATCTATGAATCCATGTGTCCCTCTTTCTTTCAGGCAGTAGCAGAATCCCATGGTAGCCAGGTGGGTGAAGGGGAGCGAGGACGTTCTACCTGCCTTGAAGAAGACACCTGACCTGCGGAGTGAGTGACCAGGTAGTAGACGGTTCTGAGGGCATCACACACTTGAGGGAGGGAGGAGGACAGAGAGGGCCATGGCACCCTTTGACTGCTGAGTGCCAGCTGCTCTCTTTCCCACTGAGAAATGCTGCCCCCAACACACCCAGAGGCTCTAGGTCTTGTCCTGTGATTTCTGTCCACCAAGACTTGATAGGAGGTATGATAGATGCCATTAACTCCAGCACTATATACACAGGACTGCAGCAAAAGCGCTCTCAGCAGAAAGAGGAAACAGATACAGTTCATCCCAAGCCTGGCTTGCTGCCCCTTTGAAAGAGAGTTTCAAACAGAAGCTTCATGGTGCTGCCTTCATAAAAACAGGGCCAAGCTTTCCAGAATCTGGCAGAGGGCTGAGTGCCCGCAGGACACTTGTGTATCACTCACACTGGAAAACTTAATCCTCTGTTTTTATTTCAGTGGATTGAATGGCATGCAGTTTCCTCAGCAGCTTAAAAAAAATGCATGCAGTCACTTGCAGACAGGCTGCATTTGTCTCTGCTGGTGCTCATGTTACAAGTTTGTCTGTGCATTTGGGCATGCCAGAATGGCGTTTCATTTCCAAACCTTTATTGTGGTCACTTTCCTCTTCGTTACACTGAGAAGTGTTGCTGAGGGTATAGTAAGGCCCTAGTTCATCAATTATATCCTGTACTTTTCTTCTAACTTGATCCCAAGAACAGTGGAATTTGCTTCAAGGTAAACAAATTTTGAATAATTTATGGCCCTTCTTTTCAACAAAAATGAAAACGTGACTTTCTAAAGAAAAGTCAATTACAAGGGGGCATTTAGTAAATAACACACTCTTAATAAAGTAACAGGAAAATTAAAATGCCCAGCAGACCCATTGCCTCCTGAACAGGTGTTTGCTGCTAATGGATACAGTTTCCATTTCCTTGAAGGGATTTGCCCAGAGGATTACTTTCACAACTTCTATTGAGATAATACTGCTCTAACAGAAAGAGCAATGCATGAATCTGTATATCAGTTCCTTAATAAAAGGGAAGATTTTTTTAGTTCCTAAAATACCAATGAGGTGAAGAAAAACATGCCACCCAGGTAAAGTTACTCTGTAATCACCCGCATTATCTTTTTCAAGGAATGTGGGGGAAATTTATGTCAGTCATCAGGCAGGTACTAGAAGATGCTAGGGGCCTCACAGACAGCTTGTTCCCGGCTGTTAACATGGAGCAGAGCGTTCCCTGGGGCTGAGCATGGGAGCCCAGCACTTCTTATAGGTAGGTCTTTCCTACTATAATATTAGATGCCTACACTTATTGACTTTTTCATTTGCTCTTTAAAATAGATTTCTTCTGCTGGTTCTGCTTAGTTCTAAGGAGTAAGGTAGAATTTTGGTGCCATACCTAAATATCACGTCTAAAATGACATTGGTAGCACTTTTCCAAGAATAACCAGCATATTGATCAAGCCATTAATAAAGCCTAATTATTTGCTTTAAGAATGTTTTTGGTTGTTTCAAACTGAGTTTTTTCCAAAGTCATAACAAAACTAGGAGAGGCTGTAGATTCTTAATTATTCATTAGATTAGGGGGAAAACGAATTGCTATTACAAAGAATATCATGCAAAAAATAGGTTTTAAAAAATGCATTACTACTGAGTTTTAAAAATGTATACTAACATTCTCCATATCAAGAACTGTTTCATGGATGGTAGATTTTAGTTATAGCAGTACTGGACTTACACTCAGTCAAATAATTTTAAATTTTCTATAATTGGGAATACATGGTAGCTGAATATAAGCAAACATATTACTCTATGAAATAAATGCATAAGAGTTTGTTATCACAAAAAACAGCATAACATTATTTTTTTGAAACACAAGGCTCTGTTTTAACACTTTACCTTGTTTAATAGTAACAAAACCCCTGAGGAATAGGTTGTATTGCCATTTTAAACACTGGAGAGCAAAGGTCCAGAGAGGTTAAATAGCTTTCTGCAGGTCACACAGCTGATGAATTGCAGAGTCAGCATTTAACCCCGGTCTGCTTTTCTGCAAAGCCTCTGCTCCTCACTCTACCCTACCGACCACCTAAGTATAGATCAGTTAATCTTGCCTTCAGAATTCTCCTTTCTTGTGTACTTCCATGTACATTCATACTTACTTCACATGATGATTCTATTTTCTGGAAGTTCCACCACATATGGCGATAATGAAACATCTTTGTCATTTCTCTAAGTGTTTCCAGAGCCTGGCAATGGATGCCATTCACATCGGCATGTCCAGCACCCCCCTGGTGAAGCACACTGCTGGGGCTGGGCTCAAGGCCAACAGACCCCGCGTCATGTCCAAGAGTGGGCACAGCAACGTGAGAATTGACAAAGTGGATGGCATATACCTACTCTACCTGCAAGACCTGTGGACCACAGTTATCGACATGAAGTGGAGATACAAACTCACCCTGTTCGCTGCCACTTTTGTGATGACCTGGTTCCTTTTTGGAGTCATCTACTATGCCATCGCGTTTATTCATGGGGACTTAGAACCCGGTGAGCCCATTTCAAATCATACCCCCTGCATCATGAAAGTGGACTCTCTCACTGGGGCGTTTCTCTTTTCCCTGGAATCCCAGACAACCATTGGCTATGGAGTCCGTTCCATCACAGAGGAATGTCCTCATGCCATCTTCCTGTTGGTTGCTCAGTTGGTCATCACGACCTTGATTGAGATCTTCATCACCGGAACCTTCCTGGCCAAAATCGCCAGACCCAAAAAGCGGGCTGAGACCATCAAGTTCAGCCACTGTGCAGTCATCACCAAGCAGAATGGGAAGCTGTGCTTGGTGATTCAGGTAGCCAATATGAGGAAGAGCCTCTTGATTCAGTGCCAGCTCTCTGGCAAGCTCCTGCAGACCCACGTCACCAAGGAGGGGGAGCGGATTCTCCTCAACCAAGCCACTGTCAAATTCCACGTGGACTCCTCCTCTGAGAGCCCCTTCCTCATTCTGCCCATGACATTCTACCATGTGCTGGATGAGACGAGCCCCCTGAGAGACCTCACACCCCAAAACCTAAAGGAGAAGGAGTTTGAGCTTGTGGTCCTCCTCAATGCCA
Organism: Homo sapiens; assembly: GCF_000001405.40. Classification (NCBI taxonomy): domain Eukaryota; kingdom Metazoa; phylum Chordata; class Mammalia; order Primates; family Hominidae; genus Homo; species Homo sapiens. Next base: position 38,300,118 of record NC_000021.9, read on the forward strand.
CTGTGGAATCCACCAGCGCTGTCTGCCAGAGCCGAACATCTTATATCCCAGAGGAAATCTACTGGGGTTTTGAGTTTGTGCCTGTGGTATCTCTCTCCAAAAATGGAAAATATGTGGCTGATTTCAGTCAGTTTGAACAGATTCGGAAAAGCCCAGATTGCACATTTTACTGTGCAGATTCTGAGAAACAGCAACTCGAGGAGAAGTACAGGCAGGAGGATCAGAGGGAAAGAGAACTGAGGACACTTTTATTACAACAGAGCAATGTCTGATCACAGGGGCGCCATCCAGGTTTAACCCTGCAAGCTGTTTCCACATCAGAACTCCCTTCAAACACAAAGATTGCTGTGAAAACGAAAATGTGTAGACGCACTCTCAAAAACTGCACGGACATACAAAATCAATCTTTTCCTTTGATCTTGTGGCTAAACCAGCATTTCTGTGTTTGAGAGATTTCCTGTTAGGTGCTTCGTCTGAAAGTGAACTCTCATAATTCAAATTGTATAAAATAAAGCTACATTTCTAAGAGCTTGGTGTAGGGCAATTGGAATAATGTCCTGTTAGATAAACAGACATTTAGCAATCCTGACATTAAAAGGAAATGTATTTCTATACAAGATTATTAGCTGTAATACAAGATATTTATTTAACCAATGACCTTATGGCTGAGAGTTGAATTGTGGTTCAGTATTCATTGATCTCACTGCTTTAAAACATGCTCTTTTTGTTCAAGCAGGAAAAATATTATATCTAATTATGTCTATGTGGTAATACCTAAAAAGAGGTAGAGAGACTCTATGTTCACAAAATATAGTAATTTCATTTTTACCTTTCTTCAGTGGACTGAATTGTATGGAAGGAAATTGATCAGATCTGTAATTCACAACTGTGGAAACCTACACAAATGGGGCTGATGCCATTGTTTCCTCTATTTTATTTTATTTATTTTTGAATCCACTATCTCTTTCCATTCAAAATATTTCCATTCAAAATGTGGTTCACAGACCCGCCACATCAGCACCATCCGAGAGCTTATTAGTAATGTGTAGATTCTCATGTCCCAGCCAGACTTACAGAATTGGGGTCTGTATCTTAACAAGAACCCCAGATGATTTGTGTACAAATGAAAGTTCGAAAGCTGTGCTCTGGACAGTGTTCTCAAAGCAACTTTCTGAAGCCGTGTGGAAAACTGACTCTGTGTGGGTCCCGTATCCCTGTGGCATCCAGACCTGGCCTCTCTTCATTTCATTATTATTGGCCAATATTTCTTTCAGCCATTTCATTTCTTATCTATTAAAATGGCTTGCCCATAAAGGAACTGCATAGGATTATCCCCTGACATTCCAAGAGCAAAATAAAGCTCTTGAGAGTAATTGTTGTCTCAGTCATGCTTGCTGATTACAGTTAGCACAAAAGAAAAATTCAGCTGCCTGACAATACAGGAAATGTTCTCAGATGCTGATGTTTGTAAGGTCCGGTGGGGCCATGAGGAAGAAGAGGAGCTGAAGGTAAGAAACTCATAAACAAGATGACTCTTTGATGCATGAACAAGATTTGAAAATCTCAAGCCTGTAAAGAATACCCCTGCTATTTAAATAAAGCTCATACCAAGAGGTAACATTTTGCCCCGGGCCAAATTCAGGGGTCTAGTGCCCTGCATTCCTTTGAGGCAAAAAATAAATGGGCTATGACTGGTTAAATGTCCAAAAGGTGAATTCTCATTTCATTCAAACAAAGACAGATTTGCGCATTCACTCAAGCAGAATGTGGCCATGAATATTCAGCCCCTGCATACATACAAAGATGTACGCATGATTCCCCCCACCAAGCACACACACAGTCACACACGCACACACACACACATGCACACACGCGCGTGCACACACGCACACATGCACACACACATACGCACACGTAAACACATGCACACATGCACACACGCGCACACATGCACACACGCACACACTTGCACAGGCCCTGGCTCTTCAAGCATAATCATGGTAGTCATCAGTGAAAGACATTTGAGGTTAAGACAGCAAGTCCTTGACAAATATGTTCATGTCTATTTGGTTCTAGTTCTATAAAAATATGAACATTGGGACTCAGAGAAAATGGGGAAAATAAAGTGGATTCAGGTTATCAGTGAAATGATGGTATAGATTACAGCAAATCTGGATATATATTGATGTTACTGCATTTGCAAATGTCCTCCCATTAAACAGAAAATGTGGCTAAAATCCCTGGCCTGGAACTGAACTAGTTTAAGGCAGGTGTAAGAATAGTGGGAGGAAAGTTTGTGAAAGTTTAAAGAATGCCCTCAATCCATGAACGAGAGGGAGGATGTTGTCTTTAATTATTTAGAAGGTTTTTTTTTCCTTGTCTGTTGATAATTTTATGGAAGGTTGCTTTAGATCTCCATTCCTTAAAAAAATATTACATGTCAGTGTAGTTAGATATTATCTCTTTTAGTTATTATACTTGCTATTTTTACTGTATAGTGTGGTATAATCAACAAAAAATAATGCCACGGGCATGTTTACACCTTTTCTGTTGCACTATTAAATTCTTTTCACAGTATTCATATCAATGCTAATTTGAATGTGATGCCAATTAAAAATCTTGTTCATTTATATTGTATATGGTACAAGGACGTAGCATAAGATCCAAAAAAAATTTTGTATTGTCATTTAGCATATCAATTTCAGCCAAATTTGGAAGACTTGATCATCTTATCTTTTGCTCTACACACTCAAAACAAATATTGCAGCAGAAATATCACCTTAAAAATATCTTATTTTATATTTAGATAATATTGAAATCACAGTCTATTAAAATTGGAAATTTAATTCAAATAAAAATCAAACAAAATAGTTGTTTCAATTTATCTAAATATCTGGTCTTAAGAGTGCCTTAAGAGTGTCTCGTTTTTAAGAGTGTCTTAAAAACCAATATATGTATAAGTCAACAAATCATATAATATTCAATAAATAGCTCTGAAGTTGTATCTGATTTGAAACTTACCATTTTCCTGGAACCTTAACTATTATTACTTTGTACGTAATACTTTCATGTTACTATGCTAACAAAGGATTTAGGTAGCCAACTTAATTTATTATATCTGGTCGGTCTTCTGCTTGAAACAGATTCACACTCAACACCCAACTAAGGAGGAGCCAAAGTAGTGGAGTATTCCTGACCCAAAAAGGCTTTTGAATTTTGAAACATTTCTAATGTGTTAGGTTTTCTCAATGAGACCATTAAAAAACGTTGTGTTCCATTTGAGAAACCAGAGTCAACAGCAGTAAATCAGTGTGCCCCACAAGCCACGTCTTATTCAGCAATAAAATAGTGCTCACATGGTGCCTGGCAGACAGTGGCTCTGGACAGCAAAGCACTGAGTCACCCAACCCCACTCCTTTGGGATGGGGTTGGGAGTCATGCATTGGCTCCCTTTTTCATCCTGGGGAAATTACAACACAACGCAGAGTGTCCAGAAATCTAAAGAGCTGGTTTAAGGTGAAAAAAATGCCATGAATGAATGAACCAGATGTTTAATAAATCAAAACAACTATTTTGTTGGATTTTTATTTGAATTAAATTTCCCAATTTTTAATAGACTGTGATTTCAATATTATCGAAATGTAAACAAAGATATATTTTTAAGGTGGCATTTCTACTCCAGCATGAAAAAAATAGTGGCATTTGCACTCTAGCATTATTCTGTCTCCCTTATTTGAGTCTTCAATATATATGCCCAGCTGGAGGGAGAAGAAGAGAAAAATGAAAGCACTAGGCCTTTGACTAGGTTTGGTTCTATATGCTGTCATGATGTTCAAAATGTCAGACATTTGACCACATGGCACAGTGAATACTCTCACGCTCTCAATTTTGGCTTTCATTCTTGCTAGACTTTTCTTCTATTAAATTTCTGAAATAACTAGTTTTTTTTTTTTGAACTTGAAAATCAGCTTTTTATTTTTTTTAATTTTATTATTATTATACTTTAAGTTTTAGGGTACATGTGCACAACGTGCAGGTTTGTTACATATGTATACATGTGCCATGTTGGTGTGCTGCACCCATTAACTCGTCATTTAGCATTAGGTATATCTCCTAATGCTATCCCTCCCCCCTCCCCCCACCCCACAACAGTCCCCGGTGTGTGATGTTCCCCTTCCTGTGTCCATGTGTTCTCATTGTTCAATTTCCACCTATGAGTGAGAACATGCGGTGTTTGGTTTTCTGTCCTTGAGATAGTTTGCTGAGAATGATGGTTTCCAGTTTCATCCAATAACTAGTTTTATCATAGCTTTCCATGATGTAATTTTTTAAGCGAAAGGTACTAACATTTCCAGTCTTGATTTCCAAGTTTTGTGGTGTGCACTCGAAATCTAGTCTCTGATTGTTAAACTCTGGGTAGGTACAAGAGGCTCTTAATTTTCTTCCTCCCAGGAGGACTTACTTACACTTAAAGGTCAAAAGCTTAACATTCACTTCTAAATGGTTAACTGCATACACTTTACCCTTTGTAAACTTCAATTTATCTTTTTTTTTTTTTTTTTTTTTTTTTTTTTTTGATACTGGGTCTCGCTCTGTCGCCCAGGCTGCTAGAGTGCAGTGGCGCGATTTCGGCTCACTGCAAGTCCGCTTCCAGGTTCACGCCATTCTCTCCCTCAGCCTCCCGAGTAGCTGGGACTACAGGCGCTCGCCACCATGCCCGGCTAATTTTGTTTTTGTGTTTTTAGTAGAGACGGGGTTTCACCGTGTTAACCAGGATGGTCTCGATCTCATGACCTCGTGATCTGCCCGCCTACAAGCCAGGTGTGGTGGTGCGTGCCTGTAATCCCAGCTACTCAGGAGACTGAGGCAGGAGATTCGCTTGAACCCGGGAGGTGGACGTTGCAGTGAGCTAAGATCGCGCCACTGCACTCCAGCCTGGGCAACAAAAGTAAAACTCCGTCTCAAAAAAAAAAAAAAAAAGAAAAAGAAAAAGAAAAGAAAAGAAAATAAACGTGGCAAAACTAGACCTTCAGACACTTCACTTCACTTAACCCTATGGCCCTCCTTATCTTGCACCCAATTTCTTTTCAACATCATACATGCTTGGTTGACTGTTTCTTCATATTTGCTGTTCATTCTATAAAGTCAAATAGATTGGTGGGTTAAAAAATAATCAATTCAAATTCAAATTAGGAATTTATGGACATTCAGATATCCACATATTTGAGGGCAGGAATTTTTACTTTTCAATTGGTATGTTGGCAGTGTGTAAAAATAGAAGACCAAGAGAAGGCGGTTGATTGGAGTTGATACTTAATAGCTAATAAAAATTACAAGAAAGGATGGTGGAAGTCAAAGGACAGAACTGATACACGAGTATAAAAGCCAACGATGTCATATATGTAGGCAAAGTCTTTGTAATCTGAATATAATGCCAGAGAGCTAGGGCTGCCAGGCACTCTGTATGTGCAGAATATGTCCTATATGGAGTAATTTTTTATTTGTGTAGACTTTTTTAGGATACCTTAAATGTCTTACATGCAACCTTTTTTTCCCCATATATTACAAAATTGCCTTGGAAATTAGACAAATCTTCAAACTTAACTGAAACTCCTGTCCTGAATAGTTATTTGCCAAATCTGACAAATTTACAAAGAGTGTTCACATAATCCCAAACTATGCCCATTTCTACAAGAGAAATACATGCCTCTTTATTTGGAGTTTATGATATTCATACAACTAGTAGTAGAGTCAGGGAGTATTCCAGAAACATATTTCCCTGGCTTGCCCAATTATCAAGGGAAAATTTCAGCTGAACACGGGGAACCCAGTCTTTGACACTCCTGTGTGCAGTGTGGAGCAGCGTGCACTGTCTGAGTCTCCATAGTGAGGAATGGTCTTCCCTGGGGCATCACCCTAGAAGGATGGGCTCAAAGTCGCCCTCCACGTGGGTGCACAGGAGCCCAGATTCTCAAGCCCCAGTTGCAGAATTAGGCTGATGGTTTTACAAAAGAGTCCTCCTAAAAGTCCATCACTAAGTTTTGTTTGGTTAGCAACCCTTGCCACATGATGTAGTACTTAGCTATAATTTTATTTTTATTCAAGGCCAAATCTTATCTGGTGTCCATGCCTTCCCACCTACTTAAAATTTCAAATTTCACCCTCAAAAATATTTCAGTAAATAAAAGTTAGATCTACTCAAAATTAGACTCCAAGGGAATTACTATAGTTGATTATAGAGTATCTATTTCCTTAAAAAAAAAAAACCATAAGTTGTTGACTCTGAGCTAGGAAATGCGTGATCTCTCAGCTGACTTACTTTATGCAAATTTACTTAATATTATAGAAGAGTAAAGAGCTTCCAAGAAGGTGATTGGAGGGAAGTTCAAAGGGAAGATTTTTTTCATTCACTGTAGTTTTAGCTGTATTCTTTCATCTGCAATCAAATCTCAGGATTAAGGATGTCGTATTACATCAAATCATTACAGGAAGTATGACTGTATCAGCGGCTTTTTACAAAAACAAACCTCCAGATCACAAAAGGAAGCTGTGTTTGTGTACTGACACGAAGTGTTACGTAGCAGCCAGGAGAGGAAGGATAGCAGCCGACTTGGATCCATTTTTGAGGAATTATTTCTGTAAGGTGTCATGGAATTGTAAGTTACAAAAATAAGGCTTTTGTAAACAGAATCTCCATTCCAGAAGGACGGACTCCAAAATGCTACTTAATGAAATTCATGGGAATGTTATGGTGATGGAAATCCCAAATGACATGTAGATTTTATATGCAAACAATCCCACTGCTTGTAACTCCTGGCAGTGTGTACTTACCAAAATCTTGATCACACTTAGGTCTCTTGCTATATATAGAACCACATCTGATCCTTATACAGTGTTGCAAGATATATGTCCTTGCTTTCCCATGGTTCTTAAGTGAGTCTTAAGCTTGGATTTGCTCCAGCAGAATGGTGGTTTGTGTTTCTCAAGGCTGAGCTACTATTTGGTGCATGTCGGAAATCTCACACTAACTGTGGATACTCTGTCATCACTGAACCCAATCATACAATGACCAGACAGCTTTAAATACCTACTTTTGTATGCTATGAATTCATCCGTTTACTTGTCAAATCCTTTATTTCCATATGTGTCTCCATCACCTTTTTTTTCTCTCCGGATAAATGGAATTACTGTAACTTGTGAAACAATGGCAAACACTATAAAGCTAATTTTACAGTCTTGAGTTTCTTTTTGTTTCACTGGAATGGTAATGGTGTTACAGTGGTGCTCTGACAGACAAAAAATCTAATATGTCCTTAGAAAGTTCAGAGGGGAACTTATTTGAAATAACCTTTTCCAGTGATGGCAATCACAATAATGTGGGAATGACTAGGTCCTAAAAACTTATCAAGGTGTTACTGTATATCAGTACGTAAAGAAATGTATTTTGCTTCTTTCCAATCACTGAATAGAAAATGAAATCCCTGCCTCATCGCTCCTTTTTTTTTTTTTTTTTAAGACAGAGTCTCACTCCATCCCTCAGGCTGGAGAGCAGTGGCTCACTGCAATCTCCACCTCCAGGATTCAAATGATTCTCCTGCCTCAGCCTCCCAAGTAGCTGGGATTACAGGTGTGTGCCACCACGCCCAGCTAATTTTTTTATTTTTAGTACAGATAGGGTTTCACCATGTTGGCCAAGTGGGTCTCAAACTCCTGACCTCAAGTGATCTGCCCGCCTTAGCCTCCTGAGTAGCTGTGATTACAGGCATGAGCCACGGCGCCCAGCCTCATCTCTCTTTTTCTGCCTGATGCTCTCCTGCTCCAGAATGCTTATTTCATTTTAGTCAATGATTAAAAATCAAGCAACCGTTTAATAACAAACATCCTTTCAGCACTGCAACCCTTACCAAAGTGCCTTTTGTGCTATTGCTCCTTTACTTGGATGGATTAAAAGAAAGAAAACACTTAACTACATAAGTCCTACAGGCATTAGTATGGGTGTCACCCTAAAGCCGCACACCTAATTAAAACCCACGTAGCCAAGGAGTGCATCCAAATGGCAGTAGTTATCCTCCAAGCAGTTTCCTGGGAAAACTACACACACATGCAACAAGATAGTTGCCACAGCTCTGAACATTCCAGAGTGTCTCTCTTAGAGCCCTCTCCTTTGGAGCCTTGGCTCATTCTTTGTAACATTCTCAGGGGTGGCCAAGCTTTGTTCTTGGAGGGAGCATGTGACAGCTGGAAATAAACAAGGCTGATGCAGATAGTAGGAAGTCATCTTTGAGGATACTGTTTGAACAAAAAGGCAAAATGTTTTCTAGAAAGTGCACAGTCATCTGAAACACAGTCATGAAGCTAGCCGGTGGGACACATTTTATTAATTTTAATTTGCATGGAAGTTTTCAGACACATGTTATTTTCTACCCCGTTATCTCAAACGTCAATTGTCCTTCCAGGATGACCTTGGCTGAGAACTGAGCTAACCACATCCAAGCCATAAGGCAGCATTGCTTTCACCACACCATGTCCTTGGAGCAGAGAATAAGGGAATTTGTCATAGCAACATGGGAAGCTTTGGTTCTGGGCTGGATACGCAACATCCCGGCAGGCATAATTTCCCTTCTCAGAAATCCTGTCTTCATAAATGTTAGACAAACAACTTTTATGGTTTAATTTTTCATGCAAAAGTCCATATTCTTCCCAGAAACTCTTACATTGTTCAAGTGATTATGTTCTAAATTAGTCTATTCCTTTACTGGAATTTAACACTTGCATAATAATCTTAGCTGATAAGGTATTTGAGTGATCTAAATGTGTTTTCACCCGTCCTAAGGGCTGCTTTCTGCATCTTTCTTAGTTTGCCTCTATTGAGTCTGCCAGAAACTCTTACTCTTTTTAAGATTTTGTTCACGTTTTTATTTTATTTTTTTATTTTTTGAGACGAAGTATCCCTCTTGTTGCCCAGGCTGGAGTGCAGTGGCGCAATCCCAGCTCACCGCAACCTCCGCCTCTTGGGTTCAAGCAATTCTCCAGCCACAGCCTCCTAAGTAGCTGGTATCAGAGGCTCCCACCACCACACCCAGTTAATTTTTGTATTTTTAGTAGAGACGGGGTTTCGCCATGTTGGTGAGGCTGGTCTCGAACACCTGACCTCAGGTGATATGCCCACCTCAGCCTCCCAAAGTGCTGGGATTACAGGTGTGAGCCACCATGCCCAGCCCACACATATTTTTAATTAACAAATAATAACTATATATAGTTAGGGATTACAATGTGATATTTTAATACACATTTTAGAATAATTATATCAAGCTAATGATATATCCATCTCCTCACGTATTTTCTTTTTTGTAGTGAGAGCATTTAAAACCCACTCTATTAGCAGTTGTACTTTCTCTTGACAGTGTACCTCTCTGTAAACTCTGTTTAACGTGCCCACTCAGCATGTGATTTAAAGATCTGCAATGAATAAGTCCACTATGACCAACAGACTCACAGCCTCACAGCAGCCCAGAACAGTGTGCTTCTCCTTACCCCTACCCCCACAGTAAGTCTGGCTGACCTGCTACATGTTCAAATATGTTGTGGCATGTTCTATTGCCCGCGTGCCTCTTCTGCTCATACAAGCCCCACACCCCCCAAACACACAAGTCTCATGACATCTGGTCACATCTTAGATATCCAGAGAGCAAGAAATATTCATATTTGTAGGGCTCTGAATGCTAAAAACAACTTCAAATATTCAATAGTCCATGTTATACCCCATGAAAGGGTAGAGGAAGGACATATGCAGTTATCTACACTTTGCAGAAGACCCTGTAGCCCACTGACATCACTTCCAGAGTGGCCCAGTGAGCCATTGGTGGCAATCTGGGTCTTTTCCTTCTTTTCTTTTCTTTTTTTTTTTGTTGAGACAGGATCTCACTCTGTCACCTGGGCTGGAGTGCAGTGGCGTGATCACGGGTCACTGTAACAACTTCCCAGGCTCAAGCAATCCTCCCGCTTCATCCTCCTGAGTAACTGGGACTGCAGGTGTGCGCCACGATACCCGGATAATTTTTTAATTTTTTTGTAGAGATGAGGTCTCAGCTTATTGCTCAGGCTGATGGCGAACTCCTGAGCTCAAGCGATCTTCACACCTTGGCCTCCCAAAGTGTTGGGATTACAGGTGTGAGCCACTATGCTCAGTCTGGATTTTTTCCTTCTGGCCTAGTGTTTTATCTCCAAAATTTACAACATGGAAATCTCATGGTGGAGCAGATTTCCATGTGAGATGGATCAAAATTAGGGCAAAAGTGATAGCAGAATAGATAACCCAGGTGAAAGCATGAGACTGGGAGTCTGGATAAATTGCCTAAAGGCCTAACATGCTTCAAAAGGTCTGTTATTTAGAGGCTGGCAACATGAGATAAATATCCCGAAGGTAGAGAAGATATGAAGTGATCAATTGAAAAGGAAAAGGCAGAGGAGTAAGAATGCCATTCATCAAGACAGAAACAGAATCCACATCCCTGCTGTTCATCTAAGCAGAGACAAACGGTTGACCAAAGACTAGACATGGGGTGACTAAGATTAAGAAATCCTACAGAAAAGTCAAGATGAACAAGCATTCAGTTCTCAAGTCCTCACATTCATTATGATTGCATCATATGAGGCTCAGAAAAGTTGAGTAATTTGTCCAGTTACCCATCTACCAAGGCGTAAAGCCAGGAGTGGCCAACATAAAAGCCTGGCTTCCTCTCCATGTTTTGTCCTGCCTCCCAGGTGGGCCATTACAGGGTGCATCCAAAAAAGCATAGGTGATTTGGTGGTTGATGCTCTTGGAGCCAAAGCAGCATTTGCTTTGTGCTCAAGTGTTTCCATCAAGTGAAAACAAAGCCATGGTTGAATTGCGGTGTCACCACAGACGACTTGCGGGCGTTGAATTCATGCAATGCAAATAATAAGGGATTGTGCCAGTGTGCCTCCCATTGTGAATAGAGCAGTGAGCTTTCAACTGAATGTTTTGCTGAGTTCTAAAAACCTGATTTGTAAGGATTTATACTGGGCTTCTCAGAGAGGCTTTAGGGTAGGTAATTATTTTAAGGTCTTGGCTGATTGAGTCAAGCGGCAAAGAGAGCTTTGTAGAGACAAGCAAACACTGCAGAATCAGTGCAGCTGGCTGGAATCCGATACTGAGCTTACAGGGCCTAAAGGGAGCAGGTGAGTGGTCCCAGCACAAGCAGTCACTGCAATTACAGTGACCAGGCCCGGGGAAGGAAGGCTCAAGACCCAGACACCAAGAAAAGCTAGAAACACAGGGCAAGAGAACAAGGGGTCTTAGAAGCTGACTCTAGAAAGATGTTCTGACAGATTGCTCTTGGCACTAGGGAAGACCTGCCTACAAATCTCTCCATTTCACAAGCAGATAAATAAAGAGGGGCAAATAGGAGAGGAGTGGAGTATGAACCCACAACACATGACGGAGATCAAGGAAGTAGAGCTTCAGGAGCAGAGACCCAGACCCAGGGCCTTCAAATCAAGGGCAGGACTCTGTCCTTAATAGGAGTCAGGAAGAAGGGAAGCAAGACAAAAATCCTACTGCAGGGACAGAAAAATGAAGGCTGGAACTCAAGTGCAAAGAGGCTGGCCAACACAGGAAAGGAACTGGGTAAAATACTGGGGCTTCCTCATTGGAAAGAAGGATTTGTGGCAAGCTGGACCTGGACAAGGTACACTTGTTAAGGAGTCAATGGCTCGTAACATCTTCATCTCTCCTCAGTAGGAATCAGAGCCGGAAACCACAATTTCTATTTCAGTGCTTCCCAGGGCAAGAATTGGCAGCCAGAAGGCAAGCACATCATCACAGCCTGAAGTGCATATTTCATCATCAGATGAAGCGGTTTCTCGCATCATTTATTATTTACCCAGTCACTTTAACAACCACCTGATCTCTGAGACAGGTCCGTGGAGTGTTGTGGTCTCCACATTAATATTTATTTAGCGATGGACATTGTACTAGGAAATAAAAGCAGATTCCTAAAAGAGCTATGTTATTTGTATTTTTCGAGGGCTGCCATAATAACTGCAAACGGTGGTTTAGAACAATTCATTGTATCACATTTCTGGAGGTCAAAAGTCTGAAGGAGGACCATGCTCCCTCTGAGGTATTTTCGCTGGTCTCTCCCAGCTTCTAGTAGGCTCAGGAGCTCCTTGGTTTGTAGGAGCATAATTCTATAATTCTAATCTCTGTCTTCATGTGCACATGGTGTTCTCACATCAGCTTCCCTTTGTGCCTGTCTCTGTGTCCAAATTGCCCCCTTTTTATAAGGACTCCAGTCATGTTGGATTAGGGACCACCCTAATGACCTCATTTTAATTTGACTACCTTTCTAAAGATCCTATTTCCAAATAAGGTCACATTCTGAGGTACTAGGGGGTTAGGGTTTCAACATATCTTTTTGGGAGGATACAATTCAACCCATAACACTATTCTTTCCCATCCATTTCATCACCAATTGATCTACCTTCAACCTTCCTTCTAATCAGAATCATACTCATATAAATAAACCAGAATAAGATTCTTTGCTTTGGAAGAGACAGAAGCTTTCTCTGGGTTACTGTAACTGTCCTGAATTTCCTATTTCTGCAGAATGGACAGAAAAAGCTGACTTCTAGCAGACATTCTATTATAGTTTGACCATAGCCACATGGGAAGTTATGCCAGTGGACATTCCTTTGGAGACAGTTTCTGGTTCTTAGTGCAGAGAGCAAAGAACATTCTTCCTTGGAAATTGCCTCCACTATTTTGTAAACAGGAGAGGACTTTTCAAACCTGGTTTTCAAACAGCCAGAGACTAATTGTGCCCTCTCCAAGTTAATCATATACTGGGCTTCCTCTCTCAACTGCTCTCACAAAGCTTGCTGATTTCTCAATAGCACTGAGATACTTGAAAATAATTGATTTCTAGATGCCTTTCATAATTCTGGCTCTGCCATTGTCGTCATTTTGTGTCTCCTACTATAAAGGTTAGGGAAAACCCTTGCTTGGCAAGCCAGCAACTCAGGTATGTTGCCTCAAGGTGATTCTGCATCCATCACTGGACCACCAGCTGAGGTCCCCACACTTGCTTTGCTTTGCTGAGTCAAGTCGCACCCCATTGTTTTGAGAATAATGCTCTTATGTGTTGCATTTCTCCCCAAACCTCTCCTCATCCAGTGCCGGAAACGTGAGAGCTACCCTTGCTTTCTCCCACTCCCTCATCACCTGTATCTAATTCATCACAAATCCCCGTCCACGCTACCCCTGGCATTGCTCTCAAGTCAGTTTCTTCTCTTCCATTCTAATCTCCCGGTGCTTAGTTCTGGCCACCATCATCATCATCATCACAATATATGTTTTTAAAAAGGCACATTTCACACTGGCTACCCTGTTTCTAGTCTTTCTCCTTCCCAATCTATTCTCCACACTGTACCCAGTGTGGTCATTCTAAAATAGAAGTCCGATCATATTACTCTTTCACTCAAAACCCAACCTCCAGATAAAGGGCAAGTGTCCAGACATTGGACTCATGCCTCTCCTTGATCTTGCTCCTGGTAACCTCCTCCCTTGTCATCTCTTTCCCTTGCGCTCTACTTTCAAACATCCTGAACTCTTTGCAATCCCCCAGTGCTGAAGGTTTTTCCTCCTCCTGCAGCCTCTGGGATATTGGTTATGCTTCTCCTTTCTGGGATGCTACCACCCCAACCCTGGCCAACTCCTGCTTGGTCTGCTGGCTGTCTGTCTGAATGGCTTTCTTGACAGTGCCTATGTGATTCTAGAGGAAGGGATCCTGCCACTCTGTTGACTTCCCCATGGTGCACAGGACCTGATATGGGATGGGGGGCAGGGAAGTGCCGGGCAAAGAAGAGCAGAGTCCCTGGTGAGGGCTATACCCTCTGGCCTGTGCCCACGGACCTAAATGAGGATAGGCATTTCTGGTTTTGAGTTCAAAAAGTTGCCTTTTGGCCTGCCACACCCCTTCCCCCATCCTATGCCTATAAAAATCTAGGACTGTAGCAGGCACAGACACAAGTGGCTAGACGTTGAGAGGAGCAGAAGAACACACTGGCAAACACCAGCAGACACTGGCAGGCCAGTGACAGTAGAATGACATAGACACGAAGAGAATTCAGTCAGGGGTGGTCAGAGAAGAGTCCAGCCGCTGGATGGCCAGACTCCAGGGGAAGATCGCTTTCCCACTCCATCCCCCTTCTGACTCCCCATCCATCTCGCTGAGAGCTACCTCCACCACTCAATAAAAGCTTGCACTCATCTAAGCCCACGTGTGATCTGATTCTTCCAGTACAGTAGGGCAAGAACCCGGGATACAGAAAGCCCTCTGTCCTTGTAATGGGGAGTTGTAAACACTCACCCCTAGGTACTGCCATGGGGTTGGAACCCAAACATGCTCCCCGCAACCTCTGCACCTGCTCATCTGCATGCTCCCACTATGGGGCTGAACAGTGGGGTTCCAAAGAAGCGAGCAACACCCCTGTTACATGCCCTGCAAGGGGGATAAGGGAACTTCTCCGGTTTCACATCCACCTCTCAGAAGGCTGTCCTGACATCATGACCTAGCCTGCCATGCCTCTGGGTAGCATTCCATCTCTGGAGCCAGGCCTTCCAACTGGGCTGCTCCCAGGCCCTTGCCCACTCTGGTAAGTGGCTCCCCACTGGTTCTTCTGATAAGACCGGGGTGTGGTGAGTGAGATAGGGAGACACTTGCCTCAGGGACAATATTTGTGGGTTGCTGAAAAACTCAGTAATCAAGATTCTATTTTAATGGATCAGTAAGAGTGCTTAAAGGAATATTTATAGTTTCGGGTGTTTGAGAAGAAAAAAAAGGTTTCTTCTCCAGCCTTAAAGAGTCAGAAAAAGAAGAATAAATTGAACCCAAAATAGAAGGAAGAAATCAAGGAAATAGGAAATACACTAACAAGAGTTCTGTTTCCAGCAAAAAAAAATTATCCTCCCACAGATAACAACTATAAGTGCTGGAAAAATACATAAAACCAACTAACCAAGGACCCTAGAGAGTGAACCAAAGCAAGCACACTTCACAGGAGAGTTGAAGTTCACAGGAAGCAGCCAGCATGGGGGAAATTCTCATTTTTTTCAGCTTTACCCTAAGGATAGATGCAGCTGGCTTGTGTCAGAGGTCAACTAAAGCTCCTGTAAATAGCTCACCATTTTTCTGGCTCATGAAAAAAAAGAGAAGGTCCCAAGGGCAATCAGGGCTACTGGAGGGTGGAAGAAATCCAAGAAAGAAGAGCACATGAAATGGGAATCCCTAACTTTGTGCATAAACTCTGGACAAGTCAGTGGGTGACCACCGAACCGTGCATAGAGAGGGCAGACTGCACCAGTCCAAACTAAGATCATAAATACTATGTAACCACTGGCAAGACCAAGCTTGAAGTTTAACTCTAACAAAGTTTAACTCTAACTAGCCCTCTAAGTGAACATCCACATACTTTGTAAAAAGAGAATGGAATTCAGAATCTCTACAACATATCTTTGACAATGTTCAGGATACAATTCAAAATTAAAAGACCTATGAAGAACCAGGAAAATGTGGCTTACTCTCAAGAGAAAAGGTAGTCAAGAGAGCCTAACCCTGGGGTGATCCTGATGTTGGAATTATTACATAAAGGTTGTAAAATAGCTGTTAAAACTATGCTCAGTGATTTAAAGAAAATATGCAATAAATGAAAACTTAAGAAATCTCACTAAATACATAGAAACATGAAAAGAACCAAATTAAAATTTTAGAACTGGAAAATAAAATACTTGAAATAAAACTTTTACTGGATGAACTGAACAGCATAATGGAGGTGAAAGAGGAAAGGATAGGTAAGTTTTAATATAAATCAATAGAATTATCCAAACTAAAGACAAGAAAGAAAAAAAGACTAAAAAAAGTTTGTCAAACACCAGGAATCTGCGGTATAATGTTAAATGTACTGGCAAAAAAATCCCAGAAAGAGAATGGGGCAGAAAAAAATATTTGCAAAATAATGACAGAAAATAACCCTCATTTGGTGAAAGAGAAAGATGCACAGATTCCAGAAACTCAGAGGACCCCAAACAGGAGATGTTGTATTATATCAATATATATAGATTATATATGCAGAAGACCATTTTAAAAATAATCAAATCAAACTGCTACAAACCAACAATAAAGAGAAACCTTTGAAGAGAGCAAGAAAAAAATTCTACATTACATGCAGGAGAACAATGATTCTAATGATCACAGAATCTGAAAAGAGACCATGGGGTGTAGAAGATAGTAGAACAATATTTTAAAATGTTAAGGGGAAAAAAAAACTTGTCAATTTAGATTCTATTTCCAGATATATATGTTTGTTTCCAGATATATATATATATGAAATATATATATATTTCTATATATATTTCATATATTCTTCTGAAATATATATATATATATTTCAAGAATGAAGACAAAATGAAGACATTTTCCAAATAACAGAAAACTAAGAAAAATTGTCTCTACAGACCCACAGCACAAAAAATATTAAAGGAAGATTTTCAGGCTGAAGGGAAATAAAATGTCAGATGGTAACTTTCATCTTCAAGCAGGAAGAAAAAGCGTCAGAAATGGTAAATATCTAGGGAAAAACCTGTTTTCTCTTAATTTATTTAAAACACATATGGATATATTTATAATTCTAAAAGTATCTTGTGGATTATACATCTATATGTATGTGGATTATACATATATGTATGTATACACACATAATAGCATAAAGACAGTGGGGTAGTGAATGGATATACACACTTGTAAGATTCTTACATTCATATAAAATGATACAGTTTAACTCGAACTAGACTGAAAAGTTAAGAATGAGCATGGGATCTTCAGAGAAAACCACTAGAACTGATAAATTAGTTTAATAAAGTCACATGGTAAAAGATTATTATAATCAATTGTATTTTTAAATACCAGCAGCACAAATTTGGAAAATAAAAGCTAAAAATTTATTTATGATAGCTTCAAAAATAAAATATTTAGGAATATATTTGACAAGATATATCTACAACTTACAACTGAAAAATACACAACATTACAGAGAGAAACTAAAGAGCACCTAAATACATGGAGAGATAAACCATGCTCATAGGTTGGAAGACTCAATGTGGTTAAAATGTCAATTTCCCCAAATTGATTAATAGATTTATTACAATCCCAACCAAAATTTCAACCAGCTGTTTTGGAGAAATTATCAAACAGATTCTAAAATGGATGTCACAATACAAAAGACTCAGAATAGCCTAAGATTTTTTTTAAAAGAATCATTTTAGAGGATTTGTACTAATTATGTCAACATTTATTGTGAAGGTGTAGTAATCAAGATGGTATGTAATTACAAAAGGGTAGACATTTATCAATGGATCAGAATAGAGTCCAGAAGTAGACCTACACATATAATGCCAATTGAATTTTGGTGAACATGCCTGAAAAAAATTCAATGGGGAAAGGAGAGCCTTTCCAGCAATGGTGCTAGAATAACCAAATCTTCATACGGAAGAAAAAAACACTACAGAGAACCTCACATCACACACAAATTTTAAAAGGGATTGTAGACCTAAATGTATAAGCTAGAAATACAAAACTTCAATTATGTTTTGTTATTAGGTATAAGCTAGAAGTACAAAACTTCTTGGGAAAACATACAAACACATTTTTGTGACTTTGGGGTAGGCAAACATTTCTTAAACAGGACGTAACTAGTATAAACAAGGAGAAAGATGATCATTGGATTTTATCAAAATTTTTTAAAATTTCCTAAGGGAAACAATTAAGCTAATAAACACAAACCACAACATTCGGCAAAACTATATATATATATGACAAAGCACTTGTATCCAGAATATATAAAGAAGTCCTGCAACTGAATAAGAAGACAAAAAAGTCAATTAAATTGTAGGCTGAAGACTTTTTTTTTTTTTTTTCTGAGACGGAGTCTTGCTCTGTCGCCCAGGCTGGAGTGCAGTGGCGCCATCTCGGCTCACTGCAAGCTCCGCCTCCCGGGTTCACGCCATTCTCCTGCCTCAGCCTCCCGAGTAGCTGGGACTACAGACGCCCGCCACCATGCCCGGCTTATTTTTTGTATTTTTAGTAGAGACAGGGTTTCACCGTGTTAGCCAAGATGGCCTTGATCTCCATTGGCAGAAGATTTGAACAGATTCTTCACAAAAAGAAGATATATGAATGGCCAATAAACATATGAATACATTATTCTACATGATTCGTTGTAGAAATGCAAATTAAAACCACAATGAGATGTCACGATAAATCCATGAACAGAAAATAAAAAGACTAGCCCAATTGTTAATGGGTACATGGAGCAAACGGAACTCTCGTATACTGCTAAACAGAATACAAAATAGCACAACCACTAAGGAAGACTGACAATTTCTTAAAAAGTTAAACACACATATTGTAAGACTCAGACATTCCATTCTTAAGCACTACCCAAGTGAAAAGAGAACATCTGTCCACTCAAGGACTTGGTTGGGCAGTCATCCCTTGGCATCTGAAGGGGATTGGTTCCAGGATCTCCTTCAGATACCAAAATCCAAGGATACTCAAATTCCTTATATCAAATTGTATAACATTTGCATATAACCTACATCTATTCTCTTATATACCATCTCTAGATTATTTATAATCATAATACAATGTAAATGCTATGTAAATAGTTGTTTACTATATTTGATTTTGAAACCTATTATTTTTATTGTTGTATTCTAGTTTGTATTGTTTTGCTATTTATATTTTTGATCCATGGTTGGTTGAACCCACAGACACAGAGGGCCAACTGTACAATATTGTTCATGGAAGCCTTCTTCATAATAGCCAAAATATCTGTAAACCACCTAAATATTTATCTATTGGTGGCCGGGCACGGTGGCTCATGCCTGTAATCCCAGAACTTTGGGAGGCCAAGGTGGGCAGATCATGAGGTAAGGAGTTCAAGAACAGCCTGACCAACACGGTGAAACCCCATCTCTACTAAAAATACAAAAAAAACAGCCGGGCATAGTGGCGAGCATCTGTAATCCCAGCTACTGGGGAGGCTGAGGCAGGAAAAATGCTTGAATCCGGGAAGCAGAGGTTGCGGTGAGCCGAGATCGCGCCACTGCACTCCAACCTGGGGGACACAGCAAGACTCTGTCTCAAAAAAAAAAAAAAAAAAAAAAATATATATATATATATATATATATACACACACACATACATCTATCAATCGGTAAATGGATAAAAAAATATGGTCTGCCCATACAATGGAATACAAGAAAAATCAATGATCTACTGATGAGAAAAACAATATGATGAACATCAAAGCCATTCTGCTGAGCAAAATGAGCCAGAAGTACATACTGTATGATTTCATGCACAGAAAGTTAATCAGAAGTTGCTTGGGGTCAGGAGTGGAGGGAGAAATGGACTGAAAGGACCTTGAGCAAACTCTGGGAGCAATGAAAATGTTCTGAATCTTAGTTGCAACGACGATTCACAGGTTTATACATCACTCAAAGCACATCAACCAGGACAGTTTAAATAGATCTTTATCTTACTTTTACCACAATAAATTGGATTTTAAAATTAATGTGCATGCTAATCACTAGGGAGCTAGTTGAAATGGAATTCTGATCCATTAGATTTGGGAGTTTCCTAAGTTTCCACATGTATTACAAGCTGCCAAGTGATACCCATGCTGATGGTCTGAGTTCCACACTTAAGAGAAGCTTCAGACTACGATTATTCAATCCCCAAATGATGAAGCCGAGGAGCATTTTATGAATTCTCTTCTCGGGTGTGATTAACATTACCTCTCTCATGCTTTTAGAGCTGTGTCATGTCCCGGAACTTCCCCTGACGCGACATTAATACTCTGTGAGGTTGCTAATAACAATCACATCTGGCATTTACAAAGCACACACTAAGTGTTGGGTACCGTTCTTACAGCTGTACATGAATTTACACATTTAATCCTTGATACAAAAGCAGGTACTATTACTATCTCATATTGACAAATGTCAAAACAAAAGCCCAGAAAGTTTATGGGACTTGCCCAAGGTCACCCAGCTGATGAGCAGATGAGGTGGATTCAAACCTAAGCATCCCAAACTCTTAAGCACTGTGCTCTGTGGCTTCTCCTTGGAGGAATTATAATCCTCTGAGTGAGGAAATCTTCCTGCTTTGCCACACTTTATGGAGGGCTTTACTGGTTCAACATCAAACATTGTTGATTGAGCACTTGCCATGTGTCAGGGATTTACCCAGGAGTTGGTGGTCTGCTCTGTGCATACTTCCCTGAAAACACATATAATCCTTTGCCTACTAACCCAGCATTGGCAGTGCCCACTCTGTGGGTTGTTTGCCAAGAATGCTGACTGTCATTACTTTGCCACCTCCCTCCATTCTCCCACTGGGGGAGTCACAGGTGAGCAGAAGCAGCCTCATACGTTTCCCTAGTGTCAGAGCCAGAGCTATGAGACAACCAGGCTATGAGCATCTAGGGTTTTGTTGTGCTTTTGTGATCTCTGACTATCAGAAATATGGAGCGTTGTTCAGATATCCCTGCAACTCGAGGAAATTCATTTAAACTAAAGCATGACAGCTGTCAGTGAGATGAAAGGTAGAGCTGAATCTGGAGCTCCTTCGTGCAGGCCTGTCGTATTATTCCATTCTCATGCTGCTATAAAGAATTACCTGAGACTGGGTAATTTATAAAGAAAAGAAGTTTAATTGGCTCACAGTTCTGCAGGCTGGACAGGTAGCATGGCTGGGAGGCCTCAGGAAAATTTCAATCATGGCAGAAGGTGAAGGGGAAGTAGGCACGTCCTACATGGCTGGAGCAGGAGGAAGAGATCGAAAAGAGAAGGGCTACACTCTTTTAAACAACCAGGTCTAGTGAGAACTCACTCGCTATCATGAGAACAGCAAGGGGGAAACCTGCCCCTGTGATCCAGTCACTCCCACCAGGCCTCTCCTCCAACACTGGGGATTACAATTCCACACGAGATTTGGGCAAGGACAGGAATCCAAACCATATCACCTGTCAACATTTCCATCTCCTTGACCAAGTGGGAGTGAGAGACTCCTGACCCCTCTCCTGGAATAAGGATAACATAACCCAGGGCTTCAGAGTTGTGAGCTCCATGTGCTAGCTTGTTGCAGCAAGTCTTGCAGAAGTTGAGTGATGGGGACAGAGACCCAGCAAAGGCTCTCCTAGGAGAGCTGCATGATGCATTAACAGTGTCCACTACAGTACAGGAGCCTTTCAGGAGAGATATAAGGAGGAGTTTCCTGAGCAGGAAAGTTGTTGATCACAAGAACAGGTGAGCAATGAAGACAAAACTAAACTGGAGTCACAACAACTCGGATATAAATCCACCCTGAGGCAGGGGACTGGACCCATTGAGCTGCCAGAGCCCTTATATATCTATAAGTTGACTTCAGAGAGTTTCAAATCCGATAGGACTTTGCAAGTACCATATCGAAGATAAAGAAGCTGATCCAAGGGAACGTTGGCCAAGCCCACTTCGCAGTTGAGAACAACATGGCTTAAAAACAGCCTGCACAGCTTCCTGGACGTCCCATCACATTTGCCAAATAGCATTTTGGTGAGCTGAGAATCAATGAATGAGAAACAGATGGATTTAATGTCCCTTGAAATTAGGGATGGGTGAGCCCAGCCACACTGTGGAATTGCTGAATGTCTCAAACTATTTTTTTCAAGTATCTTTGGTTCAGAAAAACCAAAACCATGGTTTTGCAAAGCACGTTTCCTCTCATTCATATGAGGGTTCGTGTATTTTAACGGAAATTTGATCTGCATATTTCAACTTCTTTACACTTCACTTATCAAAATGCTAAATAAAATTTCCAGGAAGTCTGAGAAATATTTATAACTTTTTTTTCCAAACTATTTTATTTAGGAAAGGAAACAATGGGGAAGTTTGGAAAATCCTACAAAAGAGAAGGTGGGTTCAGGTGGAAGTTCACACTTTTAGGGAGTTCTATGTCCCAGAATTACGCACATGTTAGGTGTGCAGTCACAATGTGCTCAACGAGTATATTTGAAAATCTCTTGAAAAGTGAGGGGAAAGGTGGGAAAGTTCAATAAGGACAAGCTTGAGGAAAGGCTGAAAAATACAACATAATTTAAAATAGCTTCTCATCTCTAATAGCCAGGCAGTGTATTCCTAGCAGCCATAAATCTAATGACGCAGAACTATAGCATTCTTGTATCATCCACCAGCATGAACTCCACCATTCTTCAGATGTCTTTTCTCTTTATAAGACTTGTGATAAAGGTGCTTATAGGATGCTCATGAGTGGAGGGATGGCAAGAGGAGAGGGTGGAAGAAATGCACCACAGAGGGTGGGTGGGAGCAGGCGGTGGAGTGAGTGCCCAGCGCCATCTTTGTTTTAGAGAATGACTCTGACCACAGACTTATGTGTGAGCCCTGAAGAGCTGTTTCTACTTAAAGCTTAGCTTTCGGTTCCAGAGGACCAAGTAAGACACAAGCGGGAGAGACGCAGTCATCCCATCTCTCAGGGAGCTCAGTCTGTTTGTATTGTGCTGGAAGCACAGTGCTTGCTCATCACCGACAGGCAGACTTCTGCTCATAGTGTCATTGGCAGAGAGTGCAGCAATGGACACTGCCCAAAAGGAGAGAAGAAGGAAAAGGCAACTCCTTGTGGTATCTGATTACGTTTGTCTCAAATGCCCAGGAGACATTCCCTGGGGATTCCCAGAAAAGCAATTTAAGATGGGGATTTGACAGGGAGCAATAATAATTATTGATACAATCTGAAGAATAATGTTTATTACGATGAATATGCTTCTCATTTAAATCCCCAGGCTGGTGCAGGAAGCACAAACATGGATTACATATCTCTTTAAAGCCATGTATTTTCTGGCTTTTAAATTAGAAAACCCAAGTAGGGTTGTGTGGCAGTGACAATAGGAGTTGTCAAATATTCCTGGGACTCCCCCACATTTCCCAGCAGCCTTCCAGGTAGTTAGGTTGGTGGCAGTGATTGATCTGGGCCAACAGGGTGTGGGCATGAATGATGTGTGGCATTTTCTGACCAAGATAGTCAATTCTTCCATTCCTCCCTCCCCTCCTCAGAGATCTTGGTCTACAATTTGCCCAGATGTTTTAGCTAAACTGGACTTCTCACAAAGGAGAACTGAGCTTTTACTCTGTAAAACCACTGTGATTTGGCGGGGGCGAGGGTGGGGGGTCTTGTTTGTTACAGTGGCTAGTGTTAACTAGCCTGATTAACACAAGCGTTAACTAGACTAATACAGGTTGTAAACTTACAACCTGTCATTATGATACCCTGATAGTAATAAAGCTGGTGGTTTGGGGTAAGATTCTCAGAAGTTTTTGAGAATATAGTAGTGCCTTATATTAGTAATCTACTGCTATATTAAAAACTACCTTAAGAGGTAGTAGTTTAAAACAACAAGCATTTATTATCTCAAAGTTTTTGACGGTCAGGAATTTTGGAGTGGCTTAGGTAGGTGGCTCTGACTCAAAGTGTTTCATGAAGTGCAGTCAAAATGCTGGCAGGAGCTGCAGTTATCCAAAGGCTTGATTGGGGCTGGAGAATGCATTGCTCATATAGGAGCCCTCAATTTATTGCTGGTTTCTGGCTGGAGTTCTCATTTCCTCATCAGATGCTCCTCTTTGTAACGATTCTCAGGCAAGGGAAGCTAGCATCATTCAGACAGAGTAATCCAAGAGAGAAAGCAAACAGGAAACCACAGAATCTTTTATTGCCTAGTATCTCATGTTGCTTCCTCCCCCACCTATTCATTAACAGTAAGTCACTCAGTCTAGCCACACTCAAGAAGAGGAGAATAGGTTACAGCTTTTCAAGAGGGTTTCAAAGAATTTGTGAACAGATTTTAAACTACCCCAGAGTGGGTACACCCCATTACCCCAGAGTGGGTTTGTAGGTAGCTAAGGGGGTAGAATGGTGGGTGGCACCTAAGGTGGGGGGTTCAGTGACCCAACATAAATCAGGCTAATAGAGTGTAATGGTGTGACTGCTCCTATCTTACATTATTCCTTAATCGCAACAGCGGATGAAGGGAACCCAGCCAATTCTATTCAAGCAGCCTGGACTGGGCCCCTGACAAGCATCTGCATATGGAGATGCCAAGGTAATTTGAGATGGGGATTTTCTACAGGGAGCACAGAGAAATTCCTGGTTGCTTACCTCTGTGCATAGACATGATGCAGAGGAAATGAACTCTCATGAAACAGGACATTGTGCCGTAACCAGGCTTGCCCTGGCTGTATAGGGAGGTGAGTTCCGGCATTGTCCTCTGACATAGCCCCCTCCTCCCAACCTCCCAGCTTGCCTGGCGCTACATAGTGTGCTAATTGCTGATAGAAACCCTGGGAGTTTGCAGAGGAGGATAAGATAGATCCTACAGAAAGAGAAATTCTTCCCTTTGCATAAAACCTGTGCAAATGAAGCTGATCTTGATCTTAGCCCATGGCAGGGAATGGCAGTAACACTGGAAATATTGGCTTTGTGAAGGCTGGAATTTTTCATCTTTCCTCCTATATTCATAGTGCCTATATAAGTGTGCACTAAATAAAAAGCACCTTGCTGGTATTTTTTAATTAATTGAATGAGCTAGCATTTACCATGGAAGAAGGTGTGGTGGCATAAGAGGGTGACAGGAGTTCTAGGTCTCATAGGTTCCTGATGCCAGAAAATTCACCAGCCCAGCCATACTGATGGCAGCCTTGCACCCTGAGGAAATGGTTGTGTGAGTTCCTATGAAACAATAACATTGGGATCTAATCCAATTATGATATGACCCACTCTTGGCTGAGCCCAAAGTGGGATCTGCACCATGGGGCAGGGAAAGGACCAGAGATAAAGGCTCAGTTTATGCCACTCCTTCTCAGGCTGATGGTGTTTACTTGCATAGCCATAAAAAGCAGCCACTGGGGACAGTGGGAGAGTGTGGTAAAGCTGGACATATTGCATTAGCTTGCTAATCACTATTAGCAGCAGTGAGAATGGGACATTTCCTTAGACTCCCCGGATTTGGACAGCAACAGCAGGTTCTGGGGCCACAGTGGTGGTACAACAGAGCTCCCCTGAGCCGCCAGTGTCCAGAATGTGAAGTCCTCTAGCCTAGGGGGAACATAGCTTCTCCTACTAGGAACTGATAAGGAGGAGCCACAGCTCAGCAATGGGAAGGGTAGACTTCTTTCTCATCTTGGCATGGGCTTCCCTGGTTGAAACACCAGCTGGTGAAGCATGACATACTGGTTTGAGTTAGTTTTATTTTATCTTTAAGAGGACTTTTAACTGGACCATCACCCCCAGGAAATGTTTCATGTAAAGAATAGCCAAGAAGGCCATAGATTCCATCCCACCAATGACACACAGCAACTGACCATTCACCCCCATATCCTGCACTGGATTTTCCATATGGCCAACTCAAGTACACATATTGCTTTACCAAGTGATGCTCATCTTTGCCTGCAATTACCACCGTGATTACATTTCTCCTCATTAGCCTAGATGGGAGGGTGCAGGGAAGGATGGTTGGATCAGGAGATCTAGTTACCATACTCCGACGCTGAATTTGCTGGGTGGCTCTGCTCAAGTCAGTTGACCCATCTGTGCCTCCTCTCGTGGCCCTTGTTCAGATATGCAGTGATTCCATGACTGATTTTCAGTGTTGGTCTCAAGCATGTAGCTGCCACTTGGTGCAGAGCATTAGCATATCTTTGTAATTGCTAATGAGGGAAACAAAATTCCAGAAAAGCTGTTTGGAGGAACCTAAGAATAACACTATGAGCTAAGCATTCTGCCCAAACAAATTTTGTTAAAAGAAAACCAAATTATTATCCTTTTGCAAAATAATAGCAATAATGGCCTTAACTAACATTTGCCAGGCTCTAAATATGTATCTTGCGGTGTCTAAATATTTTACACATTGTTTTCATTCCCTCCTGTTCACCCCATTGGTGAGGGAGACATTCCACACTAGAATTATGAGGATGACCAAACACATTACACTCGATGCTTAACAGATGCGATTGACGGCAGTTATTATTCACATACACTCGCAGCTTGGGAGAGGTGAACACAGCATGGGATGCTGGCCATACAGGGGTTGCCCTCAGGAGCAGGGTGAACAGGCAGGGGCTGTGGGTGGCAAGCTTTGTAGCAACAAGAGGGTGAGGTGCTCCCTGGTTCCTGCAGGAGAATGTGATGGGCTTTGAACAATTCCGAGGTTA
The DNA here is from genome assembly GCF_000001405.40 of Homo sapiens. Lineage (NCBI taxonomy): Eukaryota > Metazoa > Chordata > Mammalia > Primates > Hominidae > Homo > Homo sapiens. Next base: position 38,326,459 of record NC_000021.9, read on the forward strand.
GCAGGAAACTGATACCCACTACTCAGGGATAAGTAGGAGCTGTGCCTGGTCCACTTGATAAGGTGGGTTGCTTGACTGGAGCCTTATCTGCAAGAGTAGAATGGAGAGAGGCTCTTGTGGGTAGGTCAGTAGAGGTACTGCTGATTTGACCAGATTTGAAGGCAGCACACTATACCACGCCTCAATTTCAGCCTTTACATGACACACACATCGTATTATTTCATCATCGCAACACTCCTATGAAATATCATTAAGCCTTTTTACAGATCATGAAATTGAGGCTTAAATGAGGCCAAGCAAATTGCCCAGTGTTTGCTAGCTGGCAAGTGGCTGAGCTGGTATTCAAAGCCAGGTTTGTTACTCTCAGAGTCTGACCTCATAAGCAACTGTGGACAGGTAGATGTAACAACCCATCTTAGACATGAATCAAGAAAAAAGAAGGACAAGGGGGGAACACCCTACCCCAAATAACCAGAGAGCTCAACTTAAACACACACAGTCTTTTGTTCTGTCCACCATGTGACCTCCTGAGTCCCACCGCTACCTTCCGCAAGGCAGCTGGGTTAATAAAGCCACCTCAGTGACCATTAACAGCAGCAGCTCTGCCTCACACTTTAATCAGTGGTCCCTGAAGTGCTTACAAGCCCAGCTGCTCGGGACACACTTTTGATTCTACAGCCTGGAGGAAGAGAAACCATCCAAGCAGATCAACCATTTCCCAGGTGCTTCAAATTCCCAAGGTCAGAGACGGCACCAGTCAGTCATCCTTTTGCATGTGGATGTTGGGTATGTCAAAGGGACTTGATGTTCTGGAATAAATTCCTTTACACAGAAAAGAGGCTTTAGATCTCTTTCAGTCCAAAACCTTCATTTTATGGTTAAAGAAAGTAAAGTGGCCTCCCCAAGGTCACAAAGTTGGTTAGGGCAGAACCTGCTTGGATCCCTTCCCTAAACCCTTTCCCAACTTCCTCCTCCCATGCACACCTCCCACTCTCAAGTGGAAGAAAGGAGAAACTCTCTTCCTCAGCACCCTTTGCAGTTAGGCTGACCATGTGACCCGTTCCAGGCTTTGTGCCAAGAGGGAATCTGCCAGGAGGAGTCTGGGAGCAGTGTTTCCTCCCTGATAGAAAGAAAGAATGGCCGGGCGCGGTGGCTCACGCCTGTAATCCCAGCACTTTGGGAGGCCAAGGCGGGCGGATCACCAGGTCAGAAGATTGAGACCATCCTGGCTAACATGGTGAAACCCCATCTCTACTAAAAATATAAAAAAATTCGCTGGGTGTGGTGGCAGGCACCTGTTGTCCCAGCTACTCGGGAGGCTGAGGCAGGAGAATGGTGTGAACCCAGGAGGCAGAGCTTGCAGTGAGCAGAGATCACGCCACTACACTCCAGCCTGGGCGAGAGAGCGAGACTCCGTCTCAAAAAAAAAATAAAATAAGATAAAAATAAAATAAATAAATAAATAAATAAAATTTAAAAAAAAGAAAGAAAGAAAGAAAGAAAGCATGGCGAAAGAGCTCTCTCACCATCCTCTCCAACCTCTACCTCCTATAAGAGCCAGTGAAGGACCTGAGGCTTGAAACCAGAGGTGTCTTTTAGCCATGAGGGAAAGTTCAGAGATGCGGACACAGCAACTCAGCCTCATGTGGCTGCTAAATCAACCCCCAAACTGCCCTTCCTGACTCCTCATTTCAGTAACAATTAATCCAAGTTTAAACCACTGTTAGTCATGTTTTCTCTTTGCAGCCAAACACCCTCCTCTGAGCAGCAGTCACTAGAGTTAGGCAGTGGGTGAATACCCAGAAATGTCACTCACTAGCAACCAGACCCAGGGCAAGAAACTTTTCTCTGTCTCAGTTTCCTTTTTTGGAAAATGGGCATATATTTTTACAGAGGTGCTGTAAAGTAGTGCTCCCCAACCTTTTTGGAACCAGGGACTGGTTTCGTGGAAGACAATTTTCCCATGGACCAGGGGTGTGGGGGTGGGGGAAGGTTTCAGGATGACTCAAGTGCATTACTTTTATTGTTCACTTTATTCCTATTATTACATTGTAATATATAATGAAATAATTATACAACTCACCAAAATGTAGAATCAGTGGGAGCCCTGAGCTTGTTTTCCTACAACTAGTCAGTCACACCTGGGGGTGATGGGAGACAGTGACAGATCCTAAGGCATAAGATTCTCATAAGCAGCATGCAACCTAGACCCCTTCCATGTGCAGTTCTAAATAGAGTTTGCTATGAGAATCTAATGCCGCCACTGATTTGACAGCAGGTGGAGCTCAGGCAGTAATGTGAGCAAGGGGGTGGGGGACGACTGTAAATAGAGATAAAGCTTCCCTCGCTCACCCATCATTCACCTCCTCCTGTGTGGCCCGGTTACTAAGAGTCCAGGACTGGTACCCATCTGTGGCCCGGCAGGGGGGAGTGGTTGGGGACCCCTGCTGTAAAGCTTAAATATTTATAAAGATTGTATAATATTTTCTAGCTCACAATTGACTGTTAGCTATTATTATTTCATTATTCTCTCAGCCTACTTTCACAGAGGCTCTCCAACACAGAGCTCCTCAAAACTTTTGACAATACAGATGAATTACCTGGCAATTGTGTTTAAATTCAATTTCTGATTCAAAAAGTCTGCCGTGGGCCTAAGACTGCATTTATGAAATCTTTTAGGGTATGTCTGTGCTGCTGGTGCTCAGATCACACTTTGAGAAGCAAGACTGTGGGACCCTCTGGGTCTGTTTCCTGCTAGTTCAGCCTTCTAGCTGGTGGATTTGCACTAATAGTATGCCCCAACCTTCTCGTTATACTCATGGAAGCTCTTTCCTACAGTCAGACTGTCCTTACATCCAGCAGCATATTCATGAAATTCTAATTCCTGGGCTTAGCCAGTGACTCAGACCCTCCTTCTCCAGGTCTAATGGATGTCACTGTCAATCACAATGTCACCCTCAAAGGCCCACGGTCTAGCCTAGTCAGAGGGAACTGGATGTACAGAAAGACAGGTATATGGAAGAAATCTGGGGCTTTTTGAGGATTTCATTCAAAGCAGGATGCAAAGGTTCATATACTTCAGGACTGGAGCCACTTGGGGGCCTTGGTCTCAGGATGATGTATGTTATGATAACCCCCAGGACTAGAATCCATTAATTCCCTTGATCCAGCACTGTGCTCCAGCCCTGGGACAGGCTTAAAGTTTGTCCTGACCCAGTTCATCTCATCTGCCTGCCTGTACTTCTGTCAGCTGCCTGTGCCAGATGTTTTATTCCCCTCCTTCCACTTGTGAAGAAGCTCAAAACCTGCGATGAGCTCTACTTCCTTCCAAGGCCAGTCTTGCCTTCACATACCTCTTCCCCTTCTTCTCCCTGTACTCTCTCCACTGGGTCTCCCCACACTCTTGCCCCCCAGTCCTGTGCTTTGCTCTCCATGTTGCTGAAGTTCACGTTCTTTCCTTCCAGATTGTACCCTCAATTCCTCTCAATCGATTTTGTGTTGCGTGACTACCATACAGTAGGTAATTCATAAAGAAAAGATATTTATAAAATTTATTCTCACAGCTCTGAAGTCTAGGAAGTCCAATGTCAAGGTGCTGGCATCTGGTGAGTGCCTTCATGCTGTGTCATCCCCAGGCAGAGGACAAGAGAGCAAAAGAGAAGGAGATGGCCAAACTTGCTTTTATAACAAACCCACTCTCATGATAACTAACCTACTCCTGCAATAATGACATTATTCTATTCATGATGGTGAAGCCTTCATGGCTTAATCACCTCTTAATGGTCCCACCTCTTAATACCATCACAATGGCCATTACATTTCAACACAAGTTTTGGAAGTGCAGTGTTTTGATTATTTGTCCCCTTCAAAAAGTATGTTGAAAAGTCTCAATGTAGCAGTATTAATAGGTGGGGCCTTTAAGAGGTCAGTGAGTCATGCGGGTTCTGCCTTCATGAGATTAATCCATACATGAATTAATGGATTAATGGGCTATCACAGGAATGAGTCTGTTTAAAAGCCAGCGTGGCTCTCATTTTCACACCCTTGCCATGTGATGTCTTGAGCCATACTGGGATTCTCCAGAGAGTCCCCACCAGCAAGAAGGCCTTCGCCAGATGTGGCCACTCAACCTTGGATTTCCTCAGAACTGTAAGAAATGAATTTATTTTCTTTATAAATTATCCAGTCTCAGTTATTCAATTTTAGCAACAGAAAACAGAGTAAGGCAGGAGGGGGACATTCAAACCACAGCATTCCAACCACGGCCCCCCCAAAACTAATGTTTTTCTGACATACAAAATGCATTCATTCTATCTTGATGCCCCAGAAGTCTTAACTCATTTCAGCATCAACTCAAAAGTCCAAAGCCCAGAGTCCCATCTGAATTAGAAATCGGGGAGACTCAAGGCATGATTCATGCTGAGGCAAATTCCTCTCCAGCTATAAACTGTGAAATTAACAAGCTACATGCTTCCAAAATACAATGGTGGGACAGACATAAGATAGACATTCCCATTCCAAAAGGGAAGAATAAGCAAGAAGAAAGAGATAATCTGCTTTGACTCCATGTCCTGGGCACTCTGGGGCAGGAGTTGGGTTCCCAGGAACTCAGGCATCCTTGCTCCTATGGCTTTGCTGAGTTCAGTCTACCTAGCAGGTCTCACGGGTTGGAGTGTGGCACCAGCAGCTCTCCCAGGTTAATATTTCAAGCTGGTAGCTCTACAGTTCTGGGGTCTCAGAAATGACCCTGGCTCCGCTAGGCACAGCACAGCCCCTGCAGCAGCTCCAACTCCACATTTAGACTCAGCATTGCCCGAATAGAGCTCCCTGTGATGGCTCTGCCTCCATGACAAGTCTTTGCCTGGGCCCCCAGGTAGACTGTGACAGCCTTTAAAATCTAGGTGGAGGTCACTGTGCCCCACAGCTCTTGCATTCTACATGCCTGCAGAATTAGCACCATGTAGATGCTGCCAATGTCTACAGCTTACACCTTTTGGAGCAGTAGATTGAGCCACAACTGGGGCCACTTGAACCACAGCTGGAGCAGTGGAGAATCACTGCACCAGGATGTAAAAACAGAGACCCAATGTGGCCCTGGACAGTGAGCCTGTAGAGGGCATCCAGGCCCATCCCCAAAAACCATTCTGTCCTCTGAGAGCTCTGGACCTGTCATTGAGGGCAGCTTTGAAGATCTCTGAAATGCCTTTGGGGTCATTCTTCCACTGTCTTGATGAGCCCTTCCATCTGTACGAGTCTCCTTACCCAACGGTTTGTTGGCCACACCCTTGGTTTCCTCATGTGAACACATTTTCATTCTGTAAATGGTCAGGCTGAAAATTTAAAAAATTTTTCTGTTCTGCTTTTGTTTTAAATTATAAATTCCATCTTTAAGTCATTTTTCCCCTCTTGGATCTTACTATATGCAGTTAAAAGTAGCTGCACAACTCCTCCAATATTTTGCTTAGAAGTTTCTTCTACTGGATATTCTAGTCGGGCACTCTTAAATTCCACCTTCTGTAAATCCCTTGAGCATGGACACAATTTGACCACGCTCTTTGCCATTTCATAACAAGGATGCTCTTTACTCCAGTGTCCAAAAAGATACCCTCTTTTTCCACCTGAGACCTCATCAGAATGGCCTTTACACTCAGCATTTCTAACAACATTCTGATCATGGCCACTCAAGTAATCTGTAAGAAGTTTCATACTCTCCCTACAGCTCTCCTCTTCTTCTGAGCCCTCTCCAAAATTGTCCTTACTACTCTGTTTATGGAAATGTAGGCTTTTTCTAGCCTACTCTTCCAAATTTTTTCAACCTCTATCGATTGCCCAGTTCCAAAGCTACTTTCACATTTTCAGGTATTTGTTATAGTAACAGCCTCAATTCTCAGTACCAACTTTCTAACCATTTTGTGTTTCTATAAACACAGGTTGGGTAATTTATAAAGAAAAGAAATATATGCTCACAGTTCTGAAGGCTGGGAAGTCCAATATCAAGATGCTGGCATCTGGTAAGGGCCTTTGTGGTGTGTCACCCCCATGGCAGAAGGTGGAAGGCAAGACAGCATGAGAGAGCAAGAGAGCAAGAGGGGGTCAAATTCACTAGTACAAGCAGCCTACTCTCATAAAACTAACCCACTCCGGCAGTAACAACATTATTCAATTCTTGAGGGTGGAGCCCTCGTGGCCTCATCACCTCTAAATACTGTCACACTGGCAATTAAATTTTAACATGAATTTTGGAGGGGACATTCAAACCACAGCACTCTCCAAACCTCTCTTAGCATCTTCTATAAGCCTCTAGTTTACAATATGCCAAATGCCACTATGGCCCCTTGTTTGAAACATGTTTGTCTCCCCAGTCACTGAGCTTTCTGAAGGCAGCAACAGCCTTTCATCCCAGATCCTCTTTCTGGCTGGACCCCTCCCCTGGCTCCACCCCAACCTAACATGCCTTCCAGGCACCTGTGTCACTCTGGAGGCGGAAGAGCACAGGCAATTACCTGTGTGATGTGTTTTTCCATCTTTGTTTCATTGCCTTCATCAACCTTCTGATCAAGGTAGCCAGAAGCTGCTGTATGATCAAGTGAAAAAATAAAATCTCAGAATTATTAATCACTTCTAATGTGCTGGGCACCCTGATAAGAAATTTATGTATGCCAGTTTAATTAATTCTTGCAACTATTATCGCTATTGGATTTCTATCATCTCCACTTTACAGATGCGGAAATGGAAGCTGAGGGCAGGTAATAGGAATATTGCCTGAGGTTCCACAGCCAGGAAGAGAAGCAGTGGAGCCAGGAGCCCAGCCTCTGTTAACTTCTAGCAAAATGGCTCAAGGAAATATCAGCACAAACCTGGTTCTTGGCTGGCTTCTCCTTTTCACCGGTGGACAAACTGGTGGAAAAGTGGAGGGTCCTGTTTAAAAGAGAGTAGTTTAGTTAAATCACTGAGTTTTATTTCCTCCCACCAAACTATGAGTTGTTATGGTAAGATCCCTGAGTCAATGCCAATCTTCTACAGTCCTGGGAGCTTAAATACACTTGGCAAGCAACACCAAGTTATACAGTTTCCAATACTTAGAGGTATCTGTGAATGCAGATCTTAATGCAGTATATTCTTCTGGGGCTGCATTTTCTGTCTGAAACAGAGAATGTATCTTAGATGATGTGCTTAGCATAGAACATGCTTCATCTCAGGACTCAGTTAGGATAACAACAAGGCAGGCACATTGGCCAGTGTCAAGTGTGAAGGTCCAATTTAGGCCCTTACTGTGTTGAAGGCCGCTGGGCAGATGCCAGGACAGACACAGAGGCCAGGCTCCAGCACAGCGTCAGGGGAAGTCCATGCCAGGGTGTACTTGATCTGATCTCCCACATAACATAAATGATCCTAGAGACGAAGGTCCTGCCAAGAGATCTCCAGGTGACTCCAGGAGTCCTTGAGGCTGTGAATCTTTGCACCATACTTTAAATTTCTACAAAGCCCCAAATGCCTGTCGCCTCCTCAGCTCCTTTTGTAAAGGAACATGGGTAAACCATGGACCATTAAGAGTAGACAAAGTTTTGCCAAGTCCTTGGTGCTATGTAGGGAAGAGCTTCTCAGAATGTTCTACTGGGTCCCTCTAGCTGTGGAGTAGGGCAAATGAGCACCGGGGGTCTGGAGGGATAACCCGAAGCAGCCCCATAACTTGCATGGAATGTTTTTGAAGTCTTGTATTTATCTTAATAATTCATGAGAATTTTACATTTCTTTCCATGCTATACCCATGTCTATTTTATATTAAATGTAGCATTAATAATTGCCCGAAACCTGAAAAAAATGGTGCCCCAGAAAGCTGTACCCACAGTTCTCCTGTAGCTGCCCTGGGGGAACATAGGCCCCAGTTCAAAAGCACCGATGTATGGCATTAATCTCACTGATTATTCTAGAACCTTCTCTGGCCCACACTTAGAAAAACCACAGGCAGCCAGGGGCTTGAACCTAAGCAACATGCACACAAGTTCAGACCCAACAAAGGGAAGAATTTCCAGGAGAGATTTGTGCATAGGCTCAAGAAGCCTTTTAGAAAATGAACAAACAAAATATCTCATCATAAGTCAGGGACACCTAATATTTTGGATTCTCTGAACACTGATGTAGTCTACAGAGATCCTCCTCAGAAAAAAAAAAAAAAAACCACAAAACATTTCTTAGGTCTGTGTGTCCTTTAGAGATTTCTAGCGACCTGAGACCATCTGTGGGTCCCTAAGAATATAAAGATTCCCACTGAGATCCTTTGTGCAAAGGTCCCTTGTAGAGGGCATATGTTTTCTTTAAATGTTTTGAGCCAACGTCTAAACATTGAGAAAGTTCACACTGTTGTCTGGATCCTGGAGACTTGACAGCTTTGGACCTACATGATCTCATGGCTCCATGGAGGGGAGGAGCTGCCGCTGCCCCTGCAGCTGGGATTCCCTGTCCCCTCTGCCACACCACCCCCATTCCTCCTTCACAGAACCCGCCGGCCCCTGTGGCCGCTGAACTGGTGACTTGTCATGCCATTAGGTCATCGTCGGGGACATCAGGCCCTGACAGTGGCCAAGAGCCATCTGGAGTCCATGCTAGTCATCACGTGCCCCAGCTGACCTTCCACCCAGACCTGCTGCAGGGCTGTGGCTGGAGAAAAGCTGGGTCAAAGAAGCGGAAGAATCTACAGATACATCCAGTACTAGGAGCATTGGTTGCAGTGGAGGAGTTCAATTCCCCATATGGGGAATATTCTCCCCACTCCACTTGGAATGGAGCCATGAGGGTGAGTGGAGAGTCAGAGTCTGCCGCAGCCTTGGGGCAGAAACAGCTTCCCAGACAACATCGGCACCTTCCCTTGGGACGGTGGTGGCTGCAGCAACAAATTAACACAAATAGGGTGACTTAAAACAACAGAAATGTATTGTCTCACAGTTCTAGAGGCCAGCAATCTGAAGTCAAAGGGTCCACAGGGCCATGGCACCCTCTGGAGACTCAAGAGGAGAATCTGCCATTTGCCGCCTCCAGCTTCTGGTCTCTCCAGGCATCCACTGGCTTGCGGCTGTGTCACTCCAATCTCTTCTTTCTGTCTGTGTTTTCTCTTTTGTCTCTTCTGAAGACTCCTGTCATTGGATTTGGGGCCCACCTAATCAATCCAGGATGATCTCATCTGCAGATCCTTCCCTTAATTATATCTGAAAAGATGTTTTTTTTCCAGATGAAGTCACATTCACAGGTACTCGGGATTAGGACTCGGACGTATCTTTTGGGGGTCACCATTCAACCCACTACCCAGCTTCTTAGCCACTGGCATACGTCATAGGCAACAGCAGCCCCTAATAACAAGTATCAGTCATGGTGGTGGCTTTGCCAGTGTTCATGGTAAAAAGTGCCCTCCATGAGCCAGACCTGAGTGGGGAGGAGAATACAGAACCACATCGCAACTTGACTTGGATGCCCTTGGTAATGAGCATGAGAGCCCAACCGGAGGACACCAAGAGGTCTCTGGGAGAGATGGAGGCACATGAAAGAGGTCCTGGAAGAGTCAGTAGGGGCTGAGCCTGATTTTTTTTTAACATGCTGTGACCTATTTGCACCCCAAGGCTGCTGAGGCCTGGGGAAGTGCTTAATTTGCACAGCTGCATCCTCATGAGAGCCCTGGTCTCATCTGAGTCCACCTGCCCATGCCCCAAATCCAAACCAGTGTGTTCCACTCTCATGCTCTGCCAACCAGTATGAGGTGAGCCATCCAACACTCACTGAGCATTTCCCGTGTGAAGTTCCCATGCTGGGGTACCCCTCTCCCTAGAGCTCTAGATGGAGAGACAGAGAGGCATTCTCCAATCACCTGGGAAAAGTCAGTTAGGTGTGGATGCCAGAGGTTTTCATCGTCCTATTCCTGTCCCTTATTTAAAAAGTGAGTGGGCTCTGTGTTCACTGTCCCCTGGTGGGATGCAGTAGAAATAAAGGCAGAAATTGCCCAGCTTTGGTCTTCTGGAAGTCTAAGCCCCTGGGGGATTTCAGAGAATCTACTGAGCTGGCAAAATAAAAGGGCTTAGGGGTATGTATTAGCCCATTATTGCTATAAAGAACTACCTGAAACTGGGTAATTGATTAAGAAAAGAGGTTTAATTGATTCAGTTCTGCAGGCTTAACAGGAAGCATGACTGGGAGGCCTCAAGAAACTTACAATCATGGCGGAAGGTGAAGGGGAAGCACGTTTTACCATAGTGGAGCAGGAGGGAGAGAGAGACAAGGGGAAAGTGCCACACACTTTTAAATGATCAGATCTCATGAGAACTCACTATCACGAGAACAACAAAAGGGGAAGTCCACCCCCCATGAGCCAATCACCTCCCACCAGGTCCCTCTCTCAACACTGGAGATTACAACTCAACATGAGATTTGGATGGGGACACAGAACCAAATCAGATCAGAGTAGAAACAAAAAATACTGGACCAATAAACAGAAGGAACATTTCCCCAGATCAGGCAATTTTCCCCAGGTCAGGGAGATATTCTCCTGGGGTGTGGGGAGGAGACTGGGATAGCTCAGCAAGGTCCCAGGAAGGCGGCAGCTGCCTGGTCCTCTTAGGTACTTGAGAAAGGTATCTTCACCCCAAATGGGGCTTTGAACCTCAGGCCTAATTGCCCCAAGGGCCAGTCAATGGACTGTAATGTATATAGACTGATGATGAGGCCCAATGAGGACCAGAGGATCCACTCCTGCCCCCACCCCACTCAGCAGTTCCACAACCTACATATGTCCCTGAGACCATGATCTGGTCACAGAGTAAGGAAAGTGCCTTGGTTTGCTAGGGCTGCCCCAACAATTCCACAGACTGGGTGGCTTCAACAACAGACTTTTTTTTTTGTAGCACTTCTAGAGGTCAGAAGTCCAAGATCAAGGTGTCACTTGGCTATTTCTGAGGCCTCTCTCCTTGGCTTGTGGATGACTGTCTTCTGCCTGTGTCTTCACATGGGCTTCTCTCTGTGCCTGTCTGTGTCCTAATATCCTCATTACAACACTGATCATATGGATTTAGGGCCCACTCTAATGATCTCATAGTAACTTAATTGCCTCTTTAGTGGTCCTGTCTCCAAATACCATCACATTCGGAGGTACTGGAAGTTAGAACTTCAACAGAAGAATTTTAGGAGTCCGAATTCAGCCCTTTACAAAGAGGAACTTTCAGGAAATGATCCAGCTTGGTGAAGAAATGGTTCTCTTGAAATAAAATTTAAGTAAATAAAAAACACAGATTTCTCTTTTGTACACACCTCGGGATGTGGACTGATTCATGCCTACTGGCCCCCACAGGTGCCTTTTCCCCAGGCAGGAAGGTACAGATCCTGGGAGGGGCATGATTGTGTTTTTGTTTTTTATTTTTTAAAGGAAATCTCCAGGTGATTTTCAGTCCCTCCCACAGAGGCCCACTGCTGTGCCAAGTGGGCACAGGGCAAATCCCAAAGCTCTTGCTCAGTTATAAGACAAATAGTCAGTAGGTGCCTTCTATAGGCGAAGCGTTGTGCAAGGCACCTGGAGGAAAACTAAAGTATGTGGCCTGCCCTTACCTGTTATATACAGCAAGGCGCTCGGTCAAAGCAAAGAAAGCCCAAAGGCATTCCCAAGCTTGGTGCTCCAGACCTCCCTGTGCACTCACATGCCTGCGCTCTTTACTCTCATCCAGGTTCTTTCTCCCTCCCTAGATCTGCTAAGAAGTGTATATGGATGGGTCACCTTTTCCAAAGAAGGGTGGGAACGTCCTCCCATCAAGGGAAACAAGTGTCCTGTGGTGGCAAGGAATAAGGAGAGTGAGGAATATGACTTTGTGGCAAATGCTTTAACTTGGACGTAAGAGCTAAGTCTGGCATTGCTGCAATTGAATGGATACTATTGTCCCAACTTTGCAGAAGACTCTGCGTATCTTACTTTGGGATCCCCTGAAAGTGGACCTTTGGACAAAGATTTTCTATGCAAGCAGTTTCTTGGGCAGGGATCCAGGAAGCACAGTGAGGGAGAGGGGAACAAGTGCTGGGAAGGGGAGGGGATCAGTAGAGGACACGCTAGTCAGTGGGCTACTGCTGCAGGCGCATGGGGCTCAGTCCCAGTGGGGACTCTGAAGCCTAGGGCCATGAGCTCAAGTAAGCATGCATTGGAATAAGGAGAATGCCCAGACCTTGTAGGATTGTTGGTCATAGAGTCTGAATTGACATTGATAGCTGGGGACATACGGGAGCCAGGTAATACATGGAGTCCTGGCCCAGGTCTAGCTTACAGTGGATTTGTTTGACTCATAGACCACTGAGTGGTTGTTTTCCTAATCACTCAATAGAGAGTTGGAATGAAAATGCTTGGTGGTTGTCAAAAGTCTCACATTGGAACCTTGACCTGTAGCATAAGAGTTTTAATACCGGGGAAAGCCAAATAGAAACCCAACCCCTGTCCTTGGTCAAAATAATTTTTAAAAAAACAAAATGCATCCCCAGGAGAACAATGGAGCTTAGTGGTACCAGCAAAAATTTGAAGAAGGCAAGGGTGGTATCATTGCCATATCCCAATTTAATCTGTTAGGGAAGCAGGAGCCCAGGCGAGCCAAAGTGACACCATTTTTAAATCAATTCCATCTTAAAACTGGCAAGGCATATTTCTTGCCAGTCACGACCCATGGTCCTGAGATGTTTACAGCTAAGGAAGCAGCTTAGTGATGCTACAAGGACACACTCCTACAACAACAAAAAGTCCAGATGTCCCAATACTCATATATGTTTCCAAGATAATTATAGTTACGCTTTGATGTACTTACACACTAAAATGTCAAGGATAGTTTTATTTAAATCAATAGAATAATTTTGTCATGCTGTCAGCCCACCCGTATGTGGGCACAACTTGGTTTAGTCTCTACATAGACAAGACCCCTATATAAAAAATTAAACTTAAAATAAAGATGATACATTCCTCTGCTTGCTTCCTGAGGAATGTAATGGAGTAGTTTCTAATAAACTTGCTTCTTTCACTGTGCTCTGTGACTTGCCTTGAATTCTTTCCTGCATGAGATACAAGAATCCTCTTTTGAGATCTGGATTGGGACCCTATTTTCCAGCAACAAATCCATCAGTCTGGCCACTACAGAAATCAGAGGGTCATGGAGATGACAACGGGCTATCACAAACTCAAGCAAGTAGTAGCATCCATTGTAGCAAGTGTGCCATACGTGGCAAAGAGAGATTAACACAGCCTTTAGAACATGGTGTGCACAGGGGTGCTGCCCTTGACCTGGAAATGTGTACTTTGCCCTATGTATCAGCAAAAAAGACCAGAAGTAGTTCCCCTTCATGTAGGACTGATATAGATTTCTCCTGAGGCCTCTTTCCTTGACTTGCAGACAGCCACCTTTTCACTGTTTCCTTACCTGGTCTTTCCTTCGTGTGCACACATCCTTGGTGCATCTCCCCCTCCTTATAAGGACATCAGTCATACTGGATTAGTGTGCTACTCTTATAACCTCATTTAATCTTAATTACCTCTTTAAAGGCCCTATCTTCAAATACGGTCATATTGGAGGTTAAGGCTTCAACCCATGCATTTGAAAGCGGAGGGACAAAATTTAGTCTGTAAGAGGCACCATGGCACAGATAGACAGAATGACTCAGCCAGCTATGATCAGCCATCTCAATTCTGGCACAAGGAGCTCACAGAGTAGCTAAGGTGACAGAGAAGGAGATTCAGGTTGTGCCTGGACCTAACAGCAAGGGCTCCCTCTCATCAAGGCTGATCTAGCTTTGGCTGCTGCTGCATGTCCAACCCATCAGCAGCAGAGGCCAACAATGACACAGAGACCTGTCTAGCCCAAGTGCGTGCCCCCTCCCAGGGGACGAGTGTCGCCAATGACTGGCTTCTGCATGGGTATGTAGGTCCAGCCCCTTTTCTTCAATTTGGGAAAACTCTGATGGATCATTCCGGTTATGGAGCTCCTGTGGAAGCAACTGAGGTCTCAGTCATAGCACCATCACAGGTCAGCTTCTCTCTCTGCCCAGTTCTGCCATCCTCACTCCCTTACATGTGTATCTCCCAAGAACACTCCCCAATAAACGTCAGCACTCAGCTCTCAGAGTCTGCTTTCAAAGGACCTATGATAAGACAGTAACCTTTCTAAAACTGATCTGAGAATGAGCCTGCATTCAGAATATACTTTCCCCACTGTAGAACACTGGTGCCCCTCATCTACTTTAAATATTTCTGTGGCTTATTACCCTAGTTGAAATACACACCTGGCATTCTACAAAAGGAATCGAAGTATTGTCTCAAAAGACTATCTTCATAATTAATCAAGGCCCACTGAGCCATAGGGCCTCCAGCCTTTCCCTAACTGAGGGATACTTCTGCTAATGGTGAAGCTTGGTGTTAAAAATAATGTTTAGACCTGTTTTGTGATATTCTGAATGTAGAACAGCCAAAGCCATTTAGATTAGTGTCATTTGTTCTCATAAATGTGAATAAAATGCTTTGTGGGACTACCAAATTCTTTAAAACACGTTACATAAAATGTGCAGATAATCTTAAGAGATTCCTTTTAGAGTTGGTGTGTTTCATTCAATAAACTTGTTTTATCAAATCACATAACATTTATTTAATTGTCACCAATCATTCTTTTATTTCATCATATAGAGTATTGCATATTTGTCTTATTTATTTTTTTTTTTACCAAGAAATGAACTTTCTAAAACTTATGAAAACATTTGGACGGTAGCTTACAAAAATACACAGTGATAGATAGATTTTTCCTTATTCTCTTAAGGTGTATGTGGAAAATAAAGTACAAAGATCAATGGAGAAACTAATATCCTCCTGCCTGCCCATGTTTTCAAGCAATTAATAAATAAGAGAAAAGAAGAAGCAAAGAGACAACAAAAATATATAATGACATCCCTTCACATGGGGTGGGGGAGAAGCACCACCTCCTCTCCAACAGGATACCCACACCTTCCAGATTATCTGGGTAGACCTCAAATTCCAATACTCTGATCTGCCATCCTCAGAAGATCACGTAGGACTGTCAGATACCTTGTTCTCTTTGGGGAAAGGGTATAGAACACAGAGTCCCAGTAATCACACACCTTCTTACCCAGCCTACAATGGCTTCAGAGCACAGAGGCTGCAGTGCCCTTGGCTTCCTGACCAGGCGCTCCTGGTTGGCCTTCCCCCAGCACTTCCCAGCAGACCTGGTTCCTGGTAGTGACGCCTTTGCTTTTCTTCCAGGTCTATTTTTGTCCAGAGTCGCCAATTCCCCACCACAAGTCTCCGTTCTTTTCCCCCAAGGACCTTCATTGGTTTCCCTAAAGGGGTTTTCCCTTGCCCAATCCTGGTGCCTTTGAGTCACAGCCGGCATCCTTGCCAGGGGGCCACCAGCCCATTCTGCTAGCTGACCAACAATCCTGTTTTTGGGTCTAAGGAAAAGTGTCTCATGTGATCATCAGAGCTTGAGCCAGAGGACATATATGGGCAGGGCTTAGACCAAGGGCCAAAGGCAACAGGCCCCAAGTGAGGGCAGAGATGTGAAGTCATAGATAGTCACTGCTGCTCCAGGCACCCACCTGGGAGAGCCTGCATTGCCCCATGAGTGACCAAGTGGTCCCATTCCTCTGGATATAGCAAAATTAAGAACCTTAGCCATGAAGAGGTCAGGAGGCTTAAAGGGACATTTCTGAAGTTGGGGCCTTTGCACTTGAAGTTATCCAAGTAGTTGAGCATTAGACGTCTTCCTCTTAAACCTTGTACGCTCTCCACCAAAAGGTTTGAAGCCTGGTAAAACTCTTGAAAAAATGCACACCATTGTGGTAGCCATGTCTTCAATTAGCCCCTATCCATAGAGCAACATTTTAGCTCAGTGACTGCAAAGACACCCTCTCTTCTTATTTTATCCCTAATGCTTAGGTTGCTGCTGGCTAATACTTAGTATTAAATAATTTATTTAATACTAAGAAGAATTAAATAAATATTGATGGCATGAATGATCATTCTGACTTGAAAGGGCATTTATTGAACTTTTTAGTCCACCAAACACCATAAGCCCTTGATTTTTATTTCTTCTGCTCTAATTTCTCAGAGCTTGTAGATATTTCCTAGCAGGTCATCGTTGCCACCTGGGCAAGACAGGAAGGCTACCCTCATCCCACTCACTTGTTCTCCTTTTGATCATATACTCTCATGTTCGCCAATGCATCAAATTGGTGACCTTCTTCTAATCACAGACAAGTACAATAAGATTGGAAGGTGTCATGTTTTGGCAGGTGAACCTGTTTCTATAAGGATCCTGAAAAGACCAAGGTATATTTATTACCCTCAGTTTCTTTCCTTGACTTGCTCTTTGCACTCTGATGGGCCAGCCTTGGAATATCTCCAAGAGCAGCTGTTGGCAGGTCTTTCACCCCAGGAAAAAATTATCAGCTCTGTATTACTCAAGTTGTCTCTAAAGATGTTGGTCATTAGCCACTTCACTCTCTCTCGCCTGCTTGTGAAATATGGGTTGGATTCCTTCTGACATGTTACATCCCCAGTTGATCTCCTAAAGCAAATAGGAATTTATGGAGACATTCAACCCAGGAGTTTATGACCTGGCTGGGAGGGAAAATCTCCTGCACAAACATCTTCTCTAATTTTTTTGTATCTTTCCCATCTCAACATTCCCACTTCCCAAAGACTCTAATGAAACAGAAGCACAGTTTTTGATTGAGCACCCAGTCTGTCTACTATAATACTCTCTGGATCCCTTGTTACCAATATATTTATAATCCTATTTCTAACTAAGGAGTTTAGTTATAAGCTAAACTCCAGCATTTCCTCAGGAGGTGCTGGCCTCATAAATGTCCTGCAAGCAAGGAAAGTAGATCTTCCAGGAATGGCAGGAATCACGAGAAGACTGAAGGGTCAGCTCTTTAATTGGACCACCTCAATCGTTTGGGCTGTTAAACAATATTTTTGCTCAGTCTTTCCCACATTATAGTAATTAAATAGTTCCTTCCACATCCTCAACAAAGTCAAACACAGCAGCTTCACTGGGTGAAAAAGACCACTCTTGATTTGGGTGAAAAATGTTCTTTCCCACCCGTGAGGAAGGCCAAGCAGCGAATCCTCCCACTGCTGAGATTAGAGCAGTTATTTCTGCTAACACTGCCATCCCTTCTCTCTCCAGAACACTTTCTCTGTTATCAAGTTGAGCAAAGCAAGGAAAAAGTAAGCTGGTCAAATGTTTACTTGGTTGGTGAGCGTTGATAAAATGTTGGCCTCTGTGTGGTTCTGGATGAGACATGCACCCCCTGACCCAGCCAGCCCTGGGCTACAATGAGAACGAAGGAGCAGGTGATAGCTCTTAAACAACCAGCCAGTCCCAGGTTTTCAGCCCAGTGTTTGTTCACTTATCCCAGACGCTTGACTCACGAGGGACCGTGTTTATACTGGCTCTGTCCCAGGGTCACTTTGGTTGAGTGGTATCCATTGGTGTGGCTCCTACAGCAAAAGACCAAGTCCTGATGCCAAGAGAGATTAGGAGTTTGCAACGGGAAAGAAGAGGAATAAACAAAAAAGAGTGGCTCCAAGTCAAGTAAGTTGCTGAGCTGACTTGAGCTTGTTTCTACTTGTGGGAAACTAAAATCAATCTCTGGTCTGGTTGAAATAATCTTCAGACTGTCTGAACACCATAGTTGGTGGCACAGATTTACAGACATCTCAGCAGATTGGAGTGCAGAAGAGCAGAGAGTAAGTGGGTTATGAGCCAGCTTAAAGCTTCACTCAATGGAAACTGGAGCCCCGTCTTTCCAGAGAGGCAAAAAATGAATAATAATAATTGTGATGACGATGATGATGATGAGACATTAAATAAACCTCCTTGGAGCTTTTTGCTGACTTCTTCTGCTGGTGCCTGCACTTTCTGCCTCCCTAGAGGTTCCAACAAACCTTCTGACTCTAAAAGGAAACCCTTCTGAGACCAAAAGGATAGCCAATTATCTCAAGTTTTACAGCATAAATAATCTAATTGGATACTAAGAGGAGTCCAGATATTTGCACAAAAATTAAACCGTCACACAGAAGGGTGTTATACCCCTGCCTGGCCTCCTTCTTCCTAAAAGCCTGGAGAGTGAACAGACTTGAGTGTTGAACGACCCCCATTTCCTCCTGCTCTACCATGAGTGGGCACCATGGCCTCAGGCATGGGACCAACCTCTCCATATCCTCTCAGTTTGAGGAGGGAGGTGCTATCCACTGTGCCTCCCTTGATAGGAGAAATCAAGCATGCATTGAAGCCCTTGACAAAGAAAAAATTGCTGAACAGAAGCAAGGTCTGCAGGACATGGGTCCTATTGCTGCTGGGCATTTTGCAAGGATAAATATTACATAGTCACTCAGTTTGGTAGGAAGTTTGCTCACAAGAATTGGAACTGGAGGGGCTGGAAAATAAAAACTCCAATGGAAAAGGCTAAATTCCTTTTATCTTCATTCTTTATTGTTAACTACTTAAGCCACATAATCCCCTCAGTGTCAGGTATCCCAGGCCAAGAATCCTATATACCCAGGCACATCGCCACCCCTGCACCACCAGGCCACATAATACTAGAAATTCATTCAGAAAAACTCTTTCCAGATTGATTAATTGGTGATTGAATAAGTGAGGGAAGGAATAGGGGAAAGGGCAGAATCAGAAAATGAGAAGCGAACGCAGGAAGACAAAATTAGCGTGGCAGGTACAATGGCACCTGCCCAGATCCCCTCTCTATGGACAGATGGCCGCAGCTGCCAGGAGGGCCATTATACCCTTCAGAAGTGGCTGCAGTTGCAGAGAGATGCCTGACTAGGGCATCCCACAACTGACAGATCCAGGCAGGTGTATAAAGGTACCACTGGGTCATTTTAACCCAATGCTGAACAATGCTGCTAAGCCATTTTAGCTCCTGAGCTTCCCTGGCATCCGCTGAGGCTGTCTCCTCTGCATCACTGCTCAGCTCCCACCTCTGTCCACTCAAACTTTTCTTGTCCTCACTTCCACTGGTGTCGATCTCAAGGGCACCAAATATCCTATCCCTTAAAATCCATTAACAAATATCCTATCCCTTAAAATGCATCTCAGAATCTGCCTCCAGAGAACACGACTGTGACCACTAGGAAATGTAGCCAATGGAAATTCTCAAAGACTAAGAGGAGAATGAAGAAGGCAGGGGACACACTCATCTTCTTTGTGCTGTCATTGCCATTCCTTGTCTGGGTGTCTGCTTCAGCAAGGCACTGGAGCACAGTGACAAAGAAACATGTGTTAGGTTCCTGGGACCTCTTTCTCACCTTAGTTTTGTCACTCACGAGCTGTGTGGTCATGGATAAGTCAATGTCTCAGGGCCTCTTTTTGCAAGTTAAGAAACAAGGACAATAATGATCCTACCTGACATTTGAGTCATCATGAGGATCTCCTACGACCGTGGATGCCAGTGTGCACGGGAGATGGTAACACCCCATCTGCTAGTGACATTTCCCCCTTCTCCAGCCAAAGCTTGGAAAGACAGCAGGACCTTGAAAATGGCAGCCAGAAAGGCAGCCATTTCCACCCTGAGCTTCAATCCCCAGGCTGAGGAAGTCCTTGCAGGGAGGAGTTAGCTGCTAGAAGTCATGGGAGAGGGGAGGGTACTATCTCATTAAACTCTCACCCATAGATCATATTGAACACCTGCTACCTATGTGTTAAACTCCAGGCCAGTCCACACACATAGGGAGATGGAAATTAACTAAACCTGCAAACAAATAAAAACCTCCCACAGGGAATAAGCCAAGTAACAGGAGTTACAGAAGGCCTCCCTGAGGAAGTCACACTTGAAATGAGAACTGAATGACGAGAAGGAGGTATGTCGACAAAGGAGGAAGGGAAGGTGATTGCAATCTGAGATGAATATGAGTCCCAAGAAGTCCTCATGGTCAGGGGAGCAGA
This sequence comes from Homo sapiens, assembly GCF_000001405.40. NCBI lineage: Eukaryota > Metazoa > Chordata > Mammalia > Primates > Hominidae > Homo > Homo sapiens. The sequence goes on from NC_000021.9 coordinate 38,346,435, forward strand.
GAGCAGAAGGCCTGGAACACGAGGGTGAAGCTGGGAGAAGTTGGGAGGCAAGAGCTGAAAACGGGCTGGGGAGAGGATGAGGGCCAAGTTGAGCAAGTCCTGGCAGGTCAAAGACTATTAGCTTTATCCTGAATACAACGGGGAGTTGTGGAAGGGCCTTAAGCAGCAGGCAGATGGTTATACCAGCTGCAGAGGGAAGGATGGATGGCAGGGAGGTCAGAGTGGGTAGCATTAACAACCATGAGCATTGGTTGATTTACTACGTGCTTGACACAGTTCTAAGTGTTTAAATGAAGCACAGGCACCCAATAAAATAGGTACTATTGGCCGGGTGCAGTGGCTCACGCTTGTAATCCCAGCACTTTGGGAGGCCAAGGTGGGTGGATTGCCTGAGGTCAGGAGTTCAAGACCAGCCTGGCCAATATGGTGAAACCCTGTCTCTACTAAAATACAAAAATTAGCCAGGCATGGTGGCTGGCGCCTGTAATCCCAGCTACTCAGGAGGCGTAGGAAGGAGAATCACTTGAACCTGGGAGGCAGAGGTTGCAGTGAGTCGAGATAGTGCCATTGAACTCCAGCCTGGGTGACAGAGTGGGAGTCTGTCTCAAAAAAAAAAAGGTACTATTAAGATCCCCATTTTAAAGATGAAGACATGAAAATACACAGAGAACAAACAAACATGATGCCAACCAAGCTGTCTGGCTGCAAAGCCATACAGGTAACTACACAATACTACATGGTGGGTAGACCAGATGGACAGCTATTTTAGTAATCCAAATTTGAGTGACAGCAGTGGAATTGGAAAGAAGTGGATGGATTTTCAAGCGTGTAGGAGATCAAAAGAAAAGTCAGAACTCAGTTACACTTTGGCCACAGGGATGTGGGGAGATGGTTTTTGGGAGAGTGATGGGGTGGCAGTGAGAGACACTGAGATATAGGGGTCCAGAAGAAAACCAGGGTTGCAGTATCAGGACGGACAGGAGGTCGGGGACAGCATGAGTCCACTGGGACTTGCAGAGATTTGAGATGTCCCGGTGACATATTTCGTAGTGTTGTATTCTTTTAAGGATACCTGGTTTTATCCTCCTACAATATTCTGGCTCTTTCTGTTTGACTACGATCCATCTGGAATAGTCACCTGTTTAATATAATCTGGCTCCTGTGCACACAGGAAAGGAGCCACTGTCTCCCTTAAAGTCCCCTTCCAGAAGCAAGAGTGTCCTCACCCCTCCTCAGCCCAGCACATCCTCATGCGAAATCATCACGGGAAGCAGGACAGTCCCTGCTATGCAAGGAGAGGGCAGTTGAGCATGAGGGCTGGTTAAGAGAAGAGATTTCTGAGCCCGACTCCAAGCCCTACGATTTATGAGTTGTGAGATTATGTCTTTGCCCAATTTATTAATCTGTCTAAACCTCAGTTTTTCTATCTGTAAAATATGGTTCTTGAGAGGCTGCAATGAGATGATATACCTAAGAGAAAGCCCAGAGCCTGGCAGGCAATAGCCAAGCGATGGTAGCAGTTATTATCCCTAGTGGAAATCGCAGCACATGAACACTCTTGGATTGTTGTTTGTTTCACAGCTCGAGTCTCTGGAACTGGAGGAATCCCTTCCAGTTACCTCCTGTTCTTGCTTTTCGGATGCCGGGGGCCTCTCTTGCCAGAACAGCGGTCATGAGCCATGAGGGCAGTTTCTACACATCTTCCTAGACAGGATGGCTTGGCTTATGATCTGGAAGATGTTTTGCCACTGTTCAGCCACAAGAATGGTTGTCATTTGCTCCGTTGCTTGTAAAGGAAGGCTCGTCTATGGCATTTGGTTAGTGAGAGCAGCAGTTTAGAGAATAAGGAAAGAAGTTTGTTTGAAGAGAGTCTCAGAAAGTGAAAGGTAACTGTTTTACACAGATGATGGATGAAGCGACTCCTTTTGCAATAAGCCCTTATCTTTCCTTAAAGCTTGTTCCAAGGGGGAAAGCCTATCACCTGGCCTACTGTGATTCTTGGAGTCTCCTCTGGCAAAAGAGGTGGCAGTTGTGGCTTGCCTCCATTTCGTTTTCTCTGCTGAGACCTCCAGAAAGTCAACCTGCCTCAGAAGGTGCAGGTCCCATGGGTTGTGGCCCCTCACGGGATGGTTACAAGGCAGGCAACTGAGTCACACATTTCGTTGCTTCCCAGGACACTGGAGACTTCTCACCTTGAGGGTGGGAGAGGTCTGACGGTTTGAAGGAAAGAGGGATTCCTACATACTGCAGGTCTTGGTAGGGAAAATGTCTTTGTTTATGAAGCCTTGGCGAGCACAATCATGAGTGATTTGGGGAAGGATTTCCTGGGGAATGGAGACTCTGTGAAACAGACAGGTCTCGCCTCATTTCTCTCTAGTCCCTGGCAGCAGCTGCTCACAGGAAAGAGTGCAGGGTCTTTGCTAAGATTCACTGAGGTTCCAGCACTGCATAGAAACAAGTAGCTAAGTGTCCCAGTAATTGTCACCATCTGTACCTAAGAGAAAGGAAAACCTCACGTGTGACCATCTTTTTTTTTAAGCAATCATTTCTTGAGAGAATAAAGCAGAAAAACCTGAACTTATCCTTTTGCTTGTACTAGGAGAAAGAGAAAACGCAACAAAACACACACACCTGACCCCTAGCTAACCTTTCTCAGGATGGGGATGGGAGGGTCCTGTCTGGAATCTCAGAAGTTGGGGCTTCCTAAGGCACCCCTACACCCCCGTTTCCTGGAATCTGCTAAAAGAAAATGGAAAACTAGCCGAGATATTTGACTGAGGTTTCTTAAGAAAACATATTCTCGGTTTGGGTTGTTTTCTGAGGGGAGGGTTGGAGCGATGTGGTTTAAGTAAGAAAATTGCTCATGAACAGTGATGGAAATAGTGACTCTCTTGACTGTTCCACATGTCTCTGGCTATAGTTACAGGAAGCAAAGTGGAACAGTGTTTGCGAATTACCTGGGGAACACGGGCAGAGTGGACAACTGATCTAAAAGGCTGGAGCCAAGAAAACATCACTGCATCAGTGATCTGGGTAATTCCATGGCTGGAGCATGTGTTTAGTTACTTAAGTGGAAGGTGGGGACGATCTTATTTCGGGAGCCTGGCTAGACTCCAAGATGAAATAAGATAACCTACTTCATCTAATTTGTTGCCCACACTCCCTAGAGACTAACGCATCTCAGGTCTCTCTGACGTCTATCCTAGTGAATCTCAAAAGATTTATTTTCATACTCTTTTAATAAGGTCAGTCAACCAAAATCTAAACTACTTGACTTGACTTTGAAAATGGTTTTAGAATCACAGTTCATAGTATAAGAGCACAAACAGTTTCCATTATCTTTGAATAAATCCAATAAATAATATTCACAAATTCTAAGACACAGACAATTTTAGTTGTTTGACCAACAGAATCAGTTTTTCTCCGGTGTATCTTTGTGGTTAGCCTTTATGATGTCACGTTTCTGCTACCAACTATCTATTCAGGGAAAGATAAACAGAGGGCAAACAATATTTGTTTATACCTTTTGGGCTAAAGACACAAAAATTCTGCTTAATTGCCTTCATCAATCAGTAGAAGATCCTAAATTCCTGGGGATCATGGAGCTCAAATGGTTAGGGTGGGCCATGTGTACACAGTCATTCATTCAATAATTCATTCACTCTCTCAGCCAGTCAATAAGTGTTGCACATCTGCAAAGTGCCCGGCACTGGGCTAGGCTCTGGGCATTTCAAGATGAATAAGACCCCACTTCTGAATGACGCAAAGAGCTTTCCAGCTACACAGTGGCATTTGTAATGTCACAGGCAGTCCAAGGAGGGAGTGGTTACTTCACAGAAGTCACTAGAGAAAAAGAGTATTTATGCAGGGCCTACAAGGATGGGAAAGATTTTGGCAGGGAGAAGCAGAGGGCTAAGGAGCTCTAGAAAGATGAGTTTCCAAGTATAAGCAAACTGAGGAAGCTGGAAATGAGGAAAATGGGGTGGTCAGCATGGCTGAAGCTTGGGAAATGCGGAGCGGAGTGGTGGCAAGTAAGCCACTGACAAATTGCCGAGTTTCTTCAGAAGTAACGAGTGGGGCTTTTCTCTGTAGTAGCTGGGAACCAAAGAAAATGTGTGCGTGGAGGCAGAGGCAGTCAGGGATCTGATCGGAAAGTTCAGTGTGCTGTCAGGTGAGGAATGCATTACACAGGTGGGTTGGAAATACTGGGATAGGAGGCAAGAGATACAGACTTGAGCAAATGCCTGAGAGGGAAGCAGTAGGTTGCTGAGCAGGGCATTGCCGAGGGCAAGAGGAGAAGGAGGTGGCTGTGCAGAGGGGGCAGGCCACCCATCTGGACTCTGTCCTGGCCCCACTCTTGGCAGCTATGGGACCAGGTTTAAGTGGCCTCCAGTTCCTCTGGAGAGAGAGAAGGACTGGGTACAGCAGCCCCTCCCCCAAGCCTATTGAGACATCTGTAGGGAAGAGAGTTCAGCTCACTGGGAAGGAGAAGCCTTCAAGGCTGGAGAGCGCTGTGGTGATGTGGTTATCTAACTTTGCTGTGGGTCAGAATTGCCTGGGCAGCATAGCAAGCGGTCCCATCCCTGGAAACTCAGACTGGGCTGCCTTTGTAGCTGCACCACACTTTGGAAAACCCTAATCTCACATCTGGGGTGTTTTCTGATTCTCTGTTTGGAGGATTCTGAAGCTCAGAGGGGCTGGGTGGGTCCAGCCTGAAAGGGGCACATCCCATCACCTCTCTCTCCTCCACCATTCACAGGGACGCCCAACACGATGCCCTCCGTGTCTTCATCTCTCCCTCTCCACCTCCTCAGTCCCTTTCCCTGGACTTCATGGGAGCCTGTTGAGCTCAAAAGATCCCCAAGAGCCAAGATGCAAGCCTGCAGATTTCAGGACAGCTGGTCCTGGCGCTGCTGGCTGCTCGCAAGGGCCGGGCCTCCTCATTGCCGTCACCAGCCCCCGTTGGGCCTCATCAGAGCAAGACCAGGCTCGGCTGATGCTCGGCGCTGTATTCCTTGACGCCTCCATGAGGCTTGCTGCCCAGCATGTCCCAGGCTTGCTGGAAATGCTGAAGCTCAGGCTCACCTCAGACCCACGACTCAGAGTCTGTATCTTTTCCAGATCCTGGAGTGATCGCATGTGCACGTATAAATCGGAGAAGCTTTGGCTTCCATAGCCTCTGCTGGCTGTAACTAATCCTTCCTCACCCCATACTGAGGGAAAAGAAAGAAGGGAAGGGAGGGAAAGGAAGGGAAGAGAAAGGAGAAGGAAGGACAGGGGGAGAGAGAGAGAGAGAAAGGGAAGGAAGGAAGGCAGGAAAGGAAAGAAGGAAGGAAGGAAGGGAGGAAGGGAGGGAAGGAGAAAGAGAAAGGAAGGAAGAACAGGAGGTTAGGAGAGAGGAATGAAAGAAAGAGAATGGGAGAGGGACAGAGGGAGGGAGAGAGAATGATTCTGTGAGTCTCTTAACTCTGGTCCTCCTGTTACACATCTTTTCTTCTACTTTTCCTTTGTTTCACACTTAAGCTTTGAAGATGTAAAGTAGGACCAGAGGGTGAGAAATTCAAGAACCTTGAAATAAAAGACCTTTCTGTTTGCTTTTCATTTCCTAAAAAGGAAGTCCTCACTGACTGTTCCTGTAAGGGATATTAAGCTGTGTGGATTGTGAGTGATTCGTCACACAGCAATTTGGAGCAGGAAGCACACGAAACCCTAGAGCTAGCCTGCACGCAACTAATTGAAGCCCTCAATTAATCGGATTGGCTTCCACCTTCAGGAGAAAAGCAAATACTAAGAAAACAAATTAGCACCTGGAATTTAACAACTTCCCTTTTTTGGTGTGGGGGCGCATTATATTCAGAGTACATGATAACTGATGGCTCGTCTCATAGGCACAGACATCTTTACAATCCTCTAAGGCAGAGTGGTGTGGTGGAAACGGAGTTGGCAGAGGCATCAGATCTGCCCGGGTTTCCATCCCAGCTCCAGCATGCATGGGCCATGTCGCTTGGCAAGCAGTCTCACCACTCAGAGCCTTGATTTCAGGATTAAAAAAATAATAACCTATTCAACAGAATCATGGTCGAGAAGATTAGGGGTTTGTGCAACTCCTCACCTGGTGGATACTCAACCGGAATGAGTTCTCTTTCTCAGTTCCTGCCTACAGATCTATAGACACTTAGCTTTAAAAGCTTTGATTATGGCCAGTTGCCTGGTCAACCTAATACCAGCAGAGGAGTGTATTTTCCCTACTATGGTGGAACAGAGGTAAAGGTTTTCCAAGTTTGAAGCAATCATACAAACAAAATAGGAGCCCAAAGACTTCTGCGGAGCTTTGGAATGAGAGATGCCCATTCTGGTTTCAGAAACGCCAGCGCCATCTCTTGGAGGAGCATGAAATTGTTTCCTTGGGCTGAAGAAGCATCCATGGGGCCCCAGGTAGGTTCAGCTGGTCCTCTCCTTCTTTCAACTGTAGTTTCAGACTGGAACCCCAGGGCTTCTTCCAAGGGAAACATTCTTACTTATTTCCTTATAAAGGTCCTGCATACCTTTGTTTGTCTCTCTTCCAATCAAACCATTCTTTCTCTCTAATTTCATCGGGTCCAGTATTTCCAAATTTCAGTCCCAGTTTGTAAATCTACAACTCAAGCCAAACCTTCAAAGACTGAATTTTCTAAGTGGTTAGTTATCCTTCTAACACAGAGGGTCTTCCTTCTAACACCCCAGCAGAGGCCGGGTAGCCTAGCACTCAAGATCCTGGACTCTGAAGCTAGACCACTGTGTTTAGCATCCCCTCAGCCTTCCAACTGTGTGACCTTGGAAAGTTACTTGACCTCTCTGTGCCTCAGTTTCCCCACCCACAAAATGAGGCTGACAGCAGACACCACCTAGAATGGTTGTTGCAGCATTACAGGAGTTCACACCTGCAGCACTCGGTGCAGGCCTGTGACAGATCATGAGCAAGTGTTTGCCATCATCTTGGTTTTCAGTGGCTGTTCCCTTACACACCACTTACGACGCTGGGCTAGGATTTCACTTGACTTGTCCAGGTTACCCACCAGGCGGTGTTTCTGTAGCATGGGCAGTAAAGGCAGCATAAATCTAGGCCACACTCACAAATGCACATTGTTAGCACACAAACCCCGTGATTCAGATGCAGGTGGTCTGGGGGCCTGATTTTTAGAGCTGCTGCACTCAGTTTTGTGCTCCTAGGGGGCAGGGACTAGCTCCATCCATCTCAGACCCCAGCCTGCATGCAGCAAGCACCCGCCCCCTTGAAAGTGCTCAGCTCAAGTTGCTTTCCTTCTCCATCTTCTTTAATAAATGATCTTGGAGTGAACAAATGGGAGGCTGACAGTATTACACTAAAATAACAGGAGTTTCTGGTCACCTGAGAAGCACAATGGTCTCTCATCTTCTCCTTACTCCATTAGGAGTTCATATGCCTGCATTTTCCTCATTAAATCTGAGGTGCTTTTCTGAACTCTATCTGAGAAGGAGCTGAAGTAATCAATGAGTGTCTCACACACAAACACATGGAAACAGGTTCTTAGTGAGAGCGGTGGGGACTCTGACTCCAAATTTAATGATTTTTCACTAAAAAGGAATGACGCTTCCCTTCACTAGAAAGCAATGATGTCTTCGGTGGTTGCATCAATGACCAAACATGTATAATAAACTGCTTCTTTGAACTTGAGGACATCTGATTAAGAGATAGAAAGCAAAACAAGCCTTCACAGATGGTAATAGTGCTGGGACACATCACCTTTTGTGAATAACTGAAGAGCATATATTAATAACAGAAATCACATTGGTGTGCCCTTACTGAGGATCGACAAAGGAGAACACGTCTATGTTTTGTGGAAACACGACTGAAGCCTTCATCCAATGACGTTGGCCGGCCCCGCTCTCCTCGTGCCATCAAGCACTCTACGCTGACTCAGTAGAGCAGCACAGCCCTGTGTGTGGAGAGATTCCCATGCACCATGGGAAGAGGGACCAAGCCTGGGCCCTGGAGGGCGCAGCCGGTGCAGTCTGCAGGAGGCTCTGTGTTTCAATAACTGTGGTGTCCCCACACCCCAAGGGCCATCTGTAGATCTGCTGCTCCAAAGTCTCTCACAGTGGCTCTTCTTTGGAGGTCACTCTCCAGTTAAGTGGGGGACCAACTGCAAACTTCTCCCATCAATATGAACTGCAATATGATATTGCAGCAAACAAAACACACACACACACACACACTCTCCCAGAAGCATTTAACAGGAGAAGTGTGTACCTACACATTTAGTCCCAAGATCTCTTTCCAGGCCCTGTCCAGGTTCGTGGTGGAAGCCTGTCCTCTGCACACTGGCTTCCCCAAATCTTCCCATATTCCAGAGCAGGGGAATCCTTTCTCCATCTTTTGGCTCAGATCTACTGCGGAGTGTGGGAGAAATATTAAAAGTAATGATCCTTGATGGTTAAAGCTGCCTTATCAAGTTCCTGCCCCTGGGTTTAAATAAAGTCTCTTTTTCTGCCAGCTTTAGATAAGGATGGAGGGTGAGAGAAACAGACAGAGACAGAAAGAGAGAGAGAAGAAGGGAGAGAGGCAGAGAAGCAAGGACTCTATAGGGAAAGAAAGAGCTTGGACATTAATTCATTTTATGAATATTTGTTCTACTCTTCTTAAGAACAAGGTTTGTCCCAGGTGCCTTGGGGGCAAGAGAGAATTTAAGGGGTGGCAAGGGGCCACTGTCCCGCATCTTGGGGACGTTGTAGGCAGGCAGGTAGAGATGTGCTAAGGTTCCCGGGTCCTGGAGATGCCAGGCAAGTTGGAAAATGCAGAAGAGGAGGCTGGGGTGGACAGGGGTCATTTTGGCTGAAGCTGGTTATGAGAGGCTTAGAAGGTGAAAGTGTCTGCTGTGCTGGGCCCTGAAATGTAGGTCTTCTTGGCCACAGTGGGAAAGGGGAGCCCTAGAGGTCCTTGAACAGTCTGAGTGACAACACCTGGGCTGCCCAGCCCCAAAGGCCAAAACCAAGACACGTCTTTGTCCCAGAGGTTGGGCTTGGTGGCTGCAGCTGTGGATGCTGACCCTTTCATGGGCATGGGGACAGGTGAAAAGCAGGAGCGAGGCAGGCAGGAGTGGGTGCCAGCACCAGCCCACAGCCATGAGGCCTGTGCCAGGCCAGCCTGTGGGGACACTGGGTCCCCGAGAGAGACATGGAAGCTCCCGCCAGCAGGAGACTTGAAGGTGGTCAGTTCTGAAGTCCTCTCCTCCTTAGGCCTGGACCTGGGGACACAGGCTCCAGCCAGCAGCAGGAGCCCATGAAACTCATTTGTCCCAATCTTCTTCCCAAGTCTCAACAGCTTTCGGGGGGTTCTGTGACAGATGCCCCACTTCCAGCTCCACAGCCAGCCCTACGCTAACTCTGACAGATGAAAGGCCTCAGAATCCCCTTCTTCAATTGTACTGCACCCAACTTGTGGAAAGCAAAACAATATTAAAAATACTTTTTAAGAAACTCTAGAATATATTGTCATCAAAGTGATCACGGTTCTGCTTATTTTTGGTCATCGCAACCAATGTACTGAGCCCCCTTTGCCCAGACCCTAGCAGGTCCTGAGTCTCAGCGTCCACAAAACGAGGCTATGGCCCTTGGGGAGTTCCGTGCGGTGCCACAATTGGCCTCTGAGTTACTCTAGAGTGATAAACGCAGCCTTGGCAGTAAAATACCAGAGAGGTAATGAGTGCGGACTCCGTGCTCCCTCCGCAGGGGCAGGTGCGTGAGGCTCTAGCGCCACCTCGTGGGCCGTGGGATTCGTGCCCATCTCCTCCTGGGCGGGAGTTCCTCTGGAGCCAGGAACTCTTTGGGCTCAGGGTGTCTTTTTAGAAAAGCTTCTGACGTTGGTTCTTCTTTAGTGGACCTTCTCCGGTAAAACGGGGTTAACAACTCCAAACTTTTCCCCACCTAAAGGGATTGAAAGGCTGTTTCAAAGGAATTAGAGCTCTGAGACTGCAACCCACAAAACACACAATAGCATATACACAGAGATGCACATAGAAACATAGACACACAGGGACACACACCAGAGATACACACACACACACACACGGACAGGCAGACACAGGGCCACAAACACATACACAGAGATACACACAGAAACATATACACACAGGGACACACACCAGAGATACATACACAGACACACACGGACAGGCAGACACAGGGCCACAAACACATACACAGAGATGCACATAGAAACATTTACACACAGGGACTCACACCAGAGATACACACACACACGGACAGGCAGACACATGGTCACACACACACACACATACATACAGTGATATTCAACAAGGGAAGGGTGCACCCACAGGCTCAGTCTTGAGACCTCTCTCCAGGCTCCTGGGTGGGTTGGGGAAGCTGAGCCTCCCTGCCTGCTCATAGCACACAGCCTCCACAAATCTTGCTCTATTCCAGAGTGAGAAAGGAACGTTAAAACTGATGATCCCTGATGGCCAAGGCTGCCTTATCAAGATCCTGTTCCCGATTCAATAAGAAAAGATGCCTCTTGTGCCAGCAGCAGATAAGGCTGCAGCCCTGGGCGTTCCCAGGAGAGCGAACAATGGAAGCCCCCAGGATGCCTCTATATGAGGTAGGATGGTTACTTGCCCAGTCCCTGCCTGCCAGGCCCTTATCTGGGAGGCGCTGGTTCGGGTTGCACCCTCCTGTGTTCCTAGCGGGGGCTGCTGCACACCAGGCTTCTGAGGCCTTCCTGGTGGGGGTTGGTGGAATGGCGGCGGGGGGAGGGTTTTGACGGTGCATCCTGAAGTGCTCCCTGCACCTTTCCCAGAAAAAGAAAAGGATGCCATGAAAACACTTCACCCTAGACATGGTTTACCCTCGGGAAAGCTGATGTGAAAGAAGTTCCAGGGGGCCAGGGATAGAAAAGGATTTAGAAAGATGAAGGCAACAGACAAACGACACTTACAAAGTGCCCAAAGTCTGCAAGTCCTGATAGTCACAGGGAAGGACATCAGCTGGCGGGAAACCTCACCTTTTAGGCCTGCATGTCAGTCTTGCACTGCTGAGCTGTGTGACCCTAGGCAGGCTACTTAAACCCTCTGTGCCCTGGCATCTCCATCTACAGAATAAAGCTTCTAACAGCATAGGCCTCACACACCTGTGTGGAGACCCCATAAGTCGACAACATGTGTTTACCCGAGGAAATAAATATGGGTGCCCCTTTAGGCCTGTCCCACAGAGTTATACAGCTGAAAGACCTCAGAGTAGGTCCACACCCCTTACCAAGTAATGCAGGCCTTGATTAATTGCCACTTGAAGGGAGGTGGGGAGAAAGCACCCTGTCACATCACAGCTAAATTTACTAAAAAAGAAACTCTTTGCCCACTTATCTTTCGAAAGTGCCTCACAGCAGAGACAGCCCCAACCCCTTCCTCTCTCTCCAGCCTCACCTCTCCTCCTAAAATTCAGTTCCTCCTCACACTCTCAGTGCCTGGCCCCGGCCATGCATTAGATGCCCTGAAGAGCTTTTGAAAAGGACCAATCCCTGGGCCCTATCTCAGGTGTGTCTGAGCATCTGTAGATTTTAGAAGCTCTGAGGAGGATTTACATGCATTTAGGGTGGAAATCACTTGTAAGTAAATTTTTTTAACTGTTCCCTGTTAAAAAATATGAACCAATGGACCAATGGACCACTTATGGCTTCTGCTAATTCTCTTACATATGCCCATGGTACCTTGTTGCAGTATCATTTGTATAATAAAAAGATTGGAGCCAACCAGAAAGTCCATCAATGGGGGGAAAATTAAATAAAATGTAGTTCATTCAGCAATGGAATACTATGCAGCTCTGAAAAATGAATCAGGAAGCTTTCTATGAACAGATGTGGAAAGTCTCCAATGTATAGCATTAAGTGGAAAAAGCAAGACATAATGGTAGTGTGCACGTTCTATATTACAAAAAATGTGAATAAAGGCAGTTTATATTCATGTTTTCTTGGATATACATTTAAAAAACTCTAAAAAGATACACAAAGAATGGTCTAGTAGTCATTATAGGGGGTCTGGGAAGGCAAGAGATAATATATCATATTTTCAAATTTTTGAATTATGAGAACATGTCATTCATTCAAAAATTGAATGTAAAAAGGGTTAAGAAAGAGAATAAAGCAAGGGCCGGGACACATCTCCACTGTCTTCCCATGGCCCTCTCAGAAGTGGATCACACCTGGTGCTAGGCAGGGGGACAGAAATTGCTGTGGCCTGAGCAGAGCCTGGGTCCAGCCAGCATCTACACAGCCCACGTCCTCCCAGGGGAATTTCTCTGTGCTCTGTTTTGAGGGGATGGTCCTGGTACTGGAGTAGCAGAGCCAGGTCCCTGCTTCTTGCATAACCCTGAGGCTGCCCTGTTTGCTCTTCTTGTGTGGAGGGCATTGGCAGAGGCCTCTGGCCTGTAGAACCTTTGTGAGCTGAGCCACAACTCACTTCGAGCTGTTCTCTGCCCTGGCTTTGCTACCCTGAGGTCTCCAGTGCCATCCACACCTTCCGTCTGCCACTGCCAACAGCCACAGGTGATGGATGGGGACCATAATGTGAGAGGAGAATTGTGTACTGGAAATCAGCATGAAGGGATATCCAAAGACCTGGAGAAACCCAAATCACATGGGGATGGGAGAGTGAAGACCCAAGGGAGGGATGTGCGGCAAGACCTGCTCTGAGCTCTGAGGGTGCAGATGTAATCAAGACTGAGTGCTGCCCCACCAGACCTGTAGACGAACTCTCCTTCTGGTGAGGCAGTGAACCTGCAAGCACGGGAAGGTGGTGGTGGGTTGGGTGCCATGGAGGAAATGAGGAAGCAGGAGATACACTGGGGGCCAGGTGGGGTTGCAGGTCTCAGCAGGGTGGGGCTGAGGTGGTGATGGGTGAGGGAGTGAGCTGTGGAGTATCCAGACAGGGAAAGCAGCAAGTGCAAAGGTGCTGGGACAGGAGTGGATTTTGCGGGTCTGCAGGGCAGTCGGTGTACTGGGAGTGGAGTGGATGAGGTAGGACATGGAGGCTACAGAGTCTCAGAACCCGTCAGAGGCTGGTGTGCAGTCAGGTTCTGCAGGGCATTGTTGGCCACTAGGAGGATTACAACTTTTTCTCTTACCCCAAGTGGACTTGAAACCATTGGAGGGTCTGAGGGAAGAGTGATATGGTCAGATGAAGTTTTTAAATCATGTATTTAATTATTCTAGTTGATGTGTAGAGAATGGAATTGGTGAGGGAGGAGAGAGTAGAAGTAGGGGGACAAGTTAGGACTGATGGGAGATTGAGTTGCTCCTTGGCCGTCACAGGATTCTGCATCCTCTGCCTTTACCATGGGCCTTGCCTGCCTCTCCCAGGGACAGAGTGTACCCCTCCAACCTTATTGACTGCGCATTTGGCCATGTGACTTGCTTTGCCTCGAGGGACATGAGCAAAGGCCACATCTGAGCAGAAGTTTTGAGGGCCATTGCCTGGTTGGCTCTTGCTTTTTTCCCTCTGCTCTGAGAAGAGGCATTTCCAACAGGGGGTACCCTCCAGTCCAGGTCCTAGAATGGGAAAGCCTATGGAGCAGGGCTGCCACCGTGGCACACAGCCATGACAGAGGTGGGAGTGAGAATGAGATGGCTGTCGTCGTAAGCCTTGGAGATGTGGAGAGTGCTGACCGACACAGGGGCCCTTGGGGTACCAGACTACAGAGGCACTGCTGGAACGGTGTGAGGTGAGTTGACTTTGTAATGTTTTCTGAACAGCAGAGCTACCCAAATTGGAGTTTGATGTATGGCATTAGGGAGAGTTTGATTTGGTTTAGGGATATGTTAAGTTCGAGATACTCATTAGACATCTAGGTAGAGGCTGGAGTTCCTGGAAAATGTCAACTACAGGTACAACTTGGAGTCATCGTCTCACATTTGCAAACTCAATATATGCAAATGGTATGAAAAGTCATGAGGCTATACGTGATCAACCAGAGAGAGGGTGTAGAAAGAGGTGTCTTCTTAGGACCTGGGGCACTCCAGCATGTGCAGAATGGAGATCTCAAAGGGCGAGTGAGCACTGACCTGGTGGTGGCATAGGCAGGTGCATGTCAGGGAGAGAGAACCTGTGTGCAAATACAAGGAAGGTGAGTGACATGGTTTGGCTGTGTCCCCACCAAAATCTCATCTTGAATTGTAGCTCCCATAATTCCCACATGTTGTGGGAGAGGGCAGGTGGGACATACTTGAATCATGGGGGCAGTTCTCGTGGTGGTGAATAAGTCTCGCGAGATCTACTGGTTTTATAAGGGGAAACTCCTTTTGCTTGGCTCTCGTTCTGTCTTTGCTGGCTGCCAGGTAAGATGTGCCTTTTGCCTTCCATCATAATTGTGAAGCCTCCCCAGCCACTTGGAACTGTGAATCCATTAAACCTCTTTTCCTTTTATAAATTACCCAGTCTTGGGTGTCTTTATCAGCAGCATGAAAACGGACTAATACAGTGAGAGAGCATGACACCTTCAAGAAGGGGGCAGAGGACAAACTCTCCAGCCTGCCTGGGCTCATGCCCAGCACTGTGGCCCTTCTCTATCCAGGAGCCTTCCCTGTCATTATGCACACCCTCAGTCACTGTCCTCTGCTTGGCAGCACCTCTCTGGACTCACGGTTTGTGGACCAGTTTGTTCTCATTAATCCCACGACTTAAATTTCTAGCACCCATGACACACAACCTTTCCCTCTCCTAACTCAACCCCTTTGTCACTTTCCCCCACTTCTGACGTAAAGGTAACCCATCTTCCCCAATTACAATTTCTTGTGGCCCAGCCTTGCCCCAGTACCAATTTTTAGGAGATGATTTTTGTCACCATAGGTTTTATTTTACTGTGAAAGGCATAAGATTTGTTTGGGGCTCTTCTCTCTCTATGTCCACCTTCCCTGCCCTCAAGTTCACCATGCTCCCCCAGCATGATCTCCAGTCTTCCCTAATGGCTGTTGGCTCCACTTCCCTCCAGCACTCTAAGAGTTATCAGCCTGCAGAATTATGAGCTGCTCAGGTCACCCTACAGCAAGTCACTCCTCCCACCCAGATCATTCTCCCTCAACCCATCAGAGCAATCCCTGGAAAACAGGAAGGTGGCCCTTCACTCCCTCCCCTGCCACACTCCCGCCTGGTAATTCCACCATGGCTGCTTTCAGCCTCACAGGGACCTCAAGTCCCTGGATACTTCCATCCATGCCATGATGTCTGGAACTCTCAAGAAATATTTTGGACAGTTTATCTGCCTGCTCTTGGATTTATTGAGCAGGGAAGAAACTCTGTAAGTTCACATATCTCTACTCTATCCCTGACAATTTTTTCTGGGACTGGAGAGGAACCAGAAAGGGAATGGAGTTGGGGATTGAGGAAAGAGGGGAGAAACAAGAGAAGGGAATACCTTGGGCAGCTGGGCAAGAAGAAACAAAGCCACACCATCCAGAGACAGGGATTTTGGAATAACTGCAAAGTCACAAAAGTATTGGGAAGATGACTTAATGCCCTTGAATTCAAGTCCTCAGACATACACAGATATTGTGGTGATCATCATAGCAAAGCTAGCCTTCCCAGGAAAGAGAATGCCAGAGGTTTTCCTCAGAGGAGGCATAGAATTAGCCTAGCCAGTGACCAGTTAGCCAGTGACCAGTTAAAGGACAAGTGTTGACTTTGACTTTACCCCAGTCCACTCACGCTGCCACCCCCATGCCCTACAGACCCAGCCATGTCCTTGTGTAAAGCACACCAGGAGACACCAAAGGTATCACAGAGCAGGTCCAAGTGGGACATGGGTTCTGAAACCTTAATGCAAACCAATGGCATGCTGGTATCTGATCCCACCATGACCTTCATCTCGAGAAAGGTGCCACGAGGCTGTTTCTTGAAAGGAAGTTTTGTTGACCTGGTTCCTATACTGAATATGACCACTCACTACCTGGATTTCTTTAGCCATTTGGAATAGGAGCAAGACCACAAGCGCTCATTACCTTCCTGCATGAAATTACATCTCCTGGGAGGAAGAGAGCCATAAACATCAAGGTGGGTGTCACCTGGTCTTAATTTCTTGGCTTCATTAGAAAAATCTGAGAACTTGGAATGACATACCCACAGAGAACATTTGGGTTTACATAAACTAGTATATCCTTCATGTATAAATACATAGTTTAATGTAAAAGAATTGTGGGCCCAAACCAACAGTTTTAGGGTATTTAATTAGGATATTATTCAATAAGCACAAACGGCTCTTCCTAGGTCGGTATTTGATTCACCACTGAAAAATTTGAAACTAGGAAGCAAATCTCTAGAGAAGTTGCATTTATTATTTTGGAGTAATGGTAAACTTTGGGGATTTGATGAAAACGATGGGCCATCTCATCATAAAAATTCACACATACAAACATTTTTTTCTATGCAATTTAGAGGGTACCCAGCCCTAGCTAAGAATCTCTGATCTATTGATTAAAATTCTAAAATAACTAAAATAATATGCATTTATTTATTTATTTATTTATTTTGAGATGGAGTCTTGCTCTGTTGCACAGGCTGGAGTGCAATGGCACGATCTTGGCTCACTGCAGCCTCTGCATCTTGGGTTCAAGTGATTCTCATGGCTCAGCCTCCCGTGTAGCTGGGATTACAAGCACGTGCCAACACGCCCAGCTAATTTTTGTATTTTTAGTAGAGACAGGGTTTCACCATATTGGCCAGGCTGGTCTTGAACTCCTGGCCTCAAGTGATCCACCCACTTCGGCCTCCCAAAGTTCTGGGATTACAGGCATGAGCCACCATACCCGGCCCCAATATGCATTTTCTTAGTGCCTGAAAGCTACGATGACATGGGCATGAAATGGGCCCAGTGCAGACTACATGTGTGAGAAGAGACTTCCTTCAGGCCAGCACGACACTTCTTCCCTATGGTCACAAGTGCCTTTTTCCTCTTTGTGTAACAACTCCTCTCTAACCATCTGCAGTTTGCATGTGTTGAACCAAACCCTAACTCCAAAAACTTAGGTCTGGTCAGTTGAAACCTCCCATTTATTTGGCTACAGTGATGGGTTTGGGGATGGATATGTGACCAAAGTCAGTGAGTGAGACTCAATTCCAGGACTCTCTTGAGACTACTGGGAAAAACAATGCTATTTCTGTTGGAGTGGTTGAGAGGCCATGATGTAAGCCAGGGATTCTCAACCAGTGGTGATTTCACCTCCCATGGGACATTTGGGAACACCTGGAGACATTTTTGGTTGTCACTTCTAGGGATGTGCTACTGACATGTATTGGGTAGAAACCAGGGATGCAGTTGAACCTCCTACAAATGCATGGGACAACCATCCCCAACAAAGAATTATTCTGCCACAAATGCCAATAATGCAGAGGTTGAGAAACGCTTCTGTAAGCTTAGAGTTTGAGCAACTATTTTGGTGTTGCATAAAATGAGCCTGCCCAAGACTGAGGCCAACTGAAAGGAGATAAAGCTGAGAGATGGAGGAAGGGCAAGTCATGAAGATGTCCTTTGAGATCTGGGATGCATCTCTGTCTGAAGTTGAGCCCTGGACTTTACAAAACTGTATCATTTACAAGTAATTGCTTCCTGATTCAGCCTTCTGTTGATTCAACAACACATGTTCGTTAGGTGGCTGCCAGGTGCCAGGACTCTTACTTTCATTGAGTTATACCAGCAACGATGTTAATGAGAAACAAATAACACAGATAAATAAAGAAAATAGAACTGGGAATGGCGGATTGCATACAGAGGCTAATTCAGATGAGGAGGAAACTGGAAATCAACAACAGAACATCCTCCGTGTGCATATATTGTGGTCTATGATGTATGAAAATGTAAAGTACATGATATTTGGTGCTCCTGAAAGAGTGTGGCTGCAGTCACAGTCATCAAATCCTTGCAGTGTCTTCACAAAATCTCAAGTTCAGAACCCCTCTAGGATTGCTATGTAGGTACTAGTATAGAAGAGAGCATTTCTGATCTGTAAAGAGAAAACATGCAGGATTCTGCCTTCAGATGGCATTTTATTTCCTGGCTGGGGGCATGAGACAGACTTTTGGTATTGAAGGACTTTGACTCCTAGATGCTGGCAAGGCTGTGGAGAAATAGAAACGCTTTTACACTGTTGCTGGGAATGTAAGTTAATTCAACCACTGTGGAAGGCAGTGTGGCAATTTCTCAAGGATCTAGAGCCAGAAATACCATTTGACCAAGCAGTCCCATTACTGGATATATACCCAAAAGATTATAAATCATTCTGTTATAAAGATGCATGCACACATATGTTTATTGCCACACTATTTATAATAGTAAAGACTTGGAACCAACGCAAATACCCATCAATAATAGACTGGATAAAGAAAATGTGGCACATATACACCATGGAATACTATGCAGCCATAAAAAGGAATGAGTTCATGTCCTTTGCAGGGACATGGGTGAAGATGGAAGCCATCATTCTCAGCAAACTAACACAGGAACAGAAAACCAAACACTGCATGTTCTCACTCATAAGTGACAATTGAACAATGAGAACACATGGACACATGGAGGGGAACATCATACACCAGGGCCTGTCGGGAGGTGGGGGGCAATGGGAGGGAGAGCATTAGGACAAATACCTAATGCATGCAAGGCTTAAAACCTAGATGACGGGTTGATAGGTGCAGCAAAGCACCATGGCACATGTATACCTAGGTAACAAACCTGCACGTTCTGCACACGTATCTCAGAACTTAAAGTAAAATTTAAAAAAATTAAAAAATAAAATAAAATAAAAATAAAACGATTTTGACACCACGAAATTGCTGAGTCCTGAAAGAGAACAAATGGTTCTGTGCAGACCAGGCACTACAGAGAGGTGCAGAGCTGAGGGGCAAATGAAGGCTCACATGGAGCCCAAGCTCCCATCACCCAGTCTTGCACTTGCCTTGAGTGTGTGTAACCCCAGGGAGGGGCACATTGTTATGAATTATTTGCCCAGAGGGTTTGTCTGCCCTGAGCAAGTGCCTTTACTTATTTACACAAAGGGGTCCTCTGTGCTGGGTGGTAGCCCCACTGGTGGAAGCTGTAGTGTGCCCCAATCTCTCTTCTCATGCCTTCTCCATAGTCACAGAGCAATGACAGCATTCTTCTGGCCCCTTGCTGTCAGATGCAGGCACTGCCTACCATCTGATCAATGGGGAGTAATCACACATGCCATGCAGCAGCTTATAGGGACTTCCCTAAGGGACATCTGTCACATGCTTTTTGTCCCTGTTCTTTATCCTTTCCTCATTAGTGCTAGCTGGACTGCAGATGTTATTCAACCAAAGACACATGCCCTGATGAAACGCACACGGGGCCTGCTGGGGAAGCACTTGTTGGAGAAAACTCCAGGAGTCAGGAGCAGAAGTGAGCATGTGGATCACCTGTTGGACATAATGGTTCTGCAGCAGTGCACAGAGGGCTTACAGGGCCTGGCATCTGACTGTGGGAGAGGGACTTAACCCTTAGGAGGGTTTTAAACTTATGTCTCCTAGAAAGACTAGGAGTTTGGATCCAACAGCAGTAAGAGGCAGCGGGACCTGTCTCTGGTTTAATTCCATCAGCTCAGATTCATGGCTGAGGAACACTCATTCCATCCCTTGGTGAACCAGGGTTTGAAGTCCAAACCTTGCAGTCTCAGTTTCCATGACATGGCAGATGGGACCTGATTTGCCACCTCGAGCACTCAGCTGTACCAACTCAGACACCAACTTGTGGGAAATCAGTCTTGAAAAAGACTTGTAGCCTGTGTTGGTCAGTTGTTCCAACACAAGTCTCAGAGTTGCTCTGTGAAGGTATTCTGTAGATGTGGTTAGCATCAACAATCAGTTTGCTTTGAGTAAAGAAGATTATCCTTTTTAGCCTGGGTGGGTGGGCCATGTTGAAAGACATTAAGAGCCACACTGAGAAAGAAGAAATGCTGCTTGTAGATGACAATGTCAGCTCCCACCACAGTTTCCAGCCTGCTAGCCTAAGGATTTCAGGCTTTCCCAGCCAGACCCCCAATTCCTTGAAATAAATAAATATATATCTTACTGGTTCTGTTTTTCTGGTAGAACTCTGATACCTAGTGCAAGTCCAACTTGGACTTGCTTTTCCATGAATATGTTGGAATTAGAGCATCTATGTTTGACCAGCATAACTATGCACAGGGGAGCAACAAGATAACAAAGATCCTGGATCTTCTTACCCTGCGGATCCACAATAGCCCTTGGCCATACACCTCTGGATTTTTACACAGAAAAGATGCAAACTTCTACCTCAATGAAGCCATTGTTTTTCTTCTCTCATAGCAAACTTAATCCTAAGTAATGTATATTTATTGGGTGACTATTATTTGCTCAACAGATAAGGAAAGAGAACTTCTGAGGAACTAAATGACATACCCAAGATCACGCAACCAGCAAGTGGTAGGAATAAATGCACGCCTGTGGGGTTTGAAAGCCCACACTATTTGAACTACAAAATCCAGAATTTCAGGGTCCCACTTATGCTTCTACAACAGCCCTTTTACATCTAGGCGTGGGGGGAATATTTCCTTAAGCAATAGTCTTTGGCTTCAGAAAATCTGAGCGTCGTCATATACTTTCACAATGGAATGAGAGAAGAGCCAGCCAAAGGTATTTCAGAAGCAGAGAGAGCACTTTGCAGATCTAAGGTCTACCAAGGCTATCTCAGCTTAGCCATTCTTCAGGTCTAACGCGATGTACTAGGTTAGACAGAAGTCACAGGCCGAAGTCCAGAGAAAACAAGATGCATCAGTCACTGTGTAACTATTTATTGCTGTGTAACAAATTTCTCCATAAACATTTATTATCTCACAGTTTTGGTGGATCAGGCATTCAGAAGCAGCTCACGTGGGTGGCTGGTGGCTCAGGGTCTCTCATGAGGTTTCAGTTAAGATGTTGACCAAGACTGAGGTTACACGAAGGCTTGACTGGGGCTGGAGAATTGGCTTTTGACAGGAGGCTTCATTTCCTCATCCCATACACTTCTCTGTAGGGCTGCAAGTCTTCATGACATGGCAGTCTCTTCCCCCAGAATAAGTGATGCAAAGAGAAGGCCACGCTGCCTTCTATGACCCAGTCCCAGAAGTCACACACTGTCACATCTGCTATATTCTATTCATTAAAAGCAGATCATTGGGTCCAACCTATACAAAAAGGGTGGGGAAATTAAGCTCCACTCTTGAAAAGAGGAAAATCATAGGCGACCCATATTAGAACAAGACAGAATTCTGCACAGACTTTCATCAACAATAACTAACCAACAGAGGGCATTTGGCAGAGGAAGCAAACCTTCTGTGGAATAACGAAACCTACGGTACAGAGAGTGAACTCTCAGCCACCTCCCAGGAGGACATGAAACATCCTCTGCAGAGAACAATTAGAGTGCAGCACATTTCACAACATTGCTGAACACTGCTCCAACAGGGGCATGCTCCTGGTGGAAGCAAAACTGGGGCTCAGCTTCCATCCTAGGCCTCTGGACCCGTGATGGGAAGGGTTCTTTTTCCATATTATTTAAAAAATAACTAAAGTCAAAGGGACATTGTATATACAGAACAGTGTTTGAAATGAACATGTATAACCAATAAAGAAAACACTACCACAAAGAGAATTAGAACATTGCCAGGCTCTTAAAAGATCTGATTCTCCCTTCTTAACCCCATCCCTCTTCTTCCCGTTGAGAGGTAATCACTATCTTGGCTTTGGAATAATCATTCCCTTGCTTTTCCTCGTTTTTTTGTTTGTTTGTTTTGCTTTTTTCACTACCATTGCATGACCCCTAAATAATATATTATCTTTCTCTGCTTTCAAAATGTAAATAAATGGAACCATATCATATATGTTGTCCTGCTACATGCCCCTTTGGTGCGACAGTGAGTTTGTTAGTTTCATTAATTGCTGTATAAACTCCATTATGTGGATATACCTGCATTGGCTAATCCAATCTAATGTTGATGGATTCTTGGTTGATGAATGCTCATGAAAAAATTTCTTTTTTCTATATGCATGACCCAATCACCTCCCACCAGGCCCCAACTCCAACACTGGGGATTACAACTGAACATGAGATTTGAGCAGGGACATAGATCCAAACTGTATCAGACTTTTTTTTATTAACTTTAATTTTGAGTTCAGGGGTACAAGTGCAGGTTTATTACATAGATAAACTTGTGTCATGGGTGTTTGTTGTCCAGACTATTTCATCACTCAGGTATTAAGCCTAGTACCCATAAGTTATTTTTCCAGATCTTCTCCCTCCTCCCACCCTCCCCGCTCTGAAAGGCCCCAGTGTGTGTTGTTCCCCTCTATGCGTCCATGTATTCTCATCATTTAGCTCCCACTTATAAGTGAGAACATACGGTATTTGGTTTTCTGTTCCTGTGTGAGTCTGTGAAGGATAATGACCTCCAGCTCCATCCATGTCCCTGCAAAGGACATGATCTCATTCTTTTTATGGTTACATAGAATTTCTTGGTGTACATGTACCATATTTTCTTTATCCAGTCTATCATTGATGGGCATTTAGGCTGATTTCATGCCTTTGCTATTGTGAATAGTGCTGCAGAGAACACTGAGGTGAACATGTCTTTATAATAGAATGTTTTATACTCCTTTGTGTATATACCCAGTAATGGGATTGCTAAATCGAATGGTATTTCTGTCTTTAGGTCTTTGAGGAATCACCACCCTGTCTTCCACAATGGCTGAACTAATTCACACTCCCACCAACAGTGTATAAGCATTCCTTTTTATTCACAACCTTGCCAGCATCTGTTATTTTTTGACTTTTTAATAATAGCCATTCTGACTGGTGTTAGATGGTATCTTATTGTGGTTTTGATTTGCATTTCTCTAATGATCAGTCATGTTGAGCTGTTTTTTCAAATAATTGTTGGCCACATGTATGTTTTCTTCTGAAAAGTGTCTGTTCATGACCTTTGCTCACTTTTTACAAGGGTTGTTTCTTTTCTTTGTAAAGAAATTAATAAATTTAAGTTCCTTATAGATGCTGGATATTAGACCTTTGTTAGATGTATAGTTTGCAAAATTTTTCTCCCATTCTGTAGATTGTCTGTTTACTCTGTTGATAGTTTATTTTGCTGTGCAGAAGCTTGTTAATTAGATCCTATTTGTCAATTTTTGCTTTTGTTCAGTTGCTTTTGGCATCTTCATCATGAAACCTTTGCCTGTGCCTATGTCCTGAATGATATTGCCTAGGTTGTCTTCCATGATTTTTATAGTTTTGGGTTTTACATTTAAGTCTTTAATCCATCTTGCTTTAATTTTTGTATATGGTGTAAAGAGGGGGTCTAGTTTCAATATTCTGCATATGACTTACCACTTATCCTAGCACCATTTATTGAACAGGGAATCCTTTCCCCATTGCTTGTTTTTGTCACTTTTGTCCAAGATCAGATGGTTGTAAGTGTGCAGTCTTATTTCTGGGTTCTCTATTCTGTTCCATTGGTCTATGTGTCTGTTTTTTGTACCAGTACCATGCTGTTTTGGTTACTGTAGCCCTGTATTATAGTTTAAAGTTGGGTAGTGTGATGCCTTCAGCTTTGTTCTTTTTGCTTAGGACTGTCTTGGCTATTCGGGCTTTTTCATATCAGACTTTTTAATGTTTGACAATATGGTGGGTGCAAAATAGATATTATTTTGATTTTAATTTATATACCCTTAGTTACCATGAGCTTGAGCATTGTTTATAATTAATTGTTCATCATGTTTCCACTCTTGAAAAGTGATCTATTCAATTCTTTTGCATATTTCCCACCGTTTTTACTTGTTGATTTACAATAGTTAAACATTTTGGTTACTAGTGTTTTGCAGGTGATATGAGTTACAAAACTTTCTCCCAGCAGGTAGTTTATCTTTTCACTCTCTTTAATGATATATTTTAATTTAAACACCCTTAATGTTAATATAGTAATATCTATCAATATTTCTTTTACAGGTTGTAGTTTTTATGTCTTGTTTTATAAAACCGTTTTGCACCTCAAGGTCATATTCTCCTGTAATACCTTCTAAAATGCTTTATAAGTTTAAATTTTACATTTAAATCCTTAATCATATATGTGTGACTGATTTTTACATGTGGTATTATGTAGGGGTCCAATTAATTTTCCCCATTATAAAGATTTCTAGTTGTTTGGCCTCATTTATTGAAAAATCCACTCTTTCTGAGTTGATGTTTAGTACTATTTCTGATTATATCAAGTATGCATATCTGTTAGATTAGTTTATGGACTTTCCTATTCCATTGTTGTGTCTCTTTTGAGCCATCCATACTGTTATTCTTAATTACAATAACTTTATAATAAGATTTAGTTCCTAGGGGAACAAAAAACACAACACATGTGCTGTGCTTTCAAGCATAGCTGGGCCTGTGCAATCTGGCCCTCTGTGTAATTTTAAAAACAGCTTGTAAAAAAAAAAATGTACTGCCGGATTTTTTTTTTCAGAGGAATTGCAGTGGGTTTCTAGATTATCTTGCAAACAATAGACATCTTTATAATATGGAATTATTAAATCCATGTACATGATCCATCACTTCATTTGCTTACGTTGTCTTTAATGTTTTTAAATGAAGGTTTATTGTTTTCCCATAAAGCTCTTGCATATCTTTATAGAATTATTCTTAGGTATTACATTTTTATGCTATTGAAAATGATATATTTTTAAATTTAACCTTCTCAATGTATATGTTAGTATGTAAAAATGCAATTGAATTTTGATTCCAACAATTTTGCTAAAACTCTTAAATAAAATTCAAAAATTAACCTAATGATTAATTAGAATTTTATACATGCACAGCCATATTTTCTATGAATAATAATAGATTTGTTTCATTCCAATACTTACCATTTTTATTTCTTTTTTCCTTACCATAGTATTCTGGTGAGCCTCCAAACCTATGTTGAATAGTAAGCATCTTTTTCTTGTTCTTGACAGCAAAGAAAATGCTTTTAATTATATAGCTTTATGTGAAATATTTGCTATACATTTTCTATAGACACTATTATCAAGTTAAAGAAGTCATATTCTTTTCTTAGTTTGCTAGTAGTTAATAAGATATAGATGCTTAATTTTACTTTCTATATGTATTCAGATAATCATACTTTTTTCCTATAATGTTTTCATGTGGGGGATACATTAATTGATTTCCCGATATTAACCCAACTTTGCACTATTTTGATCAACCCACCTTGATCATGATATAATTTCTTTTTTATACATGGCTGAATTCTCCTTATGAATATTTGGTTAAAATTTTTGCATCTTGCATTCATAAGAATAATTGGCCTTTTTTTGTACTGTTATTGTTTTTGGCATCAAAGTTATGTTAGCCTACAAATTTTAAAAATTTTATTGGGGAGTATTATTCTTTTTTATATTCTCCACCATATTTTGGGAAATTTTGGACCTTAAATATTTGATTGACCTAACTGATGAAGCCATCTGACTTTAGCTTTCTTTGTGGGAAAAGCTATGACTATGAATTCAGTTTCTTTAATGGCTGTAAGATCATTCAGGTTTTCTGTTTCTTCTTGTGTCAGTTTTGCTAGGTTTGTTTTCTACACAAATTTATTCATTTAATATACTTTTCAAACAAATAGGCATAAAGTAGTTCACAACATCTTCTAATCATTTGAAAGTCTTTAGCAACCATAGACTTATCCCCATTTTTATTCTTAATATTATCTGTCTTTTCTTTTTTAAAGTACTCTCACTAAAGACAAGATTTGTCCATTTTATTAATCTTTTAAAAAACTCCAATTTTTATCTTTGTTGATTCTCTGTATTTTCAGTTGTTCAATTTGTTAATTTCTGTTATCTTTATAATATCCCACTTCCTAATTGTTTTTATTTGTTTTTTGTTTGTTTTGCTGCCTTTTTGCCAACTTTTTAAAATGGATGCTTAGTTTACTAATTATCATCCTTTTTTTTCTATTTCAATATAAATATTTAGGACTATAAATTTCTATTTGCTGTTTTAGCTGTATACCACAAATTTTATATGTATTTTATTATATTAAATCATATTGTCTAAATTACATTGTAATTTCTTTTTTGAAACGTTAGTATATTTCCTAAGTAAATTTTTCTACTTAACTTTTAATTGACATCTAGCATAATTACTTTAGGTCTGAGTAGGTATTATATTATTTTAGTCATTTAAATGTGTTGTGATTTTCTTTATAAACCTATTCATGGTAAATTTGTAAAAATGATTCATGTGTAAGAATTTGTATTTTTTAGTTGTTGGGAGCAGTACTCTAACCCCATTAAGTCAAGTTTGTTAATCTTCCATTTCTTGTTTTTTTTTTCACCTGTTTTATCAATAGCTCACACAACTATATTAAAAAGTAGGTATGAATGTAGTGCAAGAAATTATTTTCTTCTTGTTATAAAATCAAAATGAAATTGACTCCACCAAGAATTGGTGAGAATTTTGAATATTTTAATGTCATCATCATTGTGAGTTCTGCTCTATCCATAGATCCTGGAAGCAAAAGTCTTCTGGTCCTCAGTGCACACTCTTTGCTCCAAACCCTATAGGTTGTGGTTTCAGTGTCAAGTAAAGGTACAGGGATCCCTGATGGGGCTAGAATCTGCATAACCAAGGCTTCAGCTCCCTGGCAGAGCCACACTCTGAATTCCTGTAAGTATCCAGGACTTAAACATTCATAATGGTCTAGGTCCCCATTGCTTGTGAATCCTATAGACTCTAATCTTTTCCCATTAATGGGATAACTTCTCCCAACATCTCTCTCGTTTTGCTACTCTTCTTATTGTTTCCTTTTACATTTTGTTTTCAAAAATTTCCCCAAGAACTTTGAGAAGTTCAATTTAAACTACTCTACCTTGGGCTTGAGGGTGGAGGAATGAGATGCTGAGACGTAAGATCTGGTAATAATGCCTACAATAGGCATATTTCCCTCCACAGAAAGGTCAGTACCTCTGTAAATATACAAACCAACTGCCTGGCTTCCTGTTTTTTTCTGTATCACGTTCTTGTAGTACCATTGAGAAAGTAGCACTGGGAGGTTGAAAATGTACCTGGCTAGCATCCAAGTCCTGGGTCTGAGTTCAAGCTCTGCTTTTCACTAGCTACATGTTTTAAGATGTATATTACCATCTTGGAGTCTCTACTTCTCATCTTCAAATGGGGACAGGAATTCTGCAAGACTCTGAGGTCTACAAAGTCAGGGCCTGTGTTCTATTTCTTTTTGTATTCCTTGGGCCTAATTCCACATCTACTATTGTAGATCAAATCTTTGTTGTGAATGAAAGAATAAATAAATTTCTGTCTTCAAGATTTTTTGCTATGATGAACTGAGACAGCACATGAGTAAGCTCTTTGTAAACTATTTTTTTTTAAGCACATGAAAAATGTATATTGTTATTGTCACCTTTCTATTATATTTCACAGCAATGTGAGATATCCTCAAATATGCTTTTACATCCCTCATCCTCAAATGTTTAGATCATCCCCCAATATTTACATATTTTTCAGCAATTGTTTAATATAATCTCTACCCAAGGAAGAGATAGAAGCCACTTGAAAAAAAGTCTTAGGGACATCTCCCAAAACTGCTTATTATTTGAATGGCTTATATTTTAAAATGTGTGCAGCCAATTTTTCGCTCTCTTGTGCTCCAACCCTTCTTCATACCACAGGCTGTGGGCGTCTGCCCCACAGACCCTGACCCAATGACAGATGAATAATGTACACTGACACACAGATATTCTGCTTTGCCAGTCCAGCTAAGTGTCTCAGCTGCTTACAGACTCCCTGGAGAGTACTGTAAACAGTTGTCGACCAGCTAGTGAGACTTACATTTATTTGGTAAAGATTAATTGACAAAGGCTCGAGTCAACACCACTACAGGGTAATTGACAATGTGGACTTCCCGAGTAGAAAGCAATTAAGCACCTGTGGTAAATCAAAGGTTAGTCTTAAGACCACATGAGTAAACAAGCTAGCTAGAAAAACTCTCCACATTCCTTTGTTACTACTTTAATATATTTAACTAAAGGTAAAGGGACCAGGCCACCTTCAGCCAGATCTATTACCGAAGTTATGCAAACTCTCAGGCCTTCCAAGAGAGTCTGTGGCTGTTACTATAACCATCTTTAATATTTTTCCCACCAGCCTGATTGAACCCCTACAACAGACTATGGTAGGTCAGACCCAGAAGTGCCAAGACTTTTCAGACATGGTCCACAGGTGTAGCAAGATGCCCCAAGCCCCACTCCTCAGTATTTTTTGGTTCATTAAATACAAAAAATGAACGTTGTACTTGGCCTTATATTGTTTTTTAAACCACAGACTGCTTGGGTTTTGTTTTGTTTTGTTTCCATCACTAGTATGTTTTGCTCCTGAAGATTGTTTTCTGACCCCATGCCTTTGCTCAAGAAAAGAAAAAATTCCCTGCCTGGAATGCATTCTATTCATCAAAACCCTTCCCTTTCTGAAATATCACCTCCTTCAATAAGCCTTTCCTGCTCAGCCCACTATATGAGTATGAGTATCCTCATACTCAGAAGCAGCTCACACATGCTAAGCTGCCCTACTCCAATTAAGAAGAAAATACTAACACAGCATCTATAGCTTTCATTCAAGGAAGGCTGAGTACTTGTTAAGATCATTTTTTCTAAGTTCACTTAGCTGTTAAAGCAGCAAGGGCAGGATTTGGATCAGGTTCTGTTTGGTTCCAAACCCACCATGAGGAGCCACTGTGCTGTTTTACCTCTGAGAAAGACCTGACTTAAAACCCGACCTCTATGTTATGAGAGTCAGGCTCCTAGGATGGGGAACCACGATAGGTGCATGCATGTCTTGTCTTGCATTAGAGATTTTTATGTACATTTTCCCTTTCTAGATTATAATCTCTCCAAGGGCAAGAACTCCCTAACACCTTTCTGTACCTCTTACATCATTGTGACATCAAAGATTCTTAGCAAATGCTTGTTAAGTAAATGAGAGCAGACATTCTTGCTCCCCACTGATTTTATCTTGGATGCTAATAATACAGTAACCTTATTTCCAAAAACCATTCCCACAGAGCCCGACACACCGTGGAACAAAAACTGAGAATTGGATTGAAGAACTGGATTGAGAAAAGGAAACACTTTGGTGAAATCACAACCTGTAAACAGACCTCAAAACATAGTGTTCACTCAACTGAAGCTGAACGTTCTATAGCCTGGGTTCATTTGGCTTGATTGCGCATCACTTGTTTACTTGGTGTGTATAACACTCCACAGGAGTCACAGGGTCCTTTTATAGGCATCTCTGGTCTGTTGTGGGCCCCGGGTAGTCATAGTCCCACTGTCTTGCTCATTATCCTCCTGCACCCCCAACACAACTGGACATCACACACTAACTTAACAATTCAGCCTCCTTCCAACTGTCTTACCCCTTCTATCTAGTTTCTTCCTGCCTTAATTAACTTCCTAGCATCATATGAATAATCATTTGTTTGTTTGCTCATCCTATTGTGGTTGCCCATCCTATGATCTTAACAAGTACTCAGCCTTCCTTGAATGAAAGCTATAGACCCTCTGTTAGTATTTTCTTTTTAATTGGGGTAGGGTGGCTTAGTGAACATGGACCTGACAGTGTTGGTTTAAAATCCAGTGACCATTGCATAGTTCCACTTTAAAATGCCCTATGTCACATTAGTGTGAATGCACAGAGGCACAGACAGGCCCAGGGTCTCAGGTTAGAAAATATGATGAGGGGAGGGGTTTCTTCTAAAGAGAACTGTGGAATTGTCGGATGTGAATCTGGGCCTGTTGTTCGTTTCTCGCTATGCATGTTTCCATGGGACGGACACTCAGTTGTTACTCTCGCTCTCTCCCACCACTTCCGCTCTCTTTCACAGGAAGAGGCGGGTCCTACCCTGATGGAAACCGGTTCTGGTCTCTGTCCAATGGGAGTCGCTTCCTGTCCTGCACCTTCCCAACCACATCAGTGAAAGGGTGGAAGTGCTGGTCTGCCCACTGCAGGCTTAACCCATGTTCTTCCTACTAGGAAAGGGACGTTTCCATTTTCATCCACCTGACTCCCGAGTTGGTTGCAAAGATGGAAGAAAGGAACAGCCATTTATTCTCCTGGAGGCAGGCCCTGCCGGACTTGAGAGGGCCTTTCCTCTGACCCTAAGCATCAGAGCGGATGGAGACAGAAAATCCTGAGGCCGCTGTATGGTGGGTCTCTTCACAGCCATGGGGCCCAGCCCCACTCGCCTCCACCAGGTTATGGCCCAGCAGCTGGGACTCCGTCCAGAAGAGCACCTGCAGCACGTATCCTGTGTTCTCCATCAAAGCGGCCTGGAGTCCGCCTGCGTCCCCAGCAAGCAGCACTCCCGCCCTAAAACCAAAGGGCGCAGCAAGGAAATGGGAGGGCTGCGCTTTGCTTCCTGTCTGATAACTACCAACAACCGGGCTTCTGCCCAGCATAGCTAGATAAGGGGAGGGCACTCCATTTGACATGCCCTGAAGACTGTCCAAGCGATGGCTTAGGAAGGCCATTCCAATTTCAAGTCCTGAAAGCTGTAAGATTTTTCTGTGACTTAGAGTGATTTATAACATAGTTTAACCTCTCAAAGCTTCACATCTGTAAAATATGGATAAAACTATCTCAAAGCGGTATTGTGCAAGTTAAATGAAAAAGATAGTGTATGCACATTGTTTGGCACTAAGCTATTATTATTATCAAAAGTAGTAGCAATTAGTATTATTGTTTAAAGGAGAAAATGATATCCATTGGGAGGCTCCTCTTTGGACCTGAAAGCTTAATATCTGGAATTACTTAGAACTGGAATGCCAGCCTCCGCCTCCTGCCAGCAGCCTGCTGCCAATTCTGATGAGACAGCTTAGAAACCATTGCCCTGATGCCATAGAAAAGAAGAGGACAGCTAGCCTTTTCCTTTCTCTTCACCCTTAATTTAAAAAGGTTGGGCAAGTTACACATCCACCCACCTCCAAACCTTTCAAACAAGTTTCAGTTATATTCTTGCCGAGTAGAAAAACCAAAAATTAATAAGAGAACTTACTTAAAATAAAAAGTTGTTAACATCTTGATACATCCTGGCTTTCCAGTTAAGAGACTTTACAGAATGGTTCGTGACTTCTACACCAAATTCTTTCTTGTATATTTTGTCTACACCCCACCCCTTCCTTAGCCTCAACCTCATGAGTGCAAATGGAGATCAGCCCTGGCTCCTGGCATCCCACGACGACTTGGAGGTGGAAATTGTTAGTCTGGAGTGGGATTGAGGGCCCCTGAGGCAGACTGACACTCTTTCAGCTGATGCATGTCTAATGCTGAGCAGGCTGTGACCAACCACCCTCAGGACATGTTTTTATGCAAGTGTGCTGTAGGGGGTGGTCTTCCTCATAAGTGAGAAAACATGAAAGCAAAGTTCATTTATCCCATCAGTTGGCTGCTTCTCACCATTCACCTGGGCCCTGCAGTGCTGAGAAAATAGGATGTATTTTAATCTCCAAGCAGACTGGACTCCAATCAATTTAGAGACACAGAGCCACAACATAATTCAATTTGGGGTGATTCCACTGTCTCTGTAATGTCTAAAGCCCTAATGTACTGCTGACTCTTAGGACAAACTGGCACTGATCAAGAGTGAGGCCACTAAGCCATCACTGATTTCAGACTCTCACCCCTGACTTTCTATGTATGGACAACACTTAATATTTCACAGAACCCAAGTTGCACTGGACCGAAGAAGACCTAAATAGCCATGTAGTCCATGTGCTGCCAAACACCTGGCAAATAGTTGCATGGTTGTTAAATAAGCACACCTCATATCCAGGAACTCCTGGACAAAGGCTGACCATTCCATCTGGACCTCCTCCAACTTCTAAAAAGCTTTCTCTTGAATTTGGCCAATGGGCATCCCTGCTGAGCCCACCTTTAGTCCAGATGTTACCTTTCTGGATGTTCATTCATGCATATAGCTGCAAACGTTTTCCAACAGCTTGATATTGCTAGGCACTGTGCTGGGTCCTGAATCAATGGGTGATAAGGGTAATCCCACTTTCAGCAGAGACACTGACAGCCCCTACTTGACATGGTCCTGGGTTCTCTCATTCCCCTTGTCTCTCCCCACTGAACCTGCACTAACTGTCCTATGTCCCTCTTTAAGTGTAGGCCCAGAATTGATGTTGCAGTCTAATGTATAACAAATAAGTCCTCGTTTGTGACCTGTTTCAGAAAATGCAACCTAAGATTGGGCAGTCATGTCACCTTCCCGTTTAATTTTCTGTCCATATGAGGCAAAATAGCTTAAGATTAAGAAAAAGCTTTTGGAATTAACTAGCCCTGGAACAAGCATTTGTTGCACCTCTTACGCTGCAGAGCTGGGCAAATTGTTCAATCTGTCAAGACATTTTTTTAAGTGTACCGTAGGGGCAGTTGGAAGGAGTAATGAGGCAGTGTGTATACAGCACCTGACCTAGTCATGGCTCATTAAAAGCTGCTATTCTACATCTCATTGCTGTCATCTCCAAAACGCTGAAGTCTTTTCACATGTGCTGCTGCTCCATCAAACTCCCAGATGTTTTGGGGAGGACTGGATGGAGGTCCTAACACCTTCAAGATCTAACCCGTCACCTCAGCCTGTTCTTTGGCATCCTGGATGTGTCACATAACCTATTGTCATCTCAGCCCCATGGCATTTGGAGCTGAGATCAGGATAGCTTCTGTATCCTCATCTGAGTAAAGTATGACCAAGTAAGTTCAAGGGCCGCAGCCTGGGGTTTAATCCTGCGACCTCCCTTCTAGACGAGCATCCATTTTTTAATTAGTACTGTTTGGCTGTGCTTATTCAATGAGTCATGAGTCATAAACTTGTAACATCTCCAGATTGTTTTATGAAGTCATATCAGGATGAAATTCTGCCTACCTACTATTTCTGTATTATCTTCTTTAGGAAACATGCCATGTGGCTACAGAACATGAAAAAACCATTTTTTTTTTCCATAAAGTTTCTACATATAACATGCTTCCTGCAGAAGTTTGTAATTCACATATTCTAGCACTAATTATAATCAGGTAATATTATGACTTTCTCCAACAGAATAATAGTTTAACATTTTTTTGTGAGAAGATAATGATGTTTTACTCAGTAAAATGAGTTTAAAATTACAAGTTAGAAAAGTTTATCTAGTTGTTTCTATATAGCATTAATCTGGGCTGCTTTGTCAAAAATTTATTTTATTTTTGAATCAGGGTGTCACTCTGTCACCCAGGCTAGTGGCGTGATCACAGCTCACTGCAGCCTTGAACTCCTGGGACTGCAGTTGTGCACCACCATGCCCGGCTTTTTGTATTTATTTATTTTTTTGTAGAGACTGGGTACTCTCATGTTGCCCAGGCTGGTCCCGGGCTCAAGCGATCCACCCGCCTCTGTCCTTCAAAGTGTTGGGATTACAGGTGTGAGTCAACAAGATTTCTTTAAACCAAGGTTAAAAGATAAAAAGAAGGCACAGAATTTGGTGTATTTTTGAGTAGTCCAAAGTAATTTTTATTCTCTAATTAGTCACCTCACGACTTTATTTGAATGAATTAATGAGAAGCTAAATAAACTAGCTTTTTAAAAAATATTTTCTTCTCTTTCTCCAGGCAATGGGTCACTTTGGGGCGCTGCAGAACATCTGTGCTTTCCCTGTGCCCCATCACCTTCCCAGCTCCTGAGCTGTAGCCATCTCTGCTGCACCTGCTGTCAGAGGGCAGCTCCTCCGGCTCCTGCTCCTGGGTTGCAGGTGCCACATCTGTGCAGAAGGCTTAGGAGAAGCAGTGAGCCTTCTAACTGCAGCAGTCCTGACAAAGCACTTTGTGAACCCCTCCGGGACATAAGGGCATCAAACTAGGAACAAAAACACAGTCTTGACTGTGATTTGGTGATTTTACCACATACAAGGCCCGAAAGCCAATTGAAGACAAGAAAAGAAGACAAATCTCTTGCCAGCAGGAGTAAGATTGTACAGGAGTCTGAGTATACATCAGGGCAAGCCAAGAGACAGGGACAAACAGAGAGAAAAGGTTCATGCAATTATGAATATGACCTGGAGGGGGCTTTGGAATTAGATTACAACAGTAACAGAGAGTTAATGCCATTTTGAAACAATTTAAGAATTATGTATTTGAAGGAACTCAGTATTATCATGTTATCCAAAATTATCCCAGTTGCTCATAAGACTTGCTAATAACCTGGACTGGGGGTGGAGGGTTGAGGGATCTAATGGAAAACATCTGTTAAAATTGAATATGATAATCATGTCTTGTTTTTATGATCTTGCTCATGAGACAGTCTTGAAGAGAGAACTGAGTGATTATCCAAGTAAATGTGTATTTCTATGAAGAATGTAGGTGTGTCTTGACTTTGCATTCCAAAATAAAAATGACTGATCTTTTCCATTAGCACAGTTTGGGTCAGCCTAACTGCCAGCTTTCATGATTGTATTTATTTATTTTCCCTAAGGAGATACGGGCACTTTGTGGGCCTTCCCAGGCTGCTGCAAAATGATGGATGGTTGGGCTCCGTCTAATCCAAATGACACGGGGTGTCAGGAGCATTGGTAATCGTGTCCTGCCGACTTCAAAGCCCACTGCCAAAACATCCACAGCACAGAGGTTTGGCAACTTCACATAATCATAGCAAAAGGACTGCAACGTGAAAAAAACAGGCCCTGAAACAGCTATGAAAAGGGCCAGTTCAGAAACCTATTCAGCTAAGATGTTTCGGCTAGCGCCTTCGCACGGTCACCTTGTATTTTCACCTTTTGAGTTGCCTTCACCTGGACCAAGGTTGGCAGCATTTGTGATTCAAAGAAAAGATGCCCAGGGAAACTGACTCTAGATTATGGAAATAAACATTGTCTTCAAGGGATAGCCAGCAACATCAGGCTCAGGGCTAGTGAATCCCAAGCCACAGTGCCCAGGTAACTCTGATGTAGCAGGACTAAAGCTGTCTACCTAGTGAGAGCTCCTGAAAGAGAAACCCCGCAGCAAATCTAGACGTTATCCCTTGTTTCTGTAAAGTGAGAAATTGCAGCTATCCATGACGCTTTATTTGCCAGTAATAATACAGTTTGCCTTACGAGTGGTAGCTTGTTCACTGTTCAACAAATGTATTTTAATCATAGCAGGAATTAAGGGTGATTTGTGACCAGGTGCTGAACTAGAATTTCTCAATGACAACCCCAGCTTCATAGGCCTCTTTCCATTCCAGGCATAAATATGGAGGCTCCAATGTGAAACCCGGGGTCCTTCTGTTCCAAAAGGGGCTAGAAATAAAAGACAGGAGGGGAGGCAAGAAGGACCTGGAGAGGCTGACGCCATTTGGGTGCCAAACATCCTATTTCCTTGGCTCTCCCTTGCACAAGTTCCTGGACAAAGTAAATTATAACACAAAATCCACAACATTCAGCACATGTTTTCATTAAGCAACTTTAGTCACTAAAAAAAGTGCAAATGCAGACTCCTGTATAAATCTGATTTGCCATGCTAGGCCAAGCTTATTTTATTACATACATTCTGCATTCTAAGAACTAATAACTTCATATTGTAAACATTAAGCATACAGAGTTAAAATTCAAGGCCACATTATATCGATTGTCTCTTTTGTCGTGTGTCTTTGGCTGGCCGAGATCAACTCGTAGTGTATAAATGCATAAGTTATATAATTATTATATAAAAAGGGGGAAAAACATTGACTTGTATACTTCATTCTGACAAACGCACAGCGTTCGCGACTCAAAGGAAAACTGGAGGCCGCCTACCCAAAATGCCTGCGTGATTTCTGATTGTGGCAGCCAAGAAGGCCATCTCTTACCTGACCCTGTGGAGAACAAAGCCCCCACATAATGATGAGGTCCTGAATGTTTCTCTTAAATATCAGACAATTCCAGTTAAAATTTTCATTTGACAAACAAAGAAAGAGATGCGCATTTTTGTTTCTGAATTCTACTACTTCCCCTTTCTCCATTACGCTGTGTCCTTTCTCCTAACACTGGGTTTGGTATAACACTGACTGCATGAACCCTCGAGTCTCCATAACTCATTGTACACAGTCCCCAAATGTCCTGAGTCCAGTCTTCATTGCTTGAGAAGTTTCTTTCCCAGCCCTGGTCTCCTCCTTCTCTGCCTCTTCCTCCTCCTTCTTCACCCCTCTGTCTACAATCACACGCTCACTCTATACACATCCTCAGTCCCACCTTTTAGTTCATAGTCCCGGTAATACTGTAAAGGAGTTGGAAACTTTGGGTCATCTTCACAGTTTGAGAAAGCTGACAGCTGTCCATCAAACGGAATGTATTTGATTTCAACCAAAACAGCACATGCCATGCAGTTGCATATCAACGTCTGTTGATGGGCCACAGTCTCTCTCGTGTCTTTTCTCTTGTTTTTGATATGTTTCTATTTTTAAATACAGGTAGTTTTCCTTAAAATGGCATTATAAACGGTATGTTAGGTCAAAACTGTGTTGTTTCTATTGCTTTAGTTTCATCCCAGTTTGCATTAGTGGGATTCCAAACTCTACTCTAAAGTTTATACATTTCTTAAGACCACTTTCTTTGGCACTTTGTCCTTAAGACTTCATGCTTCTACATACACTGTCTTTTACAAGGTCAGTCCACAGATGATATGTCCATATTCGTGACATTTTTAGCATCCTCCTCATTTCTGTAGTAAGACTTCAGTAACTCCCTCCCAAGAGTCTTTGGATCTCTTCCCCGGCTTCCTTCCCCAGCCCCAGTAAAGCTTTTTTCATTCCTCTTGAGGCACTTTTGATTCATGTTCTCCGATAGAGTTTGTGGCGATGGGCTGGTGAATGCACGCTGATGGGAAAAGCCTCCGCCAGGTCTTTAGTAGTAAGTGCCCAGATGAGAAGGCATATGGCTGGTGGGGAGCCTAGTGTTGGGGTATATACCCCCAGTTGGTGAATTCCAGTATGGGTTTGGGGCAGCAAAAAAACTGGAAGATGTCACGGGGAGGGCTGGAGGGTGGGGCGCCACAAAGTTCATCTTCTGTGGGTGGGCGTGATAGGAGCCCATGTACGGGAGGTCTGAGGGGTACTTGTACAGAGATGACTCCGGGGGGTGGGGCTGGAGGGCCTGGGCGATCCCGTGGAAGTCGAACTTGTAGGCGTAGCGCTTCCCATGGACCTTGGTCATGATGTTCTTGTCATAGTAGTAACGGAGGGCGCGGCTGAGCTTATCGTAGTTCATGTTGGGTTTGCTCTTCCGCTCTCCCCAGCGCCGGGCCACCTCGTCGGGATCCGTCATCTTGAACTCCCCGTTGGTGCCTTCCCAGGTGATGCAGCTGGAGTTGGAGCTGTCCGACAGGAGCTCCAGGAGGAACTGCCAAAGCTGGATCTGGCCACTGCCTAATGAGGTCAGGAGAGGAAGGAAAACTCCAGTGAGCACAGGTTCCAGGGGAAAGAGGCTCTCTGTGATGACGGAAGGAGGTGCTATTGGTGTGCCGCCCACATTCCCTTCACCAGGCCTGTCCGTCCATCCCTCAGCTGCAGGGGTGCGGACTGCTCTCGTTCCATGGCCACCCACTTCTCCAGAGAACTGCCCTTGCCTGAACAGAGCCGCCGCCTCGCCCACCCCCAGGTATCCCACAGCTGGGTGGACTGAACGGGGTACCACGGGCCGGCCCCCTTGCCTCAAGGAAAGACCAACTCCATGACGCTATTCAGGCTTCAGGGCTCCCGTGGGATTGGGCTGAAACAGCGTCCAGCTGCAAGGAGGCTTGGAGGAGGCCAGAAACTTCCTTAGCGCTGCCCCTGCAGCACTTCCCATTCTCTCTCTCCTGAGAACATGCCGTTAATCAGTCACCTGCACAAGCAGGCTTACCCCAAGCTCTGCATCAAGGGAACCCGACCTAGGACGATGATCTAACAGATTCAAGACCTAGATGGAATGCAGCGAATTCATATGGGGCAAAGTTCAGGCTGCTTCCATCCATTTCTGACGTCCTTAAAAGAACAGCCAGATCAACCTGGTGTTTAGGGGATGAAAGAGCTATATATTTTTTTTTCCTATTTTGTGAAGCACAAAGTACTGTTATGTGGATGGCAATAATGACTTAATGCCATTTATATTGGCTAGGTCAAGTAAGATAATAAAAGTTAGATTTAGGAAATGAACTTCTAAAAGTTTATGGAAAAAAATCGAGAATGGAAGTAAACACCATTATTTCTAACATAACATTTTGCTGGCGCTCAGAAAGCAATTCTGTGAAAACTTTTCCTAGAACAGAATTAACCCACTCAAAATGAGGAAGTTTAGGAAAAAAAAAAAAAAAGCTGGCTCTTTTTCAAACCAGATCACCCAGTTCCAGTATTTGGGCAAGCGCATCGTAACGGAAACCAGTGCCTTGCCTGTGTGCTGCAACGCCAATTGTGTTAAGCAGCATTTCCAGAAGAAAAACCCCAACAATGAGTGATTGCAAGTCCCCTTGGGAAGCTGAATGAGACTCTTCCTTTGTCAAAGAGATCACATTTAGCTGGGTGGACAAAGTCAGAATTTTCTTGATTTCATTGAAATCATACAGATACAGCTTTGTTTTATGAAATTCAAAGAAAAATCTAGGCACATCATTCTAGCTGCTATGTTACAATACTTGAAGATAGTTTATGGCTCCCTAGAAGACAGCAGCATGTAAATATTGACAGCAGTATCCGTACCAAGAGAAGCTAAGCTGTGCTGAACATATTTCAGAAGCTTAAGAACAGATGGGAGGTGGGTCTTTCCTCCCAAATTCCAGTTACAGCACTGCCTTAGACTTATTACCAAAAGATTACCTTTTATTATAGTGTAAGTAATATCAATCGATGTGATAAAATGATTAAAGTAACTTTAACTGACATCTACTCAGGGAAGTAATATACTGTAAAAATCAATTTTACGTTCATTTTCTTCTAAATCCTCGCTAGCCTCCTGTACATATCACCCAACTTATAAACTCTGCTTTGCATGTTGGCTACATGGACATGGATATTTTTGTGAATTTATCCATACAATAGCACTGTGAGAAAGGTCAGCTTTTTCTGAATCTATGCTGGAAAGTGCTCATTTTCAGTCTAGCAACACATTTGAAATGTATTAACAGCTTGTAGCTCATTGAAGTGGAAGCCTTTGCTTTTTCAGAACCACATATACAAACTGTTCCCAATCAAGTTTTGTTGCCTCCAACATTTTATTAATATGCATTTAGAAAATACAAAGAATGGTATGAGAAAACCATATGGTCTTAGTATATATATTGTAACCAAAAAATTACAACTTGAAAAAATTCCGTATATGACCTGGGAATAGGAAAAGGCATGGATTTTTGATTTAACAGTCTAACAGATGCTTCAATATAAACACATACGGTTGTTTGAAAATAAATATTCAGCGTCAACTTTCTCCCATAGAGAAAGCAACTCCACAGACCTGCCGAAATCACACTTGGAATCTACTCAAACCTTGGCATTGCCTCTTAGCAATTTGTCCCTCACCCATTTCTCTTATAAACGTGTGTAGGACAGAATCAGTGGACAAAAGTGATCTCATGTCTCTCCTATTTCTGAAGAGTTAGAAAGCAGGGGACCTAAATTTGTGGCAGCAAACTCTATGCCCAAAGGATGGATGAGCTAATTTCTCACTTGACTATTTTACCCAGTAGCCATAAAGACATAGGGCTCAGGACTGTGAGAATTTCAAGGGAGGGTCTATAGAAATAAGAGAACTGTAAGCAAAATTCATCAGCTTTCAAACCTTGAAAGAAACCTGGAAATGCAAAATCAATGAATGTTTAAGTAAATGGTAGAAAGAGTAACATCATGTCAAACTCATTAATTGTTAAATTTAATATTTGTAACAAAATTCGCTGCATTTTGCAGTGTGTAGAACAAAATTTCTCACTGCAAGAATTCTCAAAAATGAACAATGGTTGTTAAAAAATTGTCAGTGGTAAAGGAATTATTCTCAGTCATAAAATTTTAAGAGCAATTTTTAAATTCTTATTTTACTTCCAAAACAATAACATTTAATGTGTGACGAGGTGCATTTTAGAATATAGAATAGAGATTTCCAAACAAGAATGCTTAGGGTTTAGGAAAGCCTAAAAGTGGCTTGGGTCACTCATGGGCCAAACCAGGATTTACAAAGAGAAGTTCTTGAAAGACAAGAGCTTTCATTGAGTAGCATCACCACCTCTACCTTAGGACTCACCTTTCTTGGGTAAACCCTTCAGATCTATTTTTTTTTTTTACTCTCTCTTAATAACATCCTTGCGATGTCAGTAAGGAGGAACTAATTTTTTCTTAGGGTAATTACCAAAATAAAACATATTTGGAGGTAAAAAACAGTGGCAAGCAGCATTGTCCACCTACAGAGAACCCTGTGGGTGAAAGGGAGCGGCTGTGGCTTTTAAGAAGACAGAGGCACTCCTTTAATTTTACAGAGGAAAGTAATCTCCTAATATTGTTAAAAGAAAGGGAGAGAAACAGGGTAGCAAAGGGGTACAGACTGAGCAAAAAAGGGGGAAAAAAAAACTAAACGGTTTACAAACCACAGAGCAAAGCAGAGAGCTGCAGAGTGAGTCAGCAGCTGTGTCTGGTGGAAACAGCATCCTGGTGCAAAGCCCTGCAGCCGTCAGCTGATGAACAAGGGCAGTAAATACAGCCGTGAGGGGCCCCACCAGTACCATGTGGCAGTGGTTTGGGGCCACTTTCTCTAGAAGCCAGGGGTGGTGCAGAAGATCCCGTGTGCATGGCCTGGACCCTCTGCAAGGCAGCAGGTGTGTCCAGCAGGTGTGTCCTGAATGGAAGTCTCTGCCCCGAGGCTCAGTGAGGCTCAGGCACCACTTACTGGAGGGGCAGGAAAGCATGGTGGTAGGGAGCACCAACTTTGGAGTTGCCACTGCTTCAGCTGAATCCTGCCTCTGCCCTTTGTGGGACGTTTGGCAACTCTCGCAGCTCTCTCTGCCTCAGTATCGTCATCTGTAAAGTGGGGGTGATGGTAATAGTACTATCTTGCAAGATCATGGTAAGGATGAACTCAGTACTTGAATGGTCTTGTCAGAATTTCTTTGGGCTGAAAATCAGAGTTTAAGGAAAGATAACACTCCTCTCCTATAGCCAGGAAATGCCTAAAGAAAGAGAAATACTGTTCAATTGGCCTATTGAACCATGAAGAAGCTTGAAACGGTGCTATTCTTGGGCTGACTGATATCCTCTGAAAGCTTACTGTGTGCCATGCACCATTCTAAACGCTTTACATGTATTGGTTTATTTAATCCCCACAGGAATCATGTGATTAGTCCATTGGAGAAGTGACGAAATTGGAGCTTAGAGAGGTAGACTGACTTATTTTGCTTAGCGTTGGCAAGGGTTGAAATCCAGACTCTAGGCTGCCATGCTTAATCACTGCGCAAACTTGCTTTCAGGCCTGGTTTATGCACACCTCTGTAGCCTCCTCAGGTCCTTTCCATGTTGTCCCCTCCCTGGGGGACTCCCACTGGAAGACTGCACACTGCCACCTCCTAACAAATGGGAAAACATCCCTAGCCTGGTCTGTCGTTCTGCAAGAGGCAGGATGTATTTTCATGTGCACCATTGAAGAGTATCCAGTTAGCATCAAGGAAGCCTCTGAACATAACCCACCAAAGCTCTTTCATTAGAGGAACCATGTTAGATAGATTCTCAGCTGCTCTGATGGGATGTAAAGGAGCTGTGTTGCTTATAACCGATCCATGATATCAGAATGCAGGGACACACTGTTCTCAGCAGGAAAAGTGATGTCCAAAGTACACATCAAGTGAATATTTGGGATAGAGATGTTGGGATGCTGACATCATCCTGTGCATTCATACTATATGATGCAATCTTTCCACTTAAAATGATGAAAAGGAATTTGTATTGTATGAAGAGCAAAGACAGCAATTTTTAAGTGATGAAAGATTTATTTATCAGAGAATAGAAAAATAGAATCAAACAGGAAGAAGCATTGTCATTAATACAAAGATAAAAGACATTCTGGTTTCAGGGGAAAAGTTCACATGAGCACAACAGACACAAACCTAAAGATAGATGGAGAGAAAGTCAAATTCATCAGAAACTAAATGAAATAAATCTTTATCTTAAAGTCACTTGCCTGCAAATCAAAGATGGGATGTTGCCATTTTCTCCAGGCCCATTAAGAACAGTCTTAATGGTATGAAGCACAGTCCTCCTTCCCCAGGCCTGTGATGAGTTTCCGGTCTCCTTGCTCTGAGCTCAGGTCCCTCTATCTACAAAGGGCATCCCCGGGCTGCTGGGCCCAGGGCATATGCAGTGTTCCCTTGTGAAAGCTGGCACTTTGCTTAGGAGCAAGTGACTCAGGCCCTATTCTACAAACAAGCCAAGCAGTACCTTTGGGCTGTGACAACGTGGTCATGGACATATATGTTTCATTTGGCCAATGTGTGAGTGCAAAGGCCAGTTTGGTCTTCTTTGGTGCAGCTTGACTCTTTCCTCCTCTTCCTTCCTGACCTCAGATTCATCGCCTGCACCTAAGCAGTTATGACCCTGAAAGGAAATCCTTGCTTTCTATTCTCACAGTCCGCATTTTGTAAGACCTCCTCTTCCCTTCATACTTAGTCAGTGGCAGAGTAGGGCAAGAAAACAAAAGTAGACTTTGCAGACAGAGTCAGGTTTCTAACCTGACCTCCCTTATCATTGGCTGTGTGACACAGGAAAAGTTACTTAACTTCTCTGGACTTCTAATTCCTTTTCTGTAGGATGGAGATAGTAACCTCCCAGGGCTGTTATGAGACACAGAAGGGACCACAGACATTCTATGGGGGGCATTCTGCGGGATGGGAGCTGTTTGATTGTTATTTCACATGATTGTATTAACATTCCCAGAGTGTTTCAGCTTCCGTCATTTTCTTTTTTCTAATCTATCCTGAACATTGCTGCCAGATCAGTCTTCCTGAAGCATGACTGATAATAATCATCTCAAAACATAGTCATTATTTTTATTTGAATGGTTATATGGCAGAGTTGCAAATGAAAAGCTGAGCAGAAGGCTGAGAAGAGACCACAGCCTCAGGAGCCTGGGCTACTAGATGAAAGCCAGCATGAGCAAAAAGGGCCTGTGGCTCTGTGTTTGGGACAATGTTGTAACTACCTGTGTCCATCTCTCCACGGACCAAAAGCACCCTGAGCTAAAGGACTATATCTCATTATCCTTGGCATTCATGTATGCAACAAATAATTATTGAGCACCTAGTCTAGGCCCCAGGCTAACTAGTTTTCTTTAGATTTTCAGCTGTGTAAAAAAAATTCATTGAATTCATTAACATTAACCAAAATTTAACTTCAAAAATACAGATGTTCAATAATGATAACATTTCGTGTTTTCAATGTGTAGATTCTCTTGCAGGGATGTACACTGATTAAATCTTAATTATTCCATTTCGAACCTTATTTTGGCCTCAACGTTTAGGAAATACACATTCCATCTTGTGCTTGCAATATGCCTGTAACATCTTGGCATTTGA
Organism: Homo sapiens; assembly: GCF_000001405.40. NCBI lineage: Eukaryota > Metazoa > Chordata > Mammalia > Primates > Hominidae > Homo > Homo sapiens. The sequence goes on from NC_000021.9 coordinate 38,390,076, forward strand.
ATTTGCAGTTGGGAATATGCAGCATAGGCTATGAATTTCTGAAGCTGGTGCCAGCACAGCTGGTTCTGATCTGAATACAAACAAATAAAACTATGTGGTTGGCACTGAAACACTAGGACAGGTGACAAACCTTGGCAATGCACTGGTTACAAATGGGCTAATTAAGAATCTGCACTTTCTTCTAGCATCGAAGTTCAGAAACAGACCATCGAAGATGAGCCTGAATTTGAAGTCTTGTGGTTGTATCAAGGCTCTCTTTTAAAAAATACTAGTTATTTTATCTGCTTGTATAATGGGTTGAATTGTGTTCCCTCAATTCCCTATGTTGAAATCTTAACCCGCAGTATCTAAGAATGTGACCTTTTTTGGAGATAAGATCCTAAATGAGGTAATCAAGTTATAGTAAGGTTATGGGGTAGGTATTCCAACCTGACCAATGTCCTTATGCAAAAGAGGCATTTGGACACAGAGACTGACACACACAGAGAGATGATGATGAGAAGAGACACGAGGAGATGATGGCTATCTGTAAGCCAGGGAGAGCCCCCAGGACAGATCCCTCCCTCACAGCCCTGAGAAGGAACGAAACCTGCCACCATGACACTCTGATTTCAGACTTCCAGCCTCCAGAACTGCGAGACAATAAACTGTTGTTGTTTAAGCCACCTAATCCGTGGTACTTTGTTACAGCAGCCCTAGAAAACTATTACAGCTTGGATTAGGTTATAATGTTCTTTGCTGAAGCTGAAATCTTAATTTATAACCCAACCCATCTTTCCATTAAGGCAAATAATTCAGTGAGACCTAAAACTAAAATCTGTTCAGTTGAAGGAATTTCTCACCAATACCAATTTACTTTTCAAAATAACCACTGCCAAAAAGTAATTTTGTAAGAAGAAAATCATCAGCAGTTTCTCACCTGGATTTGCAAGGCGGCTACTTGTTGGTCCAAGAATCTGATAAGGATCTACAGCAAAAAGAAACAAAGTCAAATCCTAGACATAGTTGTAACATAGTATGATGTGACTTCAGACATAATGCCTGACTTAATTGTTTTTTCAGATTTCAGAGCCGAAAATGTCCTCCAACTCCAAATCAACTGCCTCCACCTCCTCTATGAGAGAAGATGTCACACGGCATCTCAGATGTCTTGCTAGGGGACTCCTAATTGGTGGCAGGGCTTGGATTCAACCCCAGGATCCTGACATATAGCTCAAGGCTCACACCAACCAATGATATAAAGAGGGCAAACATGTGCCAAGCCCCATCAATCCAGGGCCGTGCAGGCTGTGTTGTTTAGGCATGGAAAGTAAAATCTAAAAAATTAATGGATCACAAAGAAGCAGCCTGTGTGCACGTAGAATTTTTTTCCCTATTTATTGCATAGTTGGGGACGTGTTTTAGCACCATCTCAAGTCACCTCGCATGAGTAGGCTGATGACTTGGGCCCTATCTTATGTATGGAGCTGTCGAAAAGAGGCAAACAATCATGTTAATTTCCATTAAAAAGTGAAGCATTTTAGAAATGTGCTGCTGAGCCTGAATCTTCTCTTATGGTTATCCAGACGGCCCCTGAAACATACCTAACTGAGGACGCTGGTCTTCAGTTTTGGGCACTGTGGAAGGAGATGGTTGAGCAGCTGAAAATCCAGAAATACAAAAGGCAATTAGCTATAACAGATTTGGTCACTAGTCTTTGATGTTGTTGCATAATCATTCTATCAGTTAATTTAGTTATTAACATAATAGTCTAACTCAGAAGCATCTCACGGTAAGGAAAAATTTTCCTTTCTGATGAAATCAAATGTAAACACTGTAACAAAAAAAGAGGACATTTCCAATTATTTAAAAAATGGATACCTCCCACTTTTTCCAAAAGTAAAAAAAAAAAAGAATTTGGAATGGCTTACCAAACAGATTACAATAAATCATAGTCTAAGATAAACACATAAAGGGAAACCACCAGTCAAATAAAGTAAAGCCAGGGATACTTTTAAGCATGGCCAAGATTCAGGAAAACACCGATTATTTAATGTGTACTCAAACATCCCATGAAACATGCATTTGTGAAGGTTGACATACACTACATCATTCCTTTATTTTTGTTATGAAAGTCCTGATGACCCAAATGGAGAAAGAATCACTGCAGTGAAAGATCAATTGTACTCTTGTCGTCAATGGAACAAACCCATCACATGTTGCAAAATCACAGATTAACCACAGAAATTATTATATACTCCATCAACAGTCATCCACTGCCTGTGACATGAAACTCAGGGTCATGGGAGCCAACACTGTACCTTTCGACTGGGGCGTGGGGTGGCCGTGACCGGTCCAGGCTGATCTCCTGGGGGGCTCATATGGTAAATCTGTAAAGACAAATAAATTGACTAAAAGATCAATCATGTAATTTTTATAAGAGATGCTTTGGTTTTTTATTTGATTTTGTATTTATTAGAATAAACTTTGTGCAAAAAAATCTGGTAATCCAAAGAAATATCCCACTAGATTTGAGTTTTATTTACAAATTAAAATTTCATATATTATAGTGGTCTAAAATTCTCACCCGTTTGTCTGAAAACTTCCATTGGCAGATTCTCCCAGAGCTTTCCAACTCTTCTAATTTCCTACAACCATAAGTCAAGACCCCAATAAAAGTTTCTTACAATCTAGTTCATCCTGCTTCCACTGGGACTGATCTACATCTGTCTCTTTATTATCTTCATGACTCATCCAAAGCAGAGTCTACAACTTGGATGAACCAGCCCATTTTTGTTTGAGGTCTGTTCCTAAATCAATCAAATGACATTCAGCTTCTTTTTCTTCTTGCATCTCCTGGGAAGTGATCGCTGCCTTATCTTTTTATTTGCCAGCTGCCTCTCTTAGCCAACTCCCATTTTCCCTTTATAATCTCATCAATTTATATTAAATCAGTCTTATCTGATCTAGTGATTTTCATAGGCAAATGTCTCCCATTTCTAATGTTCTAAATAAATTTAGAATTTCTCTAAAATGACCTGCATGAAATGAATTACAGGACTGAAATAGTATTGCTCCCACAGCCCATTAATGATGACCTTCTGAGCTTAAGCATATGCCAAACATTTCTTTGTATTTATAAAGTCGTATCACTTGTCCTATAAACCTTCATTTACTTTTCATATGCAAATTTAATAACTATACTTCTGCATCCTCAGTGTGAGTTCTATTAATGATTATCAAAGCTCTATGTCATTTCAAGTTTGTTTCAAAAATATATTACAGAAACCTTATTATAATACTCTTGCTAAGAGTGCATAGCTAAGGCTATTTCTACATGCAATCTTATTACATAACTGTTTCAAAATTATGTCTTCTTGGATTGCTTGGTCTCAGTTCAATGTCATGTGTCATTCTGGGCCAAGTGAAGGCCATGGCCAAATATCTCAGCAGGTACTTTGCTGCCAGACACCAGGAGATGTGTACAAAATTTCACTTGGAGGGTAGGACAATGCAATTGTTTTTAAGCTTCTCTTTAAACAAATATTTTAATTTTGTTTAAAACCAGCAATTTGATGGGTCAATCTTCAAAGAGCTTGACTGTGTTGCAGAAGATGTGTCTCTTCCTATTTTCATATCCCAAAGAGAATAGAAATGATGCGCAACGTGAAAGTCAACACAGAATCTCCTTAATGTATTTGGTCTGTTTGGCTGCAAGCATCTTTGCTACTAGTGTGGTCTATGAAATCCTACCCTTCAGAGCTTTGGAGAATTAGATAATTTTTCTTTTTAAACTGATGTTACTCCTCTCTCTCAGCTGGCATTTTTGCATTTTTGGACGTAAATCTTTTCCCACCCAGATCCTCAGATTTTCACATCTCTTGTGTTGGGGTTACACATAGGAATTATATCTGCAGCCCCTAACAATTTACAACTGAACTTCAACTTAAGTCTCTGGGAACACTCTGCACATGGGTTCTCAGTCAGTTGCATTTTGTCTAAAATAAACTGGACAGCCAGAGTTTCAATTTGCAAATTGTCTCAGAAAGAAAAACCTACTCACAAGGCAATCCTAGCCACATCTAACCTAATTTAGGAGCAGAAAAGCACATTAACTAAGGCCTTCTATTTACCAAATGAAAAAAAGCAAGATAATACAGAAATACAGAAATATGTTCTAGATCTCTGTTTCTCAAAGGGTGGTCTGTGGACCAGCAACATCAACAATACCTGGTAGCTTGCTAGAAATGCAGAATCTTACCCCAGACCTACTGCATCAAAATCAGCATTTTGTTTATTATCTTTTTTTTTTTTTGGAGGTGGAGTCTCGCTCTGTCCCCCAGGCTGGAGTGCAGTGGCGCGATCTCGGCTCACTGCAAGCTCCACCTCCCAGGTTCACACCATTCTCCTGCCTCAGCCTCCTGAGTAGCTGGGACTACAGGTGCCTGCCACCATGCCTGGCTAATTTTTCGTATTTTTAGTAGAGACAGGGTCTCATGCTGTTAGCCAGGATGGTCTCGCTCTCCTGACCCCGTGATCCGCCCGCCTCAGCCTCCTAAAGTGCTGGGATTACAGGCGTGAGCCACCGCGCCTGGCCTCAGAATCAGCATTTTAACAAGATCCTGGGTGACTCTGGTGCACACTGAAGTCTGAGAAAGCCTGCTCTAGACCATTGCTCTTTTCAGGAACTCTGTTCCTGCAGATGATTTCAGAAATGCTATCTAGAGTGTGCAAAGACAAACTAAAAAATGGTTGAAAGAGTTCTAGATGGATTGCTTTTACCCATGGCATAAGTATGCTAATGGAATGAATAGACAGCATCAGTAGGTTAGTCAGATACTACCTTAAACATAAAATTGTTGCTCATGAAATGTGACTGGGAAAAAAAATAAATGCCGAACTACTATTCCCAAAATATTTTGAAACTCTTTATTCACAAAATCCTTCATATGGTGTATAACCATATCCCATCCTCCCTCGAAAATAAGTCGAAACTTAACACCAAACAGTCTACTTTTCAGCCAAGTATTTGAGACAGTTATATGAACAATGATTCACATGTTCATAAACATATTGCCGCGGAAGATAAGTGGGCTTTTGTTTTCTTCCATGACATTCTGGTCCAATGCTTCCTTATCGGCTACCGATCACATGCTGTGGGCACTAAGTATCCCCCTGTGGGATATGACATTGGGAAACATTCAACTCAGGCTCACTGAGATGGGGGACAGCCAGGGGTGACTTCTTTGGCAGCTACACCATCTCAAAACCTTCGTAGTTCTGCTCTTGACTGCTTGAAAAATCACTCCTCTATGTATCTTTGCTATGTGTCCTTTATTGATAATAGAGCATCAGACTTCCAATAAGAATATATTTTACATTTAATTTTCGCTGATCATTTCAACACCCTCTCCATTTCTCTTTGACTTTGATCTTCAAGGCAATGAACTCATATGCTTGGCAGAAGTGCCCATGTAAGGGAAGGCTGCTTTCTGGCACTGGTTCTGTTGTTTTATCTGTAAGAGACTGTGTTTAAAAACTGAGCTTTATAGAAGTCATTGCATAGGCAGCTTGGGTGAACACAGATGTACATTACATCACAACAGTATAAAAAACAGCATGAAGCTACAAATAGGGACTCGGCTAGTGCTGACCACTACACACCAGCAACTGTGTCGATTTCCTGGGAGCTGGGATCAGCTTCTCATTCTGAATGAGACTCCTCCTCCACCACACCCTTTTGAAGACATCACTAAATTAATACAACATTCTGGCTACCCTTTCCTGGAGGGCTAAGTTCAGCCAAGTTTTACATTCTCCCTTCATCAAACTCACTGAGGAGGAACGCTCTAGCTCTTGCCCCACACACCCCACACCGCCACCCCGCTGCCTACCCGCTTTATTTTTTAAAGGGCAAGAATGTGGATCGTGGAAGAGCTCATCCTCATTCTGCAGGATCCACACCATATCTGCAAAGCAACTCTGGAGGTTCCCTGGCTGGGCTGGATGGGAACAGATGAGATTTGCCTGCTCTTGAAATTAGATGCTAATGGGGAACACAAATTAGGAAGAGCAAGAGCTGCTGCTAAGAACCAATCTAGAAGTGTCTGTGAAATGAAAAAAAAAGTTTGAGTCAACCTTAACATAATTAAGTTGCTCTCTATTTTCCTCCAGATCTTCTTAAAATTCTACATCAAAGTTTGAGCATGGAGTTTTGGAAACATTTTGCATTCCCTTCTTGCCTAGGTTTGCATATCCCTGTGGTTATATAAGAACTAAGCGGAAGCAAAGAATGCAATTTTAGCCATTTGCTAAGATACAGGCTTTACATAACACCTAACTGAGAGATGCTATGCAGTAGTTGTATTGTCTCACTATGCCTAGCTGTGCTGAAAAGCACTAGGCTGTGAGCTCCAATGGAGGAATAATTTAAGATTCCAAGAAACCCCTGAAGAGCAGCAGCTTCAAAGTAGAAGCAAAGGCTGCATTTGCAGGCTTAACTCTCTAATCTCTTTTGATAACACCCCAGAGGCATATCATAATATATGGGTTGTCATGGGGATGGAAGAGGAAAGGATGGGGTTGCAGAACATCATCCTTGGGATAGAACTGAGCTTTTGCATGACCTGCTCCTAAGAGGACAGGCAGGGTGGTGCACTGTGTAGTTAATAGGGGCTTGCAAGATTCTGTGGATCTGTTTTTGCCACTTTTTCCCCTGAGACCTCAAAGGGCTATGGCTCCAAAAGAAGTGGATTCAGCAAAAAAGAAGGGTGTTTGTAGAGGAGGTACAGAAAGGGATTCTGGTCGTAGTAACTGCAACAACGTGAGAAACACGTGAAACATCATAAAATAAAGTATAATAAAATATATATATATTTAAAAAATCATAAAACCACAGAATGTAAAATGATATGCCTATGGGTTGATACTTTATGAGAGTAGAGAAGACTGTCTCAATGCTAATTCAACAAAGGGGTTGTGAAAGAAGGTAAATCTTGAATCAGGAAAACGTGGGAAAATACTAGGTACGGGCATGCAAGGAAAAGGGATGAGGTTTGGACAAATGGCAGGTAGTGGTGGTGGCAGGGCATGTTCACATGTGGTCCCCTGTGAGGTCAGTGAACGGCCTCGGCCAATTGTGCAGGGAGACTGAACTGACACAGCAGCAGCGAGACTGACCTGACAGGGAAGCAGTCAGGGGGCTCTGGAATAAATGATCCACTTGGGAAGGTGGGCCATGAACAGAAGAAAAGGTAGATTGGGGGCTGGGCATGGTGGTTCACGCCTGTAATCCCAGCACTTTGGGAGGCAGAGGTGGGCGGATCACGAGGTCAAGAGATCAAGACCATCCTGACCAATATGGTGAAACCCTATCTCTACTAAAAATACAAAAATTAGCTGGGCATGATGGCATGCGCCTGTAGCCCCAGCTACTCGGGAGGCTGAGGCAGAAGAATCACTTGAACTCGGGAGGCAGAGGTTGTGGTGAGCCGAGATTGCACCACTGCACTTCAGCCTGGCAACAGAGTGAGACTCCATCTCAAAAAAAAAAAAAAAAAAAAAAGAAGAGAAAAGAAGATAAAAGAAAAGAAAAGGTAGGTTGGGGCAGTAACCCAGGGATGGGTGACTCACAGTGGGAAGGGAAGGAGGGAAGGGTGGTGAGGAAGTGCTGGGAAGGTGGATGCAGCAGGACAACACACATGTGTAGGAGTCTCTGCAGAAAGGGTGCGGAATGCTGTCTAATTTAACCAGTAAACCCTGAACACCACTGTCTCCTCTATCAGGGACTCTATAATGAAACGGCCACCATGCAGAGAAGAGACAGATTCTGGTCTAAGTAGAGTTGTTACCTAGGAGCCTGGCTTGCTTCATGGTCAGCACAATAACGCTGACCAGAGTTCGGTTCCCTCGGATGTGGGATTAGACAAAGGGTATGGAAATGAAGATCATGGCACAGCAAACCAAGAGTGGAGGAGACAGGGATTTGGGTCTGTATCCCCAAGGACCTTCAAAGAAACAGTCAACAATCACCTTTCTGAAAGTAGTCAGGTACCCACTGACCACAGGGATATCGTCAGATTCCCAGTGACCTCCCTCTGGAGCTCGTTCAGCTCTGAAAGTTAGTGATGCAAAAGCTCTTCCCCCTCAGCCATCACGACGTTCATTCTCCAGTTGCAGGTTCACAGCTTTTATCTCCACAGGAGCAGTCCTTTAAGGTTGATCGCTTAGCAATGGATGACCCGAGGTGTATAACTAGTTCTTATCTCCAAGTTCAAGTCCCTGAATAGGGCCTACAGTAAATAGTCCTCTGGCTTGTTCAGTCTGCTTTAAATTCTTTACAGGTCAGATACCAATATTTGTATTGGTTCTCATAATCACAGTAGCAGTGGTCAAAACAGGTTATTTCAGGTACAAACTGAGTCGCGAAAACATACTTGACTAGTAGTGGAGCTGTGGAAGTGTGCTCTCTCCCAGGTCACGCTCAAATTATGGGCCCATGGAAGACCACCATCAGAGCGGCATGGGAGGTGTCTGAGTTTGCCACCCTTGCCTTCCCTGGGTTGGGCAGAGAGGGAGTCCCAACCAACATCCTCACAGTCACCCTCTTCTCCATCCACCTGGATGGGCCATACCTTCCAAATCCACCATATCCTAAAATGTGAAAACAAAGCAGCTCCAGGACCCACTGTCTTAACCAGGTAGCATCAGTCAGCTGGCTTGTCTGACAGAGAGATTGTGCCAATGAATTTGGCCAGTGTTGTGATCTTTTAACACAGTTTATAATACTAGCTCACAACCCCTGGCTTTGCAACTCAGTCAGAGGCACCTATGAGATGTCTTAACATAAACAAACAAATACAAAATTAAAAAGTAAAAAAATTTTTAAAACCCTAGCCAAATGTTTTGGAAATAGTTTTTATTTTTTTAGTTTATATGGAAATATTTTTTAAATGCTCACAGAATTACAAAATCTCTAAAGCTTGAGTCAAACATGAATTTCTATTTTCCACTCGCAATACACGTGGTGGATGTCTTTAGGACCAATCTTGCAGACTCTAGGCACTGGGTCTTGCCCATGTTTCAATGGCCTGTGAAATCTTTTACATGACAGAGATGACTTACTACCTCTTAGTACCCCTTAGCTGCTAAGCCTTTCCATCATGCTTCCCAGGAGCAAGACAGTAAACTTTTTCTCTGACGTTAGAGAAGAGAAAATTGCCAGCCTGAAGTCACTAGGCAGTAACCAGGGCAGTGTCAGTATTTGAACAGCCTGAGAAGCTTCCTCATTCATTCTCTTTAGCTCCCTGGGCCCCCAGTCTTTCTCATTAGAAAGAAAGAGTAGTTGCCAAGCCTAGATCTTGAACCAGTTCGAACTGAGACTTGTGTATTCCGGATATGTGATAGAGTTTAACATGAATTCTGGAAGCATGTATGAATATGGAGAAACCATCCCACCACCCTGAACACAATGTCATCAGCTGTGAGGCTGGTACAATGATACCTAGCTTATCGGGCTGATGTAAGTCCCAGGGAGAGGACAAATGCTAAAGGCAAGCTATACCCTTCTGGGAAATGCCCTCTCTCCCTGCTCATTATTCGTCTGGCAAACATCTAATTCCCCTTTGCCATGTGGCCATTCCTCTGGAAAGCATCTTTATGCCTTTCATGGGGGATTGAGTTCCTCCCCACCCCTGCTCCTACGCCCTGTATTGCTAGAAGTGGTTCCTCTACCATAAAATCTATCACATTAGGGAAAACATTTATGTGTACATATGTGTCTCTCTGGCTCTAGGTCACTCTACTGAAACATCTAGAACTGGAGGCAAAACATTTCGGTTTGTTCACCATCATACCATCCGTGGCTGGCACAGAGGAGGCACTCAGCAAATGAACAAACCAAGCTGAATGAAGAAGTAAACTTTCTGAAGACAGGAAGCTTACTGAAGCCTGGTTCATCTATATATTCCCAGAGTCTAACACCACGCTTGGCACTAATGGGCACTTGATAGATGTTTATTTTTGCATGAATGGCATGTAAATTTATTACCTAATTAAATCATTTGGAGGACAGGCAGTAAGATTCAGATGTAAATACTACTGGTTGCATGCTTCTGCTCTGCAAGACTGGCTTCTTGTGACATACTGATAATCGGTCACTGTGAATCTGGGGAGTGTCCTTGTTTTGTGCTCTTCCCCCGAGGAGGGACAGATCCTTCTGTTAGTTCAAAAGTCGGCCTATTCCTAACTGCCAGGCATCCAGGATGCCTTCTTTGCCCATCTGTCTTTCTGAAAAGCTAGTTAAAGGGCTAATCTGCTCTTAATTCCTTTAGTGTGGTCTTTGAATGAAATGGTTTGAGTGGATTTAGTCTCCAAATCAACAGAGGCAGAATAAGACTGTCTGGGACTGGCTTCAGCTCCGGGATCAGCTCTCTTTGTATCACGTGACTTAGGGCACGGATCTCAGCAGGACATCTGGGATGTCTCTCAATGAAGAGATCACACAGGGGTGTTTTCGTACCTGGCCTAGTTGTAATTCTTTGCGTAGCTTCAGGATATACTGAAGTATTTGGGAAAATAAAAGCTGCACCCCCTGCAGACAAAAGGAAAGACAAACATGTGAAGGTCTTTTGTTGTGGTTGTCGATCTCAACATCAGCGCCAAATCTACTTTTCCCTATGACAACAAAGGGAAGAGACCTCCTCAAACCTGCCTTAACAGAGCTCCGGAGAAACAGACAGGTGCACCTGTCAGATTCTCAAGATGGAAGTGAAACTTGGAGCCTTGGTGTACTCCTGTGCCCCGTTTGCTATAAAGCGTTTTGTGTTTTGATTTTATAACTTCTTGATGAAGCCCTATCTGTGTCCCCCTCAATCCCACTTCCCACTGGGCAATCTCGTTTTATTAAAAAATTATATGGTACATGTTTTATTTTTCAACTTGTATAAAAACCCATAATATATTTTACAGAGCTTTTGGAAAGTAGTATCAAGCAATTATAAGTATTTAGCCTAAGAGTATATGGATTTTATTAATAATTAATCCACATCTCTATTCAAATGCATTTTCCCTCTCTCTCTTTTGACCAAAACTCATGCTGTTAGCTGAGAAAATTCCCTTTTCATAGTTCAGTCCATTTGGAATTTGTTGTCTTGTTCATTGGTTTCTTCCGTGTTTAACAATAGCAAAATTTAATATATTTGGAGCTTTTTTGAAACTTTCACTCAATGGTTAAAGAACTCATAAATAAATGTGAAATTATCAGAAAATGTGCATAGCTCAAAGGTGTTTCCTAAGAAGGGGAAGTAACTTCCTCTAAGTTATCTGTTATTTCTGGCCACAAGGTCACTAATAGGCTGATGTGTGCAACCAAAATTATTGAAAAAGTGTACTACCAACTCGAAGCAGGTTTTTTAAAACTTCAGATTAAAAAGACAATGTGTTGAATATAGAAGACCATGATAAATGAGCAATTTCATTGTAATACTCAAACCGGGACTCACTCACATTTTATATTTTAAAATAAAATGGTAAATATTGGGAAAATTGCGTATTTCTATGTGAGGGCTGATCGTGAGTTAACTGGCTGACTTGCAAGGCTTTCTGGCACTTCCCGTCTCCCTCCCTAGCCCGAGTGATTGTGGAGGGTCCCTGCAGCTAACAGAGTGGGGTGAGCAGCCGGTGGCCATGCTTCCGGAACTCTCTCCATCAGGAAGGAGCAGATGGATGTGAACCAGGAACACATTCATCCACAGAAAACCCAGCCTCTGCTGTGAGCGGGGGGCGAGGGAGGAAGGTTAGCCAGGATGAGGCACGGTGTTAAACCCTACTTAGGCTCAGGCAAAATAAATACATAACTAAGTCAAATGTAGAGGCAACGGTTAGAGATAGAAAACAGGCATTTGGTTAGTGACTAATTTCATATTCTCCAAAATTATAGCAGAGGTTCCCTCTGAACAAAAGCTCTCAAAATGTTACAGAAATTCCCTCCTGCCTTTTGCAAACATACAAAGTCTGTAGGAAAACAAATCAAATAGCCTAAAAGTTTATTGGAAAGGAAAAAGAAAATTCCAACTTATCCTAGCAAATATTTCTTTAAGAATAAAAATGGAAAAAATTAAAGGAGGTTGCTAAGGGCCCTTTTATATCGAACATGCTTTTAGTGTCTACAGAGTCAGCACAGCGAATATATTGGGACCAACAGAAGAAGACTGTAATCCGGCAAATGTGAGCTAAGTTATGGCTAAAGGCAAATTCTGCACGTCTCCTGGTTAAAAAGGAACCCTTTGATAATCAAAGTGGGGTGCTTGGGAAGCGCTCAGAAAACCAAAGGGCTTCACCTTCCTTTAGGCTGTGGTACATTCCTAAGTATCCGAAAGTATTCTGAATCATCTACCTGCGTTCTGTCTTCCTGGCACGCGCTGACTGGTTTCCCATGAAAGCATGCAACCTGTACGTAAGACCCTACGCTCTTGCTGGGAGGCAGGGGCGGGGCCAGCATTACCTGTGTTTCTAGCATGCATTAACCGTGGAGAGTTTTGTAAGGCTTTATCAACATCATCTGAAGTCAAATGTGGAAGAGGAGCTACAAAACAAAACAAAAAGCGACATCAAAATGAAAAAAAAAAGAGAGAGAGAGAAAGAGAATTACCTTTCTTACAAAAAAAAAAAAAAAAAAAGAAAGAAAAAGAAAGAAAGAAAACCGTTCCCCCACTCCCACACTAACATCATGGGAAGCTTATAACTATTTCCAGCAACCTGCTACTTGTTAGCATGTTAAAACCTACATGGGGGCCCGTCTTTAATTCAGGGAAGAAGTGGTTGGGATGCCAGGCAAAGCAATGGAGGAGAATTTATCCACCTCACTGTCTGTCACACTACTTCCTTCTCACCATGCTGGACGTTGTAGAAATTAAAGCATGCAGCAAACATTCTGGATTCATGCCAACATGCCATCCCTTTCTGTCAGGTTAAGCCGAATCACATGATACAAAGTGAAAACTTCCCTTGTTCTGTGCTCAGGTTAGAATATAAAGTGGGGCTTCATGTAGCTTTAGGGAGAATAATCCCCCTAATTCCTACGAAAGAGAAGCCTTAATGATTCTATTTCGATTCGGGGTATCATGGAGACTTAACTAATGTGTGACCAGTTAACGCTTCCTTTCCCCTTTGACATTCCATCTTCTTGGTCGCAGGACCCTGGAGGAGGCAGCTGAGTGTTGAAGTGAATTTTGGCTTCTCCTGAGAGCGCTGACTACTTCTCATCAGGTGATGTGGCCAGGGTGTTGCTCCCCTAAGTCATCACATACCAAGCATGTGGCTCCCTCGGATCCCCAGTGGGAACTGGGCGAGGGCAGGAGGATGCTGTCGACACACCTGGTTGAACCCTCTGAAGCTCAGGTCATAAGAACCATAGCCACAGCCATCTATCCTTGGAGGAAGGGGGAGCTTACTCTCTCTGAGGTAGTGGAGATGTGAGAGAAGGATGTCGGCGTTGTAGCTGGGGGTGAGCCTCTGGAAGTCGTCCTTGGTCATCTTGCACAGTTCCTTCCCATCGATGTTCTGGAATAACAAGATGTTGACGTCTGGAAGGCCATATTCTTTCACCGCCCACTCCAGCCACTGCCGCACATGGTCTGTACTCCATAGCGTAGGATCTGAAAGGGGTGGGAACACATTCAGTCAATTCCTGAAGCCAGGGATCTTCATCTTGGGGTAGATCCCCATCCACGTGGGATTTCTGACCAGCTGCCTTCCACAAGCACAGCCTCCAGCCAGCCTCCCTGGCTACCCAGGAGAACATTTTGGGGGAAAGACAAAAGCTGCCTCACATCCATAGATCATTGTCTTTAAAGTGAATAGTTCTGGAATCTTGGGATTATTCACATCACATGCCCTTGTTTTTGCTCAATCTAAAGTTTCCTGTAGGCATAAGATTTTAAAAATTCTTTTTTCTCATTTATGTTCAATTTTATTTATTTATTTTAAAATGAGTAAGAATAAGAGGAAACTTCTTTTCCTTAGAAAACTACTGGTATATTTATATATATTTATATGGAAATAAGAGTAAGCCACACATATCAGGAAGGTGCTAATTACAGATCACAACAACAACAAAAATAATAATAACAGTATTTATGCAAAATACTGAAAAATACTGACCACAGAATCGGAAATGAAATATAGATACACCAAGACTCTAGCCCCTCCTATGAGCCAGCGTTCCTCATAGAGAGCTGTCAGTTCCAGACTTTTCCTGCAGGGTGTTTGGTTTTGCAATTAACCAGCACCTGCAGGAGTGGGGTTGGTGAGTGGTTTTTGCATTCCACAGCTGGCCATGGCGAGCACAAACACCCCACAGGATGCAGGCCACGTCGTCACACTCCAGTGCTACCTATGGGACAGGGAGAGCAGGGCCCGGGGGAGAAGGAGCAGGTGATCTCCAACAGAAACGCCAGCCGGGATGTCCTGTGGTAAACACCCTCAGTGGTAGGGTCTTCAGAGTGTGGTAAATGGGGCGGCTGCTCCCTTGGGCCCCGAGCCCTGAGAGACACATGGGCAGGGAGTTGGAGCCCTGAGTTCTAATCTCACCATTTCTCCACTTTCTGGACCTTGCTGTGGGCAGCTATTTCTCCTTTCTGTGTCTGTCCCACCTGTAAACTAAGAGCACTGATCTCAGTTCCCGGGACAAGCCCTTAGGGGTCAGGCATGCCAGGATGTTCCAGTCCTCTTGAATGAAAGTCAGGTGTGGGAGTCACATTTTAGCTAATACTTTCAGATCCTTGTTTGTTTGGTCCCACTAATATTTTAGGCTACTCAAGAATGGAGCATGTAGTATGCTGCTGCAATACATTTTTAGGTTTGCAGAGGTAAACCGTAATAATAGTGAGAAACAGCCAGCCAGTCATACACCCAGAGTTCTCTTCCTCTCCCTCCTTCCCTCTTCCTTCCTTCGCTTCTCCCTCCCTTTCTTCCCTTCAGCTACATAGAAGAAAGAAATTATTGCAGGTCCAGTAGAATCTACCTTTCCCATTCCATTCTCCTACTGCAAACACCTATCCTGAAGTTAGTAGCTAGTGGTTAGAAGTAACCACTATCCTGAAGTTAGTACGTGTATCACTCCTATACATATTTTAATATTTTTACCATTTAAACTACATATATTGTTTTGTGTTTTTAAAGTTAACATAAACGATATATGATTTGCTATTGGCACTCAATGTTATAATTTCAAGATGTAGCCAAATGAATTCACAAAGATATACTCAATCATTAAGCAGCTCTTAGGCCTCCCCCATGTGAATAATCTCAATTTATTTAGTGAATGTCCCCTGTCCATCTCCATGCATACGCGTGAATGAGTCCGCATTGGTCCAGGGCCTGGGGTCCTTTCTGGAATCATCTGGGGAGACTGAAAAACTAGTGATGCCTGGTCTCCCCTGGGAGAGTCTGCTTCAATTAGGCTGGAGGGCAGTTGGGCATCACAGTTGATAACAGCTCCCCCAGGTGACTCTAATGAGCAGCCAAGGTTCAGATCATCTTCCCTGGGCCTCACTATTCCAAGCGTGGTCCTCCAACCGCGGAAGCATCAGCATCACCTGGGAGCTAATTAGAAATGCTGAGTCTCAGGCCCCACCCAGACCTGCTGAACCAGAATCTACATTTTCACATGAAACCTGGGGACACGCTGGCCTTGGCTGAGTACCTAGATACGGGATTTCTGAGTTACAGGGCACATCCATCTTCAACTTGACCAGCTAGCATTGGATGTCTACCAATATTTAAACACCCACATTCTCACTTAAAAATCAGTGCACAGGCCAGGCGCGGTGGCTCACGCCTGTAATCCCAGCACTTTGGGAGGCCGAGGCGGGTGGATCACGAGGTCAGGAGATCGAGACCATCCTGGCTAACACAGTGAAACCTTGTCTCTACTAAAAATACAAAAAAAAATTAGTCGGGCATGGTGGCGGGTGCCTGTAGTCTCAGCTACTTGGGAGGCTGAGGCAGGAAAATGGCATGAACCCGGGAGGTGGAGCTTGCAGTGAGCCAAGATCAGGCCACTGCACTCCAGCCTGAGCGACAGAGCGAGACTCCATCTCAAAAAAAAAAAAAAAAAAAAATCATCAGTGCGCAGAACCTGAAAACTAAAGGGAACTCTGGTTTTGCTACAGAGAGAATATCAACAAAAACTCCAACGGCAGTGATGACAGAAAAGTGTACATATTTATTTGTCATCCAAACACTTGGAAACATGTTGTTAGTCTGTGAAAACTGAATGTAGATATGGAAGGTTAATGTTATCCAGTTCACTGAAGTTCAGATGACTCTTCGTCATTGGCTGAGAATTTGGCTTTCAGAGATAAAATGTTTCTTTTTTCATGACATGTCAGAATTCCTCTTTCTACAAAAATGGATCATACTGAGGTCTTAGGGCAAGTTCTCTTTACCTTTGGTTCTGTGCAGAGGATAGTTTGTTCAGCCCTCACAGAGAGAAGACCCCCCATCCTACCCAAGTCATTCCCTGTAAGTTCCATCCTTTGATGTTAGCGAAACCCACCTTTTTGTTTTGTTTTGCTTTGCTTTTAACAAAATGGGAGGACTATTTTTTTTTTAATGTAACAACTGTACTTCCTAGAAATAAGTTCATTCTGGGAACAGACTTTCTTCTCTAAATGGTGGAACCGGATATTCTCAAAATGACACATAAACATATTGTCTGAAAGCCACTAGGTTCGTGTTAAAATGGTGAAAGGAGAAGTTTAATCTCTCTATTATCCCTTGGTGTGCCCCTTAATTGGTTTCGCTCATCAAGACAAGGGTTATCCTGGCCCATTCAGTTTTCCTTTAAGGGAATCAGGTGCAAGACCCCAGAGACAAAGTCCTCAACCTGTATTGTACTTATCTCTACAAGTCTCACTTTGAGTTGGTAAAAGGCTGTTCTGGAGTTCCGGAGTTCTGCCAATATGAGTATAAATTACTACAGCCTTTCTGATGAACAACACAATAATACAACAATACAACACAACAATACAATCAAACGTCTTTAAATATGTGCAGATTCCCTGGCTTAAAAATTCCATTTCTAGAAATTTATCCTAAGGAAATAATAGAGGATGTGCGCAATGATTTATTGTCAAGGATGTTCTTTGTAGTGTTGTTTATAATAGCAAAACATTGGAAACACCCTAAATGTCCAGCAAAAGAGAAGCAGTTTTGTAATGCATTTAGGAATGTTCCTGTGATATTTAGAGACTAAAAATTACACTGTTGAAATATATTTATTGATATGATAAAATGTTCAAAGTAGATTGCATTTTAAAGTTTCAAAATATTATTATGATATCATTGTATTTTGCAAAGATATATAAATATCTGCACAGAAAGAAATTCAGAGGGAGATACAGCAAAACGTGAACTGTTGTCACTGAGGGAAAGGAGATGGGGAATTTTAGATTTGTCATTTTCACTAAACTATATTTTCTCATTTTTCTATAATAAATATGGAATACTTGGGTTACAAATTATTTATACAAAATGTATTCTCTATTTTTCAAAGCCAAAACATGGTCTTACAAAAGGTATATATATATTTAATGTATATTATATGTATACTATATATCACCTATATATAATATATGTGAAAGTATTTTTATAAAATACTTTAAATACTTTATAAAAAGTATTTTTTAAAAGTATAAAAAATAAAAGTAAAAAAACAAAAAGAAAAGTTAAAAAAATGAAACTATGCAAAGCATTTTATAAAAAGTATAAAAAATAAAACTACTAAAATACTTTATAAAAATATTTTTATAAAATAATAAAATATATAATATATATAGAATATATACTTACATATATGCTATATATACTACCTATATATAGTATATATGTGAAAGTATTTTTATAAAATTGCTGTCAAGAGTATAAAAAGTTAAGTTTCAGTTTCTTTTATATTTTGTTAATATAGACTGCTTCATCTGAAAAGAGTAAAATTACATGAAGTCAGAACACTCCCACATCCTTTTAGCATTTGATCTCCACACCTCTGCCCTATAAATTTCTAAGCAAACAATGGTGAAAACAAAACATGGCCACTCGGTAGAAGAAATGAGGGCATTCCTTTTCTCCTGAGCACTCGCACCACTCTCCCAGACCCACTCCGGAGGTGTTGCAATAGAGGACAGTTTGCAGGGGAAAAACCCAGATTCCCCAGCATGAAGCACACAGTCCTTTGTTCCATGGGTGTCATTCCCAACCATTCCCCCTCCACCCTACATTTCCTGAGCCAATGCCTCCATGCCTGTGCCACATGCCACCCACAGCGTGAAGGACTAGCACCTTCTTGTGCCCTCACCTACACTCACGACCTCCTTTGGGCATCTGTCCTAGATGTTCTCACAGAGGAAACACTTAACAAATCTCTGGGCAGTGAAGTGATAACAAGACTGAAGACCTAGTCTCTGCTCACACTGAACTCCACCTCCACTACTTTGGCCAGGCAATGATGCTGCAGCTGTAGATGATGGTTTTTAGAGTTCAGGTCAGTGCACTGGGTCCAGGCTGTCAGGTTTTGGTCCTAACCTTTTAACTCCATGAAGAGCCCCAGTAGTCTCTCTAGTCTCCTCCACACTCCATGGTATCTCAGCAAAGCTTTATGGCTTCTGTCACACCAGGAATCAAAGAAAGGGGCTCATGAGTTCCTATGAGATTCAGCAGGCCTGTCTTCCTCCTTTCTTGACCCCAACCACACATGTGTAGGAGGAAGGGGAGGGGACTACAGCATAAGCCCCAGCCGAGGCATCACCTTTGCCTATGTTTAGGTGCGACCTTCTGCCCTAGGTAGGAACACCTCTTGTCTCCAGGTAGCAGTGTGTTTGGAACCTGTCATTTAATTTTATAACTGGACCTCATTTTTCTCTTCTGTAAAACAATGTGGAGAATTTCAGGACCTGAGAAATGACTCGAATAGGATAAGAACTAAGATAGATTTAATTCAAGTAAAAGTCATTAAGCATTATGCATATGGCTATATGCACCAGTACTATGGAGATTCCAAAGTGTCCAAGACCAAGAGAAACACTAAGGACCCACTGAGAGAGGCAGCTTATGACCACAACCACAAAGCAGAACTAAGTCTCTGTGATCAGGCTGGGCGTGGTGGCTCATACCTGTAATCCCAGCACTTTGGGAGGCCAAGGCGGGTGGATCACCTGAGGTGAAGGGTTTGAGACCAGCCTGACCAACATGGAGAAACCTCATCTCTACTAAAAATACAAAATTAGCCGGGTGTGGTGGCGCATGCCTGTAATGCCAGCTACTCAGGAGGCTGAGGCAGGAGAATTGCTTGAATCCAGGAGGCAGAGGTTGCGATAAGCCGAGATTGCGCCATTGCACTCCAGAAGCCTGGGCAACAAGAGCGAAACTCCGTCTCATAAAAAAAAAAAAAAAAAAAAAAAGACTCCGTGATCCAAGGAGGAAGTGGAAGTGCAGAGAGGTAGCACCAACCAGGAAAAATGGGAAAGGCTTACCAGGAGAGTGAACTTGGATTAACAGCGAGGATTTTGACAGAAGTAGAGAGAAGCTCTTTGGTTTAGGGGAACCACTTAGCCCAGCCTCATCCGACATGGGCATGAAATATCTGACATGTTTAAGAAAAAGGGAGAAATTTGGTGTGGCTGCAGTGGAGGATTTCAGAGAGAGCACAGCAACATACGAGGATGGGGATGAAAGCTGGGCTCAGATCAACAAGGTCCTTGAGTCTTGCTAACAAGGTTGGATTTTCATTTTTAGAGATTTCAGAGTAATTGAAAATTTCTAAGAAATTTTTAAAAATCTTAAATAACACCAATCACAGAAAACTTGGTGATGAAAATAAAAGGCTTTATTGGGAATCCAAATACCCACATTGGGATTCTTATTCAACCATTTACTGGACGTAAACGTCAACCTCTCTGGAATTTGTTTTATATTTTTCTGTGGGTAATTAAATGAAATGTTAGGGGAATAGAAAAGTAAATGAGATAATGGATGTGAAAGCACTTTGCCAACAATAACATACTGCAAAAAAAGAATGCATCCACACACTCGATTTTGCATTGCAAACTCTGCTAAAATGGAATAAGAACAAAATCTGTTATCACAGGGGCAGCCTCCTCCTTAAGACACAAAAGTCCAATTTATAATTTTATTTTAAGAAACTTTTGGAGATGCTTCTGTCAGATGAATCATAAGCCATTGAAGATAAGTTGTTCATTTTCAGCCTTCCATTCCAATTGTTTTGAAAACATCTGTGTCATCATTCTACATGTCATGGACACCAAAATGGTAAACTGTCATGGCACAGGCTAAACAGAAGCCATCACTCTCTGAAGCCTCTTATTTGTATCTT
Organism: Homo sapiens; assembly: GCF_000001405.40. Lineage (NCBI taxonomy): Eukaryota > Metazoa > Chordata > Mammalia > Primates > Hominidae > Homo > Homo sapiens. Next base: position 38,410,444 of record NC_000021.9, read on the forward strand.
AAGTTACATGGTTATTATGAAATCTACTTTGGTAAATTGGAATTTAAAAAACAAATAAAAGTAAACCATTACACACAGAGTTCTGGAGTTGTACTGTTAATGTACTCTGTATGTGGAGTGGGAGTGGGGGTATAAGCAGTGGGAGGGAGGGAGGAAGGCTGACATTTAAAAAAAATATTTCCATGAAACAGGATTCTGACCTAGTAGAGTTCCCCTGTTGCCAGGAAAATATTGAGTAGATATTTAAATCAGGCAAAGGGGCACTGCATCGCCAAAGACAAACTGTGCCTTTGTGAAACAAAATGCCTCACACAGGCAAACATCTTCTTTCAGAGGCCCCTCTAGAGAAATGAATAAAGTAAGATTAAATAAAAGCCAAACTGGTGATAATGAAAGTCCTGAATGTTATTTTTCTTAAATAATATCAACGTAAAATATTGGCTTCCCAAAAGAAAAAAATTACTCTTGGTTATGAAAAAAACATCAAAAAATAAAAACTAAAATGTACCTCTAAGCCATATCACAAGCCTAGTGAGGTGTTTGTTTATAAATCCAGGCCCTGGGCAAGTCAGCCAATCTGCTGTCCAAGACACTCATAAGCCTGCAAAAATAAGATTTAACATCTTGCATCCTCAGGAGGACAGAAGTTACATTTATAAAGCAGGCCCAATAGAGAGAACTGGCTTAAATTTGAGCAATGATTCACTCCATCACAAATGGAAATTTGATCTCAAATAAAGAGCCTACCTCAAGACTGTTTCTGAGCCTTTTAAATTTCTAACTTATATGTAGAGTTCATTTATTGTTTTGGTATTGATTTCTAATTTTATTGCACGTTGGCCAGTGAATAGAGTCTGTATGAAATTAACATTTTATTTTATTTTATTTTTTTGAGATAGTGTCTCGCTCTGTCACCTAGGCTGGAGAGCAGTGGCATGATCTGGGCTCACTGCAACCTCTGCCTCCCAGGTTCAACTGCCTCAGCCTCCCGAATAGGTGGGATTACAGGCACCCACCACCATCGTGGCTAATTTTTGTATTTTTAATAGAGATGGGGTTTCACCATGTTGTCCAGGCTGATCTGGAACTCCTGACCTTAGGTGATCCACCCACCTCGGCCTCCCAAAGTGCTGGGATTGCAGGCGTGAGCCACCATGCCCAGCTGAAATTAGCTTTTTAAAAAGTTCCGGTTTGTTACTCTTTTGGCGGCCTAGTGCATGGTCAGTTTTTATAAATGTTCCTTGATTGCTTAAGAAATGCATATTCTCTAATTTGGGAGTACAGAGTTCTAGAAAAAAAACTCTTGGTAAGGTGTATTTAATTTTAATGTCACTGACCTATCAATTACTGAGAAATGCAAATTAAAATATCTCACTAAATTGGACTTGACTATTTCTTTTTGCAGTTCATTACATATTTCAAGGCTATGTTATTAGGTACATGTAAGTTTATCATTATTATATATTTGTCATGAATTTAGCCTTTTTTCACTATGTAATGACCCTCAATTATCTCCAGTTATGCTTTCTGCCTGAAAGTATATTTAGTCTGCTTTCTATTTCTATTTTTGTCAGCTTTTTAAAAATTCAATTTTCACTAGCGTATCTTATTCTGTCAACTCTCAATCTTTGTTTGTGCAAGATTTTTTTGTAAACAACCCATAACTGATTGTGGAGTATTTTTTAGTCTAGTCTATCACTCTCTGTCTTTAATGGCAAATTTGGTCTATCTACACTTATTATCACTGATCTATCTGATTTTTACCATCTTATTTTGTGCTTTATGTTAAACTTTCTTAGTCCATTCTCTATTTCTCCTTGCCAAGTGTCTAATCAGATTGATCTACTTTTCTTCATTCACTTTTTTTTCTTTGTTTCTGTATTGGTTTTGCTCTTTGACATTCTAGTTCTCTTTCCTGTTAATCTTTAAACAAAATCTAAGTTTAATTACCAGTAATTTAGAAAGCTTATACTTGAATCATCCATCTCTGATTTTACATGACAATGTTCCCTCATATTTTTACTCCACTGAATTTTCTACTCCCTACTTAGGGAGGCTGTGGTTGTCATTTTACAGCCATTTCTTTCTAGATCTACCCTCACCTTAATCAATTTCATTGCTCCCATTTCCTTCCTGTATCTCACTCCCTTCTTCTAGGATCCATTTTTTAAATTAAATCTTTTGTTATTATCTGAAGTGAGGTTCAATTAGCAACAAACTCTCTTTTTAACTCCTTCTTTTATGTTCTTCCTTAATATTTAAAAAGTTTATTTATTTTATACTCTTTATCCAATACTTTAATTATTTAACCTTCTGCTTAATCATGTTCATTGTTTCTGTTAAATCTTGGTTGGGGGAGATCTCTCTTCAGCTATTTTTTTGTAATTTGCGGGTGGCAGAGTCATCTTTAGCGGGTCTCTATCTGCAGGAATTCTGTACAGCGTAGGTTGAAGACATGTCTCTCCATGAAGATTTCGTATTTACTTCTGCCAGGTTTCCCAGATTATCACTAGCCCATGACCATTTTTCTGTATTAATTTCTCAGCCTTAGAGTTCCTGGCACACACTGTTGTGTGTATGGGGTGGGGACTCGGGTAATGACAGGCTCAGTTCCAATTCTCTGCTTTGTGGAAGCTCAAGATTTCATTCCTTGCCCCTAGTTGACCTTTAAAACCCAAATCTCTGCATTATAGCAACCTAGGACAACCAGGTGTCAACATAAGAATGTGCTGCTCTGCTCTATTCTCACTTTTTTCCTTATTTTAGTCCCTAAGGAGTTCATTGCCTTTCTTCCCAGTTCAGCTGTGCATTTAAAAGGATGTTAAACTCCATGCAGCAATTCCAGGTGTTTTGCAAAAGGAATGTTTCTCAGGTCCTTTTATAGTAACCTCTCTATTTTACTAGAACCAAGAGCCCTCTCTGCATACTTTTTACCTATTTACTTTGAATAGTTTTCATTTTTAATGCAGCCATCATCCTAACTCATGTTATGCTTTACTTCATTCATTTATTAATTAATCAATTGTCAAAAATTACTTATATGAATTGTATAATCCTCTATGAAAGATTCAAAAATGGCAAGAAAGAGTGCCTGTCCTCTACTTGTTTGAGAATCTACAATTCTGTGTATTTTATTTAAAAATACATGACTAAATTATTTTTGTTAGGCTCTAAACATAGCTTTGTCATTCTGACACACTGATTTATTTCTCTGGATGAAACCATTCTCAAGTAATCATCTTGTTTTTGGATAATGATCGTTATTGTTCTTTGTTTTCTTTTGTTGTTGTTGCCTCCTGTTATTCCATGACAACATTGTGTGTGCTCATCATGTTTTAGAAATGCAATGGCTTGTTCCACATAAAGGTTTCTCCCTGCCTGGGTTTTCTTTCTTTGTCTTCTCTTTAAATGTTGCTATCCCCAGAGTTTCATCCTTGGTCTACCCCTCTCCTCTCTCCATATGTATCTTTGGGCATTCTTATTTGCTCTCATGTTTGAACTATAACATGCATGCTGTATTATTTTCCTAGGGCTGCCGTAACCAAGTACCACAAAATGTGTGGCTTAGAAACAACAGAAATTCATCGTCTCATAGTTCTGGAGGATCAAAGTCTGAAATCAAGGTATCAGCAAGGCCTTGCTCCATCCGAGACTGTGGATAAAATCTGTCCTTGGCTCTTCTAGCTTCTGGTGCTGTCCAGCAATTGAATGTTCCATTGCTTGCAGTTGCATCAGTCCAACCTCTGCCTGTCTTCACATGGAGTTCTCCCTCTGTGTTTCCATATCATCTTCCCTCTGTGTGTGTCTATGTCCAAATTTCTCCTTTGTGTAAGGACACCAGTCATTTTATTAGGCTCACCCTAATGACCTCATCTTAACTTGATTAAATCTGCAAAACCTCTATTTCCACATAAGGTCACATTCTAAGGAACTGGGGGTTAGGACTTCAGCATATCTTGTGAGGGAGGCACAATTTTTTAACCTGTAACAGGCAGCTGTTTCTGCCAGTCTATATCTTGAGTCCCCAGGGCACTCTCACAGATGCCAGACCCAAATATAAACAGAAGAACTGCACTTTTTATCCCAGGTACTGTTTAAGCATGTCACACATATTGCTATATTTAATCCATATAGCACCACATGAAGTAGGAATTATTATCATCCATATTTTGGTGATGAAAAACCTGAGAAACAGCAAGATTAAGTAGCTTCCCAGATCCCACAGTTAGTACATGGCAGAGTTTAGAACTCAAGTGCTGTGACTCCCGATCAAGGACTTTCCATCCTGAGCTCTAGGCCCACCACACTGCCTGACAGGTGTCCCAGAAGCATCTTAAACACAGGATGAACCAAACTGAAATCACCTATTTTAAACATTTTTTTTTTGTATATTCATTAACACCTACCCAGCTGCTCATGCTAAATCTAAGCTGTCTTCAATTCCATTCTTCTCTTTGACTTTCAAGAAAAACAGATAACATCATTAGCACTGTAGAAATGTAAAAATTAGCCCTGGGCAACACAGTAGATTATTTTACAAAATTCCCTCTCCACCTCCTTTGTTTACTTAAGTCTTATTTGAAAAGGCTGTTGCAGAATGTCTACAACAATTTAACAAACACATTCTCTCATCCCATTCCTGTGTTCTCCCCTGGGTATTTTTGTCAGCACAGCTTAGGAAGAAGAACCCAGACTGTGGAGTCAGAAAGAACTGGGTTCGAATCCTGGCTCTTCAAATGATTGGCTGTGACATATTTGGCAACTCTCTTAGCGTTCCTAGTTTTAGTTTCTTTACTGTCGAGTGAGAATGATAATGAGTACCTACATCATAGGGTGGTCGCATGATTTAAATGAGATAATGCCTTTTCTACAAAGTGCATGTCCAAGTGCCTGACAACAGTGCATATCAATAGATAGTAGCTGTCGTTGCTTTTTAGAAAAATGACTTGATTTTAGCCTCACATTTAACCCAATGGTGGTTTCCTCAACCGCTATTCAGCTGATAACTTTAAAATACACATAATAAACTTTGATGTTAGCATTTCTATTTTAGTGGGTTTTGTTATTTAGTTGTTTGAGCATAGCAGGAATTTAAACAGAAGATTAAAGAAGCATGTCCCATCATATCGACAGAGTGGAAGAGATCCTCGGGTGTGTTCAGGGACGTAACAAAGAAAGATGAAGACACAAGTCATTTCACCAGCAGGTTCTGGGCCTGAGAATAGGCTCTGGTCTCACCCAGTTGTGCAAGTGTTCCCGGGAAAGTCATTTCACCTCTCTCAGTCTTGGTTTTCTCATGTTTAAAGGAAGACTGAACTTAGACCACCAAGAATCCTGCAACCCCTGCGAGTCTGCGATTCCTGCTAGTTAGATCTAGATTACTGTTAACTTGATAAATCACATTTACTCTCCTCCACACAGAATCCAAGTGCTGGCTGTGTTGTCTGGCGATTGAGAACACAAAAGACATGATCATCACCTCACTAAACTTACAATCTAATAGAACAGACAGGCTTATAAATAACTCACGCTAAGAGGATTGGAAACATAATATATCAGCCATCAGGGCTTGGTCGGAGGGTATGTTCTATTACTTGTTATTCACTGGCTTTCAAAGCCCAGTGGGGGAATGTCAATATTTAGGGAGGATCATGTGGAAACTATGCAGTCCTCTAACACTCTGAGAACTCAAGATCCCTTCTTTACATGAAATCAGACTGCCAAAGACTCATGCTGGGTGTCTGTCCTCTACCTGTGCTGAGCTATTCTCTAATGTAACTCAGCGCTCACAGAAGATGTCACAAGAAATAAGCTGTTGAAATGCAGTGCTGCAACTGTGGCAGGAAGACGGTCGATGGTCAGGTCTATGGCCCCAGTGGCCCCAAAAGGGATCCTTCTTTTAGGATTCTACACTATGATAAACATTGCCTTCCCTGTGAAACTTCTTTTTTGAAAGGAAAAATTATTTCCCCAAATAACTCTTTTCATTTTGGCTGCCAGGAAGCTCAAAGCCATACTAGAAACTTAAGTACAGCATCTTGGGCAAGCTTGTGGTCAAAATGGCTGCATTCTTCCCTCACATGCTCTTGGCTTCTCATTTGTATTTTTAACTGCCTTAGCACTGATTCCTAATTTCCATTTGATAAGTCAATTGGGTATAAGCCCATCAGTAGTTTAGTTCACACGGCACCTCAAATCCTTTGCAGAATATCCACATTTAAGTAAGTATATACATGCATTTGAGAATACAATATGAAACAAAATAAAGTATGATAACAAAATAATTGGTAAGATGTCATAAGAGGAGTGATTAATTTGCCAGAGGATCAAGCATGGCTCCCTTGACAGGGCAGATTTTGAAGATGTCTGGAAGAATGAGCAAGAGCATTCCAGAGAGGGAACCGCAGGGACAAGGACACCGGGTGGTGAAAATGCAGCGCGTGAGTTGGGGATGTGGCAGAGGAAAACGGCAGAGGCTGCAAAGGGCTTTCGAAATCACATCATCGTGGGTATAAATGAAGCTGTTCTTGATTCGTCCTGTCATAGCAATCTCCATTCCTCACATGCTCTGAAATACTGGTCTGAGTCATTCATTTGAGCTCTCAATCACACCTTCTCCTGTCTGTCAAAAACTACTTACCCCACATGGGTGGGTCTTAGCTACTTCTGACAGCCTTCGGTCATCTCCTCAGTGATTAAGAGTAATGGGAACTCCATGAACACTTTCTAACGGAATAGAAAGGTCCTAGCACAGGGGTCTGAGTAAGACACAAGTCATGTAGCTTCAGCCACACATGTTTGGTGGGCAAGAAAAGGTGATTTTAAATCTCATTAGAGCTTTTATTCACGGTGAATGGAACACAGTAAGAGTTTAATGAATGAATTAATAATGAAGAAAGTGAAGAGATACAGTGAAGAGAAGAATGTGGCTACTCTTATCTCTGAGATTACTGATTATTGCAAGGGTCTATGCTGAAAGTGAATTATTTTAAAAATAGAAGCAGAGGCATTTGAAAAACTCAACACTTTAGCACCTATTTTAAGGAATTAAAACAGAAAAAGAGGCCAGGCCCGGTGGCTCACGCCTGTAATCCCAGCACTTTGGGTGACCGAGGTGGGTGGATCATCTGAGGTCAGGAGTTTGAGACCAGCCTTGCCAACATGGTGAAACCCCGTCTCTACTACAAATACAAAAATTAGCTGGCTGTGGTGGCAGGCGCCTGAGATCCCAGCTACTCAGGAGGCTGAGGCAGGAGAATTGCTTGAACCCAGGAGACAGAGGTTGCAGTAAGCCGTGACCGCGCCATTGCACTCCAGCCTGGGCAACAGAGCGAGGCTCCATCTCAAAATAAATAAATAAATAAAAAATAATAATAAAAAAACAGAAAAAGAGAAATCTTTCAAAATGCTATAAGCTGCTAAAGCGAGAGGTCCTATTGCATTTTGGTCAGCATTTTGCAACTTTTAAGAAGTGAATGGAGCCTGTGCCTTCCTCTTTGTTAGCCACTTGGTTAGCACATCTCCATGTTCACAGCCAACACCTAAAGAGTAACAGTAACTACTGCAATGAGTGATTCTTCATTTTTTTTTGGAATGTTAATGTGATACTGTTAATCATTTCTATCTTTCCTTTTTGTCTACTTGCCTTTTCTAAAAGTGATAAACCATATCTTTATTAAAAATAATTCAAGTCTATTAAAGTAAAATTTATATCTTCTATCTAGATTAGAACTTTTCAACCTTATTGTACATGAAAATTACATACACAATAAGCATGTTAATAATGTAAAATTTCCAACCCCACACCCAGGTTTGGAACATTTGGAAGTGTGTGTGTGTGTGTGTGTGTGTGTGTGTGTCTGGGAAAGGGTCTCACTCTGGCTTCCTGGTGGGAGTGAAGTGGTGCAATCATGGTTCACTGCAGCCTCAAACTTCTGGGCTCAAAGAATCCTCCCGCCTCAGTCTCCCAAGTAGCTGGGACTACAGGAACCACCACTACACCTGGCTAATGTTAAAATTTTTTGTAGAAATGGGGTCCCACTATGTTGTCCAGGCTGGTCTTGAACTCCTTGGCCTCCCAAAGTGCTGGGATTACAGGTGTAAGCCACTGTGACTGGCAGGAAATGTGTATTTTTAATCATAAATTTTCCAGGTAATCTTGATACAAGTGGTTCTGACCATACTTTGAAAAACACTTTCTAGGCCAGGCGTGGTGGTTCATGCCTGTAATCCCAGCACTTTGGGAGGCCGAGGTGGGCGGATCACCTGAGGTCAGGAGTTTGAGACCAGCCTGGCAAACATGGCGAAACCCCATCTCTACTAAAAATACAAAAATTAGCCTGGCGTGGTGGCGGGCGCCTGTAATCCCAGCTACTCAGGAGGCTGAGGCAGGAGAATCACTTGAACCTGGGAGGCAGAGGTTGCAGTGAGCTGAGATCCTGCCATTGCAATTCAGTCTGGGGAACAAGAGCGAGACTTTGTCTCAAAAAAAAAAAAAAAAAAAAAAAGAAAGAAAGAAAAAGAAAAACACTTTCTAGTCAACCTCCAAATTAAGCTCGGCCAAAAAAGAGCCATGTAACCAGCATGGGGGATGTCACACTTGTCAGGCCCCTCTTATTACAACTGGTTTCACTGAATGACACTTGGGTTTACGACAGTGTAAGAGACTGCCCTGCCCTATGAGAGATCCTCCTAGATTTACAGATACTCGCACCAAATACATAGATAAAAACCAGAGATGGGAATTATGGCCTAACCAGTACCCTTTGGGAAGGCACAATCAACAGTCTTGCCAGAACAACAGGCACAAACCAGGGCTGCCCAGAATGCCTGGTGGCGCTACTGGTTGAATGCTTTGCTCATGACTCCCCTTATCTTCCTTAGGACAAACAGAGGAACACATCTTCCTCCAGACTCAGAATTAATAGCTGGACCATCTTTTCACATTTGCTTTCTTTTTATCCTGTAGGCACTGAATTATCCCTTTCATACTGCCTGATGATACCTCGAAGCCAAATAACACCTACCTTTTGCAATTCTGCAATATTTAAATGTTGCAATTAAAAATACACATACACACACACACACGTGCGTGTAAACCTCACTCCTGGTTTTACTCTCTCTGTTCAATTTTTACTTTAGTCCATTCTCCACATTCCTTTATTTTTAAAAAGTGGATTCTACCGTGCTCTTTCATATGTATCTATGTGAGCTTTCTTAAATCTGTTCTGAAATAGGAGGCAGTGTAAATATATCAAGTGACAGTCTACATTTATCCTTCAGGGACATTTTCTAGTTGACACTTTCTTATGGGCTTTTTTTTGACACTTTTTTTATGGGCTTCTTTATTAACTCAAGATCATGAGTATCAAAACCAGGGTTGAGGGAATCGCTTCTCAAAAGTGGGTTCCAGGTACCAGAACCCAATCTGAACACGGACAAAGCCCCCCAGCTCCTCTGTGGTTTTATCTCTCAGTCTCCGTACAGTACAAATTTCCTCATCAGTGTTTATTAGGGCCACTGCTATCTCTAGTGTGTAAACATCGGCATGTATTGATGATGGTACAAATGTTTAGGAATAACTGATGGTTTTTTTTTTTTTCACTCAGCTATCCGTGTGATTTGCATTAGTGCCAAGCAATGTCTCTAAGTAGTAAGGTCTATGTGAACCACTCAGGACCAGGTCTGGAGAATTCTTTTTGCACACATGGGGTACTCCGTGCCCCAAATCTGCCTTAGTGAGGTGCCTGGATACCATGGGGATGGATACAGCAGCTGGTACAGCTGCCTGAGGTCCTGCAACCTCATGGCCACATTGGAAAATTGTCCAGATTGTGCAATGAAGCTGTGTGTGTGTGTGCGTGTGTGTGTGTGTGTGTTCATCTCTGTGTGTGTATGAGCACACATACATGAAGCTTGACCAATAACTGAAAGACTCACAACTTGCAAAATCAGCCACAACTAGCTCTCTTACAAACACTATTAACTGAATAACTGCCTACACTGGCGTGAAGCAACTGAAGGAGGGAAGAGCTGAAGAGAAGAGTACTTTGCTCCAAAGAAAGGAAACAGCCTTCACATCAAAGCTTACTATAAGCCAATTTGCAGAGCTATCCTTGCATCCATCCAGCTAATATTTGATGAGCAGCTACTATGTATAAAAAATCCTGGGTGCTCTGACTTCAGTTGATTCTCTGTTCTCTTCCCCACACAAATATCTCTCTTATTTTCTAAATACTTTCCTTAGTGTAGAAAGACTCAAGTCTGGCCCTACTGAAAAGGATATTTATGACATCAAAGCATATTGATGGCCTCATGGAAATACAGCCTCACCAGTTAGAAGATGGTACCAGGCATTACCTCTTACATCTGTGATTCAATGAGGAACCAAGCAAGGAATCTTCAGTGCAGGCCCCCTCAGATGGATTCTCTCATCTTTGAGATCTAAACACTTTGTTTTGTCTCCTTTGAAGAAATTACATTCTTAAGGAGGAGGGCAAAGGGTGAGATGGGTTAGGGGGCTTCCTTTGGGTGTCTACTTCACTTTGTTCATGCCCAGAGAGTGTCTGGGCAACACACCACTGCCCTCCTGCCTCTCCTCCAGGCACATCCTAGCCTTCGAGTTTTTCTTATGTGCCACACATCTGGAGTGGGCACCTGGGACATTTGTGTTTCTATTTTTCCCATCCAACAGGAACAGCCCCCTGTTCTGAGGCACAGCAGCAAGTGAGGCAGTCTCAGGCATTCAGGTGCATTGTCAAGATCAAACCAAATGCATGGCCTCTGTACCTGTCAACTGCCTTTCAGTAAATACTAAGGACGGTTTTCTCCCTTTCGTAATCTACCATCAGTGTCTCCTGTAAGTCTTAAAAAATGCTTTGAAATCAGGCACAACCCCAAAGGATGGTCCCTTTCACACCCCACTGCATCGAACCAGCTTTACGTGTTTGCTGAAAGTCACATGGTGACAGATCTAAGCTGAAACCTGGGATTCAAATCCAGGCCAGATGTTTTGCAAAGTACCCTGCACTCCTGAACTCTTCTGTCTAGAAGGTGACAGAAGCCCACTGGGCATGATCCAACTCAGGTAAAGGGAAAGTCACACCATGGAGGGAATCTAACCTGTTTGCCATCACACTTCGCAGATATTAATTTAGGTGACCCCAGGAGCAAGGGAGAATTGAGTTTGTGCAGATTTCACCCATGCATGCCCTTGGCTACTTTGCCAACAAGGAGTAACTTGTACAGTGCAGCTCAGTGGTGAGGTGTCCGTTCATCCATTCTCCACCTCCCTTAATATTCACTGAGCACCTCCCACTTACCAGGCACTGCAACTGGCCCTGGAGATAGGGCCTTTGTGGGGCTTATGTTCCATTCAGGGAAGAGGATAATAAGAAAACTTTTTATTTTTTTATTTTTATTATTTTGAGACGGAGTCTTGCTCTTGTCGCCCAGGCTGGAGTGCAATGGCACAATTTTGGCTCACTGCAACCTCTGCCTCTCTGGTTCAAGCGATTCTCCTGCCTCAGCCTCCCAAAGTGCTGGGATTACAGGTGTGAGCCACCATGGCTGGCCAGTAAGAAAACTTTTACATAAACATGCAATATAATGGCAGAAGGGAATGAATGAAATCAAGAAAAATCAGGCCAACAGGAGACTGGCAGTCACAGGTGGAGACGAGAGCAATTCCAGACGGAAGTGCTCAGGACTGGCCTCCCTGAGGCCATGACATTGGCACGGATACTTGGTGAAGGAAAATGATATGGAACTACCTGGAATTAAGGGTTTCAGGCTGAGCTGACGCCAAATTCAAATCCCTGAGGCAGGACCGCAGGGTGACCAGATGGCTGAAACAAGTAACAGGAGGGAACCCACAGAAATTGCTGTAAGCAGCTGAGATTTAATCCAATGCCAACAGGCAGAGACTAAAGGAGTAAGGCAGACCTGCCTGAGTCCTAACTTGGCCTCTTATTAGCCTAATGCCCTTGGAAAAGTTGGTGGACCTCTCTGAACTTCATCTTCCTCATCAGGGAAATCATGAGAAAGATGTCCATTTGCAAAGATTGCTTGAGATCACGTTTCTAAAGCATTTATCCAAATGCCTCCTGTAGGGTAAAGGTTCACTGACTGGTGACTGTTGCTGTTGTTCTTATATTTCTGGCTTTAGGTAGCATGTATCCTCTGAGGAGCTTTAAGTCATTTTTTCTATTACCTTTAGTTTGGCTAAATAAATAAGTTCTTGTCACGTCTTTCAAGTTCAAGAGCTATTCCTTTGGGTTGGTTTTGAATTATGTTTGTGGTAAAGAGTTACTCTGGTTATTAGAATCTGTATTACAGGCCAGTGATAGCTGGAATTTTAGATGCTTAAGGGAACACGTAAGACAGCCATATAATATATGGCTCCCACATGTTTATTTTTCCAGATAAGAGAATTTTAAAAACAAACAAGTCTATCATCTATCATAAATAGTACCTCATGAAGGACAGGATATTTGGAACAATAATCTCCAAGAAGTGGCAATTCCTCCCTAGAAAGGTCACCTTTCATAGACATATACACACGTGTGCATATGTGTGTGCACACAAGCAAGGCTGCATGTTTGCCTGGACATCCTCTTTCTCTCTGTCTCTCTCCATACGTAGTGTGTGTGTGTGTGTGTGTGTGTGTGTGTGTGTGTGTGTATTTTTCTCTATGTGGCAAAATAAAGAGCTGGGGCTACATACTGCTGTCTCACATATTTTTTAAATATTTGTATTTTTAAATACAGGTGTATTTTTCTTGCTTTGCTGTCGATCCGTGAACATGTCCTCATGCATAGACCTCTGCCAGCTCCCATTTACAAGCCCTGCTCTGGACAAAGGAGATGTGATCAATGCCACAGGTGGGGGAGAAGAGCTCCCTGAGGCTCAGCCTAGCCTTGGGGAAGTTGCGATCTGCCGAGGGCAGTGAAGCTGTGGGCACCTGACCTGCTGGCACGATAACTCTGCGCTCGTTCGTGGTCATGTTTGGGGGTGGCATGTGCTTCTCCTCCATGTAGCTGCCGTAGTTCATCCCAACGGTGTCTGGGCTGCCCACCATCTTCCCGCCTTTGGCCACACTGCATTCATCAGGAGAGTTCCTGGAGGAGAAGAAATATTCTTCCATTATAACAGCAATCAAAGAGCATGTCTCCATCGACTTCTCACAATACACAGAGAGAACCAAAGAAGGGCAAGGCGGAAGAGACTGGGGGAGAAAGGACAAGTGTGAAAAGCCAAATACAGGCGGGGTGCCGTGGCTCATGCCTGTAGTCCCAACACTTTGGGATGCCGAGGTGGGCGGATCATGAGGTCAAGAGATCCAGACCATCCTGGCCAACATGGTGAAACCCCGTCTCTACTAAAAATACAAAAATTAGCTGGGCATGCCTGTAGTCCCAGCTACTCAGGAGGCTGAGGCAGGAAAATTGCTTGAATCCGGGAGGTGGAGGTTGCAGTGAGCTGAGATCATGCCACTGCACTCCAGACTGGCGACAGAGTAAGATTCCATCTCAAAACAAAAAAGAAAAGAAAAGAAAAGAAATGCCGAAAACAGGCCTTGCCTTCTGTCCTCCCGAAATGCATATTTTGAAGCCCTAACTCCCAATGTGATGATATTAGGAGAGAGAGCCTTTGGGAGGTAATTTCAGTTTGATGAGGTCATGAGGGTAGAGTCCCACGATGGGATTAGTGCCCTTATTAGAAAAGAAAGAGACCAGAGCTCGAGCTCTCTCTCTCTCTCTCTCTCTCTCTCTCTCTCTCTCTGCCATGTAAGGGCAGAGCAAGAAGGTGGCCAGGCCATCTGCAACCCAAGGACAGAGACCTCACCAGAGACTGGCCCTGCTGGTGTCTGATTTTAGACTTCCAACCTCCAGAAGTATGCAAGCTCGAGTCCCATTGTTTCAGCCAGCCAGTCTGTGGGGCTCTGTGAAGGCAGCCTGCACAGGCTAGGACAGTGCCCATACTGGCTAGATGCACAGAACACGCACAAGGGAGGCGGAACTACCACCTGGCTTCTGTTTCTTAAGCAGCTCCTCCTGAAACTGTCATGTCAAAACTCCATCTGTGACAACTGATTGGGGACACTTGCAGGGAACAGTGAACTGCTCTTTGTTCTCGCGGTGTGACAGCAAACAGGCAGAGTAGACAGATGCTGTGGGGCGGCACCAGGGACACTCGCTGCTCAGTGAGGTTTATCCTGGAACGACGTTCCTTCTCAAAACCTCAGAATGAAATCCTCCTGCTCAATTTCAAATCCCTGCAGCCAATCTTTACATATGGAGCTTTGAAGACTCACAGTGTTCCAGGCTTAGGTGTAGACAGGAAGGGCAGGGAAGGGTGAGGACTGACGCTAGGGGAGGCCTCATGGGGAGTGGACTCCAGCAGTCCTAGAGGACCCTTGGGAAAGGGATAGGGAAGGAACTGTGTGGATGCAGAGAGGGGTCAGCTACTGACTACTGACCGTGGGCAACAGGTCACAGGGCTGCTGTTAGTAAGGCAGTCACTGTCATTTGGATAAAGTCAAACCTACCTTTCTGGAAAAAGAAAAGGAAAACATTTTAAACAGTGAGTTGTGAAAGCTACAGGACATTGGTGAAATCGCATCTGATAGGGAAATGCTAAAAAGAAAATCCAGCTTAGGGCCAGGAGTGGTGGCTCACACCTGTAATCCCAGCATTTTGGGAGGCCGAGGTGGGCAGATCACCTGAGGTCAGGAGTTCAAGACCAGCCTGATCAACATGGAGAAACCCAGTCTTTACTAAAAATACAAAATTAGCTGGGCAAGTGGTGGTGCATGCCTTTAATCTCAGCTACTCGGGAGGCTGAGGCAGGAGAATCCCTTGAACCTGGGAGGTTGAGGTCGTGGTGAGCTGAGATGGCGCCATTGCACTCCAGCCTGGGCAACATGAGTGAAACTCCATCAAAAAAAGAAGAAAGGAAAGAAAGAAAGAAAGAGAGAGAGAAAGAGAGAGAAAGAAAAGAGAGAGAAAATCCAGCTTAAGCAGAAAACAGAAAATACATGTCAGTGCCTTCTTAGATGGTTAACACGTAGATGGTAAACCCAGGGTCACTGTAGCTGAGAAGTATTAATATTTAGGGTCTGTTGTCTAAGGCGGATTTCCAGAAATGCCTCTCAGGCTCTATCCAATGCATACATTTTTTTCATATTCCTTGGAATCTGGGAACCTTCGCTTTCTCTAGATTTTAGATTTCTATCCCAGTGTTTCTGGTTGTGGGATCCACGCCAATGAAGCCTCATTTATCTCCTCCACTTCTTGTTAGTTGGAGTTCTGCAGAGAACTTGGACAATCAAAAAACTATGGGCTTGGCATGGATGTGAACTTCAAGTCTAAGGAGGTCAAAACCATCTGAGGCAGGAGCGCACTTTCTGAGTGGGGTGAGATGGAGAAGGTCATTCCACACCTGAAAGCCATAGCTGGGATGTGGACAGGAAGGGAAAGTGTTTGTTCAGCATGTGGGAACTTGAAAATATAGGTTTGTTCTCAGCATCACTTACAAATGTGTCTGAAGCCTATGGAGGGATCTTAGGTGTTGGCAGTGAAGAGGGTACACTGCCATCTGCGGATGGAGGTTACAGTCAGGGTCACGCAGGACTCAGGCCCTAACATGGGCCTGGAATGCACAGCCCTGCCTGATGGCATCCTCACAGCTGTGCTAACATGAAGGAAATTTTAAAATAATAATGGTCTGAGTTCCCATGAAGTAGATCCTGAATATTTCCACCGCTGCCTACACATGCATTATTTCCTCTTGATGCTATTTTTCCTGGCTTCACACATTTATCTCTAAAAGACCCATCCTAATATGAAAACACAGAGTGTCTTCACTTAGACTGAGTTTCCTATTCCTCTGGAAAATTCCATCAGTTGAGTAGAGTGTATATGTTTTGGTATATTTGTCTCAAGGAGAGAAGTTACCAGGGAAGAGAAGTTAGAGGGATTAGGTTCTTTAGGAAAAAGACTTTGCCCAGATGATGTGAGTAACTCAAGTAACAACTATAAAATCTAGACAACCTTTGTTCAGATTCAATCATTCACTCATCCATTTAGACAGCTGTTATCAAGTGCCGGCCGTATACCAGGTCCCATCAATTCTTTCTTCTCCAACAACGCAGTTAACAATTTGAAAAGTAAAAGATCAAAGAGATGTATAAAATTATAGAAACAGGCCAGGTGTGGTGACTCACGCCTGTAATCCCAGCACTTTGGGAGGCCGAGCTGGGCGGATCACCTGAGGTCGGGAGTTTGAGACCAGCCTGACCAACATGGAAAAACCCTGTCTCTACTTAAAAAAAAAAATTAGCCGGGCGTGGTGGTGCATGCCCGTAATCCCAGCTACTCGGGAGGCTGAGGCAGGAGAATCGCTTGAACCAGGGAGGCGGAGGTTGCGGTGAGCCAAGACCACGCCATTGCACCCCAGCCTGGGCAACAAGAGCAAGACTCCATGTCAAAAAAAAAAAGAATTATAGAAACAGGGGACATTGAGGATTTTGAACCCTTCAGACCAACCCCTTTTTCATTTTCTTTTAGTTCTTTCTAGTTTAATTTTCATATCCGAGGACAAGAACTCTAGGCATAGATCACAAGAGTTTCTCTGTGACATTAAAGTAGATCCTTCAGGCTGGTTGCGGCAGCTCATGCCTGTAATCTCAGCACTTTGGGAGGCTGAGGCAGGCAGATCACTTGAGGCTAAGTGTTCGAGACCAGCCTGGCCTCCCAAGTAGCTGGCATTACAGGCGCCTGCCACCACGCCTGGCTGATTTTTGTATTTTTAGTAGAGACGGGGTTTCACCATGTTGGCCAGGCTGGTCTCGAACTCCTGACCTAAGGTGATCCTTCTGCCTTGGCTTCCCAAGGTGCTGGGATTACAGGCGTGAGCCACTTCACCCAGGTTTCTCTTGCAAATTTTAACAGCAAAAGAGTAGCCTTAACATGTTTGGGATCTGTTTTGGGAGCTTAATAGTTATCAGTCTTCACCACAGCGAACTGTGTTGCTGGCATTGTCTCCACTTTCCAGAGGTGTGAACTGAGTACTCAAAACACAAGGGGCTGGCTCCAGGACTCACAGCCAGGAGGAGGTAGAATGAGACTTCAGTGCGGGTGGCCCGAACTCTCCATCCCTGCTTCTTAACCCTGAACAGAATGACTCCACAAAGTAAAGGCAAGACAATGTCTTTTCAAAGGTAACTAGATCTTCATTTCAGGAAGGCATCAGGGACTCCCTGACCCATACACTACTCTGGTTTAAGGTGTACACTAAAGCACTCATCCTGACATACTCTCCTACCCTGGGACTGTTCATTCCCTGAAAAGCATGTGCATGACACAAACAGGGCACATATACAAGATGCAAATAAGAAAGAGGAGTGATTCCTGGAGAAGAAAAGAATTTTCAGAGATATCTGCTTTACTTAAGAAAAGGACGCCAGGCACAGTGGCTCACGCATATAATCCCAGCATTTTGGGAGGCCAAGATAGGTGAATTGTTTTAGCTCAGGAGTTCAAGACCAGCCTGGACAACATGAAAAATGTGTTTACAAAAAATACAAAAATTAGTCGGGCATGGTGTGCACCTGTAGTCCCAGCTACTCAGGAGGCTCAGGTGGGAGGATCACCTGAGCCTGGGGAGGTTGAGACTGCAGTGAGCTGAGATCATGCTACTGCACTGCAGCCTGGACAACAGAGCAAAACCGTGTCTCAAAAAAAAAACAAAAGAGAGAAAAAAAGAAAAGGAAATTTTATCACAATTCAGAGAACTGAAAAGTGTTCATTTGAAAGTCTCACTATAAATACATTTCTAGCTCTGTGCCCAAGAAAAGATCCACACTGCACAAATGTGTGTCTTGATTACTCCACTGCAACCCCACCTTCACCAGGCATTCCGAGGCTCACACATCGCCGGGAAAAAGTTCCCGCAAACAGCTTGGTATGTCACCTGCACCAAGCGCTGCCCAGCATAGAGGACCACGTGTTCTCCATTCTCACATGATAAGGATTTGGACGTTCAATGCATTGTTTTATTGTGCACATGACAAAGAGTATGCTGTGCAGGGAATGAACAGTCCTGAAGTAGGACAGTGTGTCAGGATGAGTGCTGCAATGTACACTTTAAACCAGAGTAGTGTATGGGTCAGGGAGTCCCTGATGCCTTCCTGAAATGAAGACTAGTTACCTTTTAAACATACACATACTTTTAAACATACACATACTTGCATATGTGTGTTGCAGCAGTTCCTGAGAATATTCTCAGGCTATTCAGCAGGTGCCTGTCAAACAGATAATCATTTAGTAAATATTAAATGTATCTGTCTTTTTGTTTGGGGTGGAAATTTCTTTATTGCAAATAAGCGTGGTTCAAGATATTGCTCTCACAGACTCCTTTGAGGACAAACAAAAATCATTTTGTCTTTTTATTTAATTTAAATAGTTTTGGGGGAACAGGTGGTGTCTGGTTACACGAATAAGTTCTTTAGTGGTGATTTCTGAGATTTTGTTGCACCCATCACCCAAGCAGTAAACACTGTACCCAGTGTGCAATCTTTTCTCCCTCACCCACTCCCATGCTTCCCCCAGAGTCC
The DNA here is from genome assembly GCF_000001405.40 of Homo sapiens. Lineage (NCBI taxonomy): Eukaryota > Metazoa > Chordata > Mammalia > Primates > Hominidae > Homo > Homo sapiens. The sequence continues at coordinate 38,429,060 of NC_000021.9, forward strand.
CCAAAGTCCACTGTATCATTCTTATGCTTTTGTGTCCTCATAGCTTAGCTTCTAGTTATAAGTGAGAACACACAATATTTGGTTTTCCATTCCTGAGTTACTTCGGTTAGAATAATGGTCTCCAACTCCATCCAAGTTGCTGCAAATGCCATTTTCTTCCTTTTCATGGGTGCATAGTATTCCATGGTGTGTGTGTGTATATACACACACGCATATATACACATATACCCACACATATACATATGTATATATGTACATATACACATATATGTATATCTACATATGCACACATATACATATATAATATGTACACATATACATATATATGTACACATATACACATGTACATACGCACATATAAACATGTGTGTATACATGTATACACGTGTACACATGTACATATACACATATGTGTATATACATGTATGCACATGTACATATATACATATGTGTATATACATGTATGCACATGTACATATATACATATGTGTATATGTACATGTATACACATGTACATATATACATATGTGTATATGTACATGTATACACATGTACATATATACATATGTGTATATATACATGTATACACATGTACATATATACATATATGTGTATATATGTATATATGTGTGTATACATGTATATGTGTGTGCATATATGTCTATATATATGTGTGTATATATATATACACACACACACACACACCACATTTTCTTTATCCACTCATTGGTTGATGGGCATTTAGGCTGGTTCCACATTTTTGCAATTGCGAATTGTGCTGCTATAAACATGCATGCGCAAGTGTCTTTTTCATTTCCTCTGGGTAGATAACCAGTGGTGGGATTGCTGGATCAAATGGTAGTTTTACTTCTAATTTTCCATACTGTTTTCCACAGTGGTTGTACTAGTTCCATAGTGGTTGTACTAGTTTCCATGCTGTTTTCCATAGTGGTTGTACTAGTTTACATTCCCATTGGCAGTGTAAAAGTGTTCCCTTTTCACCATATCCATGCCAACATCTATTTTTTTTTTATTTTTAATGATGGCCATTCTTGCAGGAGTAAAATGGTATCACCCTGTGGTCTTGATTTGCATTTCCCTGATAACAAGTGATGTTGAGTGTTTTTTCATGTTTGTTGGCCATTTGTATTTCTTCTTTTGAGAATTGTCTATTCATGTCCTTAACCCATTTTTTGATGAAATTATTTATTTTTTTCTTGCTGATTTGTTTGAGTTGTCGATTCTGGATATTAGTCCTTTGTCAAATGCATAGTTTGCAAATATTTTCTTCCACTCTGTGGGTTGTCTGTTTGCTGATTATTTCTTTTGCTGTGAAGAAAGTTTTTGGTTTAACTAAGTCCCATCTATTTATCTTTGTTTTTGTTGCATTTGCTTTTGGATTCTTGGTCATGAACTGTTATTCTCAAATTTACATTTTCAGTTCCAGGTTCTATTTGTCACCCACAGACATTAGTCTTGACAGTCCTATGCAATATGTGGCATCAACAAGAGTAAACAGGAGCTGGGAAGACAGATACTTCCCTCTGCTCACAGCAGCAGAAATTCCACATTAGCCAGGGGGCCCCAAGAGGTGGGGGGCTGGTTCAGAATTCTGAGAAAGAACTGAACAATAGCCCAATGGCTGGGATATTAAAAAGCCAGCCATAACACCTCACAACTCCCTAGCAACACCCTTGGGGCCACACAGCCTCAAACTCCTGAGCTCAAGCAATCCTCCTTGGTTCAGCCTCCCTATGAATAGCTGGGACTACAGGCCACACTCCTTGAGGAGTGTAACCTCTGCAGCAATCTCACACTTTTCCATGGCATTTGGTCATAACTGTGGTCACTCACAGGAACACAGAAATAGTGTAGGAAGACAACCAAACATTCATGATGGAAATAAAAAAAACCAGAATGCTGGTGTCCTTCTTCTAGTAACTGGAGACGTGCCCAATGAAACTGGCTTGTTGAGCTTCAAACAATAATCTCCCTTAAACAGCAGTTGGAGAATTAAGTTCTAATCATTTAAAATCATGAGCACTGACTTCTTAAAACATACTAGTATTCTGAATTAATGAGAAAAGGACACGGCAAAGAATATCAAATACATTGGAAATTTTGTTAAATTTGAGTTAAGGAGAGAAGGCAGACACGTTGCTAAGCCCAGTTGGGTTCTCATAGGGTTACTGAATCAGAGGGCTGGAAGAAGCCCCATTTTCAAGCCCCCAGACATGACTGTCTGGAAACCACTTGGATGAACAAGAGTTTAGCTTCGTTAACAGTTTTTTAGGGAGGGGCTTCGTAATTTTCCTCTGCAACTCCAGAGTTCTATTTATAAATATGTATAGTGGTTTTAAATAGCCATTATTCCCCTACCTGTGTGCAAGCTATGTGAAGTTTGGGGTGGCTTATAAAAATACATATAAGACAAAATGATAACATAAATAATTAACAGAATAAAAATGAGGAAACAAGGGCCAAAAAGGAATTAAGAGATGAAAGCAGCCCACTGAGTAAGCTTACTATTTATCCTGCTGAGGTAGGATACCAATTCAACTCTGAGCTTTCTACTAGCCAAAGCAAAGACACAAGTGCATCTGATGACAAGGTTTGAGGTATTAATAAGCTACATACAAACCAGTTATTCAGCAGAAATAAAGCTCTCCCTGGGTTAAGCTTTGAGAGTTTTTCTCGGGGCTTCTCATGAAGAAAACTGGATTATGCAGTAAACAATATCGTTCCCAACATCTCATAATACATCTAAGACCATCCCGCACCGTGCCAGGCGTAGCTGGTGGCAGAGCAGGACGCTCCCTGCACACAGTGCTCACATGCTGCAGCCACAGAGGATGAGAGACGGCATGTCCCCAGCCTCTCCTCCTTACTGGCTGCCATTGGAAAGATCAGACCTGTCAGAGAAGTCAATGCAAAAACATGAAAAAAACGTGTAATTAAAAAAGGAGAAAACCTTGAGAGATGCAGTGTTATACATGCCTCTAGTTTCATAACTCCCAAATTTCTAGATTTGATTTGATTTTATTGTTTTTTAAGAGACAGGGTCTTGCTCTGTCACCCAGGCTGGAGTACAGAGGTATGATTATAGCTCACTGCAGTCTCAAACTCCTGGGCTCAAGCGATCCTCTTGCCTCAGCCTCCCAAGTAGTTGGGACTACAGGCACGTGCCACCACACCCAGCTGTTTTTTAATTATTTGTATAGATGGGGTCTCACTATGTTGCCCAGGCTGGCCTCTAACTCCTGTCCTCAAGCAATCCTCCCACCTCAGCCTCCCCAAGAACTGGGATTGCAGGCATGAGCTGCTGCACTGAAACCCCTAATTTCTAGATTTTAAATTCAAATTTACCAACACTAAATAGGGTCATGTTTATGTCTCCCAAGAGCACCAAATGCACTGTGGGTAAACAACTCTTTCCAGGCCTCAGTTGGTTAATCTTCCAACCAGTATTTCACTGTTGACTAATGATGAGCATGGCTCCAGACTCTTTCCACGTGTTTATGTTATAATAAACATATGGATAAAGCATTTAACATGGTGCCTGGCACATGACCACGCCAGGTGTCAGCTATTGCTGTTAGTTCATTTCATCTGCACATCTCCATGACAGAAATACTCGAAAGCAGGAGCCTTGTTACAGATGAAGCACAGAGAGGTTGGATAACTTGCCCAAGATCACACAGCCAGTAGTGGAAGAATTGGGATTTGAACCTAGATAGTCATGGTCTCGACTCCAAGTACTTCACCGCCCCACTCTATGCCCTTGCTTGGTAAATCCGTGTGAGGAGTCTTTCATAGACCTAAAGCACCATTGAATGGATCCTCAGAAAACTTAATTTCATCACTATTAAGTATTCTAAAAGAACATCTTCAGAGTGGCCCTGAAGACAGTCATGGATGAGGGTTACAGACGTGAGCTGAGCAGGGCAGCCACGAAGGAGCAAGGCAGGGCCCCGTGGGAGACTTGGAAGGTGGCAATGTTTATGTAGAGATATAAATAGGTTTTGATAAGTTTGGTCTAAAAGAAATAGTCATCTCAATTTGCAGTTAAGCGTTCTATGCTTCTCCCCAAAACTTCATTGCTGTGCCCAGCAGGGTGCATGTTTTACACAGATGATGGGCAAACATTCTTAAGTGCAAAAGGAAACCAGACAAAAAGTCCCCATGACGAGACAGCCGAGTGGGAGTGCATCTGACTCTGACTGCAGGCCCAAAAAGATGGAGGTGAGGACCAGGACAGGAGCTGGACCACTGGGGAAGCAGTCAATCTAATTTTTTAAGATTAAATAAAATAAGTCCAAGATGAAAGCCTCCTTGAGCTGTCGTCCATACATAATACCCCTTAAACAAAAAAAAAGCGGGGTTGGTGGTGGGGACTAATATTACTGAAAAAACATACTGAGAAATGTAAAATTTGGTCTTTAGTCTTTGAAAAACAAAATAAACTTGGCATCTGACTTTGGTTTTCTCACATCAGAGTCTACTTACAGCGAGGCAATTTCCGTCATGGAAAGAACCCGCAATGAAATGGCACAGCCGTGGCCATTAGCTTGACAAGCATGGAGCCTCAGCCCTTGTGAGTGTGAATGGGCCTCATTTATCCAAGAACGGCACTGAATACATCCCAGAGGGGCAGCCCCAAGCTCGCTGGCCACATTAAATCTGATTCACCCTCACTTCAGAACACTTAGCAGGGGCCCACTCCTTGGAGAAAGTCCAAGGCAAGTCAGAATGTAATTGCGGAAATCAATATGTCTTCTTCTTTGAGTCAGTGGAGGCAAACCCGCTAATCCTGTCGAAAATCTACCTATTCTTCTAGAGCCATCCTCCTTCCTAATCCTCTGAATTCCTCTTGCACCTGGACACGACTTTCCAACCCCTTGTTCTCCATCACATGCTGGTGAAATGTCCCCGAACTCTTCCAAAGCTTTCTCCCTCCTGCTACCAGAGTGCTCTCCCCCAAACAGAAATGCAAGCTGCCCATGTCCAACCTAACCCCCATCATGGCCCAGAGCCCCTCCCTAGATTCTCCTCAGTGATCTGGCTCTGGAGCCCCTCAATTCACTCATTTGTTTAGCAAATATCTGTGGAGCATCTTTCTAGGCCAAGCACTGCCCCAGGTACTGGAGTTATATCAGTGTCTCTATTAACATGGGGCTGGCATTTGAGTAGCCAAAGCCCCTCTCCCCAACTCCATGTGCTCTGTGCTCAAAGACCACATTCCACATCACCCCCTAGTCTCTTCCCTTCAGGCCTTCACTTTTGCTACTCCCTCTGCCTTCAAGGCCTATGACCACCTGATACCTGCCCTATTCACCTGTTCACCACCTGGTACCTGCTCTATTCACCTGTCCATGCTCACCTCTAGGTTCTCTACAAGCCTTTCCTGGGCCGCCAGAGAGGAATGTCTCCCTTCCAATTGCACCATTCTCTGTATTTTCTCAGTAAGTGTCTGCAGGATGAGTGAGTACATTTATGAATGAATCTTCCATTTAAATATTGAGTTCCTTATCTCATACCTGCAGTGCAAGAGAAAGCCCCTCGTGTTGCAGTCAGAAAACCATTGCTGACCTTGGTTGACCTTAGATGGGTCACCTAACCTTTCGAGGCTCAACTCCTTCATTCATAAAAATGAATGGATGCTTTCTTGAGGTTGCTGTGAGGACATCCCTGAGATGATGCCTGTGAAGAAAGTCTGCAAACTGTGAAGCACTATACAGATTAACACAGCAACATACTGCATGTGCATGGCTGTGCATGCGTGTATGTGGGTGTAAATGTGAGGCTTTTTGTTCTTGGCAACTGTTCATAACTGTACCTCGGTGAACTCTTAGGTAGGTCAGGAAGCTAAGGTTTACTATTGTGCAGTGTTCAGCATGCAACTGCTTTTTGGAATGTCACTGTCTTTCTGAATGTTCCTTTTGGTTTATTAGGTTAGTTCACATTAAGAAGAACTTGGTGAGGAAGCCACATGGAAGAAATGGAAAGGCTTTCTTTGGCAGCTCTACCCTAAGAGGGCAAAGGGGTCAGTTCTGCGAGAGAACCCCCACAAGGAGGCTGGCCCGGGACAAGCATTCCAGGCCTGTCTCAAGTCTGAATACAAATAAATCCCTTCTCAGGTGGTTTTCTTCATAAGGATCCTAAAAGCATATACTTAGTCCTAATCGACTGAGCAAGCTCCTAATCAAGTTTCATAGTGTGAATCGAGGTCAGTCACCACAAAAGGTATTTTTAGGACCCCAGACAAGGAGGGGATTGTCTGGAGCGCTGCAGGGTAATTTGTGGGTCTGTTTTATTTCTGAATCAGAGGCAGTGGAAAAGCTGTTTCAGACCCCATGGCTGGAGCAGCGGGTGGAGCTCAGCAGTGATTCATGTAGAACTCCGGGCTCAAACTGAAACCGTAGATGTTTGTCTTCACAGCTGTGTGTTATTTTTACCCTTACTAAATATTCTCTCTTACACCTGGAATTTCAGCCTCTTCCCAACAGTCCTGTTCCCTCCCCCTTCCCTGAAGCAGTTGAAGACAAAATTAATTAAAAAGTCACCACCAGCTCACCAACAGTTAGTTCTTTGTCCCCTTAAAGGGGCTCGATGTTTCCCTGAGAAAGTTTCATTATTTAAGTTTATATTTCTCTTTACAGCCAAAAACGAATGCCAGCAAGACCGTGTTGCTTTTAGATCTTGAAAACTGGAGGGAAATGCACCATTTTGGGATTCATCATTTGAAAACAAAATGTTCTGTAGCATAAGATCTCTACAAGCAGTTACATGACAAAGATCAGATGTGACATCTTTTCTATCTTGTGCACGTCTTTTAATTTGTCTGAAAGACTCCTTTTTCAGAGAAGAAAGGATTGAGCCCAATAGCCAGTATGGTGCTTCATGTTTTTATAACAGGCCAGGTGAATCCTGGTAACCAAAACAATTTTACTTTCTTTTTTTCTTTTTTTTTTTTTTTTGAGACGGAGTTTTGCTCTTGTTGCCTAGGCTGGAGTGCAATGGCGCGATCTCAGCTCACTGCAACCTCCGCCCCCACTGGGTTCAAGCGATTCTCCCGCCTCAGCCTCCGGGATTATAGGCACCTGGCTAATTTTTTTTTTAATATATATTTTTAGTAGAGATGGGGTTTCACCATGTTGGCCAGGCTGGTCTCGAACTCCTGACCCACCTATTATTTTTAAAATGTGATTGTTTTGGAAACACCTGGTGAGGTTAATGTAAAGGTGAGTGCAGGTGAACTGACCTGATGTGATAAAGTAAGATAGTAATAAATGTTTCTAAAATGTGTAACATATACAAAAAATCAAAATGCAGTTGGCACTTGGATTTGGTGCATCTTGTCACTGCTTGTCTGACACGTGGAGAGAACCTTGCTATCCCTCTCAATGCAGGAAAGACGTTCAGCTTCTTCTAAGAAGCCCTGAGGGAGTGAAGAAGAGTCCAGGCCTGTGGTCAAATGGCCAACTTTCACTTTCACTAACTTTCACTTGAGCAAGTGACGAAAACTTTTGGAAACTCAGTGGTCATCCGTAAATGTGAATAATCATAATAATGTCATCTCATAGATGTTTGAGAAAACTGGACAATATGTTGTATACCAAAATCTATTAATAAATCATGTGGGTTTTAGAAATATGGGTTAATATTATCCCTTTCAGGGTCTTTTTCTCCTGCCCAGGTAGAGTTGATGGTACCCTCATATCTGTTATTGCTGGGCCCTGAACATCGCTCTGTACTGAATGTGTCTTATGATCTCACAGAATCTTTTTCACCTTTGGTAGACCATGAGCTCCTCTTAGTTCCTTTTTTTTTTCTTTCTCTCTTTTTTTTTTTTGAGACAGAGTCTTGCTCTGTCACTGGAGTGCAGTGCCGTGATCTCAGCTCATTGCAACCTCTGCCTCCCAGGTTCAAGTGATTCTCCTGTCTCAGCCTCCTGAGTAGCTGGGACTACAGGCACCTGCCACCATGCCCAGCTAACTTCTGTATTTTTTGTAGAGATGGGGGTTTCACCATGTTGGCCAGGCTGGTCTTGAACTCCTGACCTCAAGTGATCTGCCCACCTCAGCCTCCCAAAGTGCTGGGATTACAAGTGTGAGCCACCTGCACCCGGCCAGCTTCACTTAATTCTTAATCCATCTCCATCGAAGCTAACACAGTCCATGATGCAGATTAAACACTAAATACACGTTGGTTTCCTGCAGCATTTGTCAACTTCGACACTAGTGCCACTCGGAGCCAGGTCACTCTTTGGACAGGTGGGGGTGGGGGCTGCAGGGGCGCTGCCCTGTGTACTGCAGGATGTCCCCGGCCTCTACCCACCAGACACCAGTAACACCTCCCAGCTGTGACCAGCAGAAACACGAGCATTGGCAAATGCCTCTGGGGGCCACATCACGATGGTTGAGAACCACTGGGCTAATGAATTAAGATCCACTGAGCTCAGGCAAGGAGGCAAGAGCCTCTTGTTTTACCTGGTGTTTATTAGAGAGAAGTTCCTGTCCCCAGTGTCTGGGGTGATGCTTAAAAGGGGCCCTTAAAGGGGCCTCTATGCTCATGAGGATTCCTAGTTATGGTTTGTCCGTACCTTGTTTGGGGTACATTCCCCAAGCCTTGGCCCATCCTCGCTTCCTCTTTTCCTCATGCCATATGTCCAACCCATCAGCAAAGCACGTTAATTCCACCTTCCAACTATACCCAGGATGCGACTGCCTCTCCCACCCTCCCTTGCTACCACTCTCACCCACTCTCACGCAGATGTCTCCCATCCTACACCCACATTTTCTCAGGAAGACTTCAACACAGGAGCCAGAGAGGCCCTGCAAAATCTAAGTAACACTATATCCCTCCTTTGCCTCAAGTCCCCTAATGATTTCTGAACTCACCAGAAAGTGAAAGTCAAAGTCCGGCAATGGCCCCACGGGCTCTCCAAACTCATCATCTATTACTCTTCTTCTTGGACACTAAACAGCAGCCACGATGGCCTGCTTGTTGTCCTCGAACACCTCAAGCTGACCTCAGGGCCTTTGCATTTAGCATTCCCTCCTCTTGGAATATTTTCTGCTGTTTAATCACGGGCATTCTCCCTCAACTGCCTTTGCAGCTTTACTCAAACATCACTTTTTTGTGATCTTCTCCAGCCACCTTCTTTAGAGCTGCCATCCGCTTCACGTCTTTATTTTTCTCCTTAGCATTTACCATGATCTAACCTGCTGTGTTTTCATAAGTGGTCTGATGTCATGACCATCTTCACTGCTAGAAAGTGAACTTAGTGAGGCAAAACTTTTTTGTATATTTTATCACTCTATCCCAAGAGACTAGGAAAGTAGGTGCTCAATAAATATTCATTGAATGAATGAATGACTCCACGCATAAACAGTATGTCTAAGGCCCTGATGGACCCAGCAGATACTCCCTACTTTTTCTCATCTCCATCACATGACAAATGGCATGTTTTTTAAATAACATCTATAAAACATCCTGCTATCTGACCCGAGGCTGGAGTTATTCATGGCATGCAATGAATCTATCCCAGAGAGAGGCAAGGCCCAGATAGCATTGTCTCTCGCTGCACAGGCCCAGCTGGGCAAAGCGCCAATGTGGCGGGAGGGAAGGAGGTATTTCTCAACTCAGGCAAGGACTTCTGGGGAACAACCCCACCTCCGCGTAGATCCTCCCAGATCATTCGCTGGGTGGGTCACCTTTACCCAGCTGCTGGGCTTTCTCATTTTTCATCTCCTTGGATCGTGCAACAGAGCAGTGGTTCTCAGACTACCAGGCATCGGAATCCCGCAGAGGGCTCCTTCAAACACAGCGTGCTGGGCTGCCACCCAGGTCTCTTCCGATTCTAGGGCAGGGCCTAAGAAGCCGCATCTCAAACAAGCTCCCAGGTGGAGGTGATGCTGCTGGTCCCGGAGCCCACGCTGAGAATCACCACACCGGGGGAACCCTCACTCAACAGAATCAAACATGGCAATGGCTCCAGGTGGCCTGCAGACTGGGCTGAGGGGGGACTCACAGCATGGCACATAAATTGACTGAGTTCCACCTGCAGTGAGCCTCCAGGTGGGCTTCACGAAATCGCCATCGCCTGTGGAAAGGGGAAGGTGCCACTTAGTGTAAGCTGCCTGTGATCTGGCTGGCCTGAGCTGGGGATGCTCAGATGGAGGAAAAGCAGCCTGCTCTGCACAGACCTGCCAGCCTGCTCACGAGAAGACAGTTTGCTTGTGGACCATGAGTGAGCAGGTGTTACCTCTTGGCTTATCCTGCTAGTCTATCATGACTTGAGCTTTGGGGACCTCACAGCAAATTCAGGGCATTGGTAGGGAGCTCACGAGAGGCTGAGCAGGCGCTGAAACTCCCAGCCAGGCCCTTGGTGTGGATGGCACAGGAAAACAGCTGGTTTTAGTTTGGCCACACACTGACAGTTCTCCATTGTGTGAACACTTGGGGCTTTCTGGTGCGTGAGGCTAGAGTGAAGAAAGGGAGAGGGTGGCTGTGGACCACCGAAGCTGAAAAATGATGTCCTGTGTCTACACAACGTGCAATTAGATTACTGTCTGCAAGAATGCTGCTGTTTGATCTGGCAGTGGCCAAGCCAAACCCACAAGGACATCCCAGTTGGCTCGCAAAGCAGTGGTTCCTTTCTCTCCTGTTTTTCTTTTATTATGCTTTACAGAAACTCTATTATAATGGCAACAGATCTCGTTTCACCACTTGTATTTCATTTCAGGAGCTTGTAAGCACGTTAGGACTGAGGTTTTGTAGAATTCCACTATTCGGTTGGGAACTAAGTCCTTCCTTTCTCTCAAAGCACATGGCCTTTTTCTCCGTGGGTACTGGATGGATAGGGATGGACAGAGGGCACTATTCCCAAGCTGGGTATTCTAGGCAGAAGGAGGTGGGCCATGTTCTGGAAAGACCTAAGCTGCAGAGAGTGCACTTCTCCCGTGGAGGTGTCTGCAAGATAGTCAGGGGCCACAAAGGTAACAGCCCACAAGTTCTAGCCAAAGAGTAATATTTGACTTACGTAACTTCCCCTTGGACTTGACTTCAAGTGGCATGTGCACTACAGGAAAGCCCATTATGCATAAGCTAAGAGGAGGGACAATTAGAAGAAGCTATTGGGCCAGGGGCCAGGAGATGGGCTAACTCCCTGGCACAGCTGGCCTGGGGCTTCCGAGTCTGGAAGGATGCAGGTGCAGGTAGTGGAGCGTTGAGGAGCTGCACTCCTGGCGGGGCTCCTCCAGAGGCAGGCAGCCACACACTGCTCTGCAGCATCTCATCTGTGAGCCCCTCCGTGGCAGAATCTGCGTCTCCGTGAACCCTGCCTCTGCCCTGGCCCCTCGAGCTGGGCTGACACAGCCCGGTGCTGGTTCACGGTGTCCAAAATAAAGCAGAGTGAATCACGCCCATGTTCCCTTTTATGGAGCTGCACCTGACATTCGTAAAGAGCCCATAGTGAGGCCGGGCATGGTGGCTCACGCTTGTAATCCCAGCACTTTGGGAGGCTGAGGCGGGTGGATCACCTGAGGTAAGGAGTTCGAGACCAGCCTGGACAACATGGTGAAGCCCCATCTCCGCTAAAAATATGAAAACTAGCCACTCGGGAGGCTGAGGCAGGAGAATCGCTTGAACTCGGGAGGCAGAGGTTGCAGTGAGCCGAGATTGTGCCATTGCATTCCAGCCTGGGTGACAAGAGCAAAACTGTCTCAAAAAAAAAAAAAAAAAAAAAAAAAAGCCCACAGTGAGTCAGCAAAGCCTGCGGATGGGATCCCAGGCAGTCCTTTGTCTGCCCCAAGGCTGCCTCCAACCTCTGGCTGAGATGAGTCTTAGCTCCACTGATAACTGTTCAGCTTTCTTTTCCCCCATTCCCCTTCAGGAAGCCCGTTGGATTGTTAATAGCAGAACACTGACTCACCACTTATGTTTCAATTCTTTCAGATCACTGAGCTTGAGCAGCCCCCTAGTGAACCTCTGACCTGACACGCCACCCCCTTTACCACCCGCTGTCCAGTCAGGCTGAGCTCCAGCAGCAGCGGTGAACTGGCCCCCCAGAGCACACTGGTTTGGAGATCTAAAAAGTACAATGGGTCACCAGTCACTGATGAGTGCAGCATCCCTGGAAGTCAGGTGTGGGGGTCAGTTTCCTGTGTCAACTTGGCCAGGCCGTAGCACCCAGTGACTTAATCAAATGCTAACTGAGGTTGTACTGGGAAGGCATTTGCACAGGTAGCTAGTCAGTTGAACTTGACTAAAGGAGATGATGTCAGATAATGTGAGTGGGCCTTGTCTAATCAGTTGAAGGCCTTAAGAACAAAGCCTGCGGTTTCCAGAGCAGAAGAAATTCTGCCTACTTTCCAGCCTGCCAGCCTCCCCTGCAGATCTCAGACCTGCCCACTCCCACAACTGCATTAGCCAATTCCTTCAAATAAATATCTTAAAATGTAAAAATATCCTATAAGTTCTATTTCTCTAGAGAATCCCAACTGATACACCAGGCCAGCACCCAGACACAATGCCAGGAGACACACTGAGCTCTGGGGGAGACGGGCATGAGCTCTGTATCTTTCTCTTCTACAAAGGGGATTAGTGTCAGCCACTCCTCTCCCTCCCCCTGGAACATCCTTGTGGGTAGGGGACGATGACACTTGGTGACTGGTTGACATCTGTACATTGCTAGATGCCTCAAAGCGGAGGCAGCCTCTGCAGCCAGTGTTCCTCCCCTGCCTATTACAACCCAGCTGCCCTTTTCCTCAAAGGAGGCACGTAGGCCTGGATTGAAGGCAGATGAGGTCCACCTTGTTCCCTTCATGAACAGCACCTGCCAAACCGACATCACCGAACCCACCGGAGGACCCGGAGGATGAAGAGGATGACATGATGGTCTTCACTCGGTATCCACCCACCAAAACACATCACCGATGCTTTAGGAGCTGGAACAGCATTGAAAGTTTATGACGGCAGCAATCTGGGCAATGTTAGAATTCTATGAGCCCTGAGAGAGGAACTCTTAAAGTTCCCATTGTTTCCTTGAAAGAAAATGTCAAGGCCGGGCGCGGTGGCTAACACCTGTAATCCCAGCAATCTGAGAGGCCAAGATGGGTGGATTGAGTTCGAGACCAGCCTGGCCAACATGGTGAAACCCCATCTCTACTAAAAATACAAAATTTAGCCAGGCATGGTGGCGGATGCCTGTAATCCCAGCTACTCAGGAGGCTGAGGCAGGGGAGTCGCTTGAACCCCGGGGGGTGGAGGTTGCAGTAAGCTGAGATCGTGCCACTTCCCTGCAGCCTGGGTAAAAAAGAGCAAAACTCCATCTAAAAGAAAAATAAAAAAGAAAGAAAATGTCCAGTTCCCCTGAAAAAGATGTTTCCCGGAAAGAGACCCTCAGCGCAGCACCAGCCTTTCACTTGCCTGACAGAAAAACCACCCAAGAGCTTTCCCCAGTCTGCTGCGCTGAGGGCCCTGGGGCGGAACTGCCCTGGTGTCTTTCTTATGGACTGAAGCTCCTGGTGTCTTTCTTTCTTATAGACTGTAGCCCCTTGCCTGGGGCTCAGGGTTACCCCAAACTCCCAACCTGTACCCCTGGGGTCACAACACAGGCTGGAAAAGCTTCCCCATGCCTGGCCAGGAGGGAGAGGAGACATCAGCTACCAAGGGGCATCACAGGCTCACACTAAGGAAAACAGTGTTTGCACTTCTCCCACAAACAGAATGCTTATTTTTTTATTTTTTATTTTTATTTTTTTGAGATGGAGTTTCTCTCTGTCGCCCAGGCTGGAGTGCAGTGGCGCGATCTCGGCTCACTGCAAGCTCCGCCTCCCGGGTTCATGCCATTCTCCTGCCTCAGCCTCCCGAGTAGCTGGGACTACAGGTGCCCACCACCACGCCCGGCTAATTTTTTGTATTTTTAGTAGAGACAGGGTTTCACCATGTTAGCCAGGATGGTCTCGATCTCTTGACCTCGTGATCCACCCGCCTTGGCCTCCCAGAGTGCTGGGATTACAGGCGTGAGCCACTGCGCCCGGCCAGAATGCTTATTTTATTTTAAATTCGGGAGTAACACAGTGAGAACAATAGAAACTTTCATTTCTGGAGCACTGTTCTCGCCTCCTCACTCAGTCTCCCTTCGGAGGCTTGCTGAATCCAGACTGGCCCCAGGCCAGACTCTCAAACAAGGGCCAGGACATGGCTCACTCTGCCTGTTGTCCATCGGAAATCATCTCAGTGCCCTTTTGTCTGAGATGTTTCCTTCCTCTCTCCCCACCTTCCAACATCCCCCTCCTCCCTGCAGGTGAATTGCTCATAGGTAGAAATTAGCCTCTGCAGAAGAAAAGCTTTAGAAATGTGTCCCGGTCTTAGTGTCTCCGCCGTGATCACGCTGGCATATATGGGATCATATGACCCCACCCAAAACAGAATTCATTCAGTGTTTCCAGGCTGTGTTCCACCAACTGATCTACTGCATAAACACTGCTGCATTCTTTAGAACATGATTACCCTGCATTCTTCTGTGTTTCAGAAATATATATAGTTAATGATCAACAGAAACATTGTATCAAATGCATAGGATTTATGGGTAAAAAATATTTACATGTAATCATTAATTTCCCACAACTTTGGTGTCCTGGACCCATCATTGCATTTTCTATCCAGGTCCTTCTGTAACTCCAGGAATGAATCTCTTGATGAGATTCAAAAATATTTACATGTAATCATTAATTTCCCACAACTTTGGTGTCCTGGACCCATCATTGCATTTTCTACCCAGGTCCTTCTGTAACTCCAGGAATGAATCTCCTGATGAGATTCAAGATGGGCCTGCCTCGAGTTCCACTTAAAGGACCAGTGCGGTGGCAATATGTAGCATCAGAGCCAGTGCACTTTCAAGAAGCAGATGCACAGACGCAAACTGACTTCTCAGAGTGGAGGAGTGTTCTGGCATCTCCCATCTCCCCATCTGGCACGTCCAGCCTTGCCGTTGACATTCCCTCTAGGACACTGTGACTTGGCACCTTCATTAACACCACACTAGGAATTGACGCAACCGTTTCCAGACTTATAAACTATGACACTTATAATAAACCTTTTTAGCGTTAAAACATATATGTAACAAAAAGGCCCCATTACAGCTTCAACAGAGTGGAAAATGCTCAGGGTGTGGAGTCAAACACTCCTGGTTTAAATCCAAACTCTGATTCCATTTAAGTGGTGATTTGGGGTCAGACTGGAAATGCCTGATCACAGGTTTCTTCATCCATCAAATGGGGTCAAGTATACTTCATGAGGGGCTGCTCGGAGGACTGAGGGGCTACTGGATATAAAAGGGCTTTGTACACAGTAAAGTTTCCGAAAATGTGAGCTGTTCTTATGACCTGATGGTAGATTATGCAACATTTCGAAGAAATAATCTGTTCTTTATCCTAAGATTTGATATTCTTTTTCCTGAATATATATGGGGTATTAGATCATAATTGAAATTAATTTTACTTTTCAAAACTACACAGAATTCAACACTTTTTGAGGGCCAGGGACAGTTCTGCATTTGGTAATACATTTTACGTGACAGTTGTATGTTCATGACAAACTCAGGGAAGCTAATAATTATGGGAGACACTGGAGAGGGCTTTATGTGTAAGCTAAGAGGAGGAAAAAAAAAAAAAACAAACAGCAGGCATTAAGAGAAGAGGACCGCAGAGATCAGAGGGTGGGGTGAGGGTGGAGGGCAGACAATGGAGATCCACTAGCAAATTCAAGTGGCTTGGACATACGCCGCACTGCCTGGCCACTAGCTGACACTCTCCCTTTGTGAAAACATAAGACGGCATTATTTTCCAGGCAATCAAACCTCAGATGAATTCTGCCATATGTGGGCAAGGCTCCCCTCCCACAGAGCCCTCGTGCCTGGGAAATAGAATTGAACACATCTTCAAAGAGAGTTCTTGGTAAATATACTACTAATTTTACAAACTCCATCCTCTACACAAACCACTGGAGAACACATTTTCCCAGCGCTGTCCAACGTCACCGTTCAATGGCCTTTCTTTCTTTCTTTCTTCTTCTTTTTTTTTTTTTTTTTTTGTTAGCCAGAGTCTTGCTCTGTCGCCCAGGCTGGAGTGCAGTGGCATGATCCCGGCTCACTGCAACCTCTGCCTCCTGGATTCAAGTGATTCTCCTGCCTCAGGCTCCCGAGTAGCTGGGATTACAGGCACAGTGGCCTTGCTTTCTAAGTCAATCTTTAGAGAAGCATGACTGACTTCCACTTTGCCTTTGCAAAGGATAGGAAAATGGGAGGTCAGGGAGAGAAAGGGGCGGAAGTCTCCTTACCTTGAGCCATTCACCTGGCTAGGGTTACATTCCATTTTGATGGTGACCCTGGCTGGGGGTTGAGACAGCCAATCCTGCTGAGGGACGCGTGGGCTCATCTTGGAAGTCTGTCCATAGTCGCTGGAGGAGGACGCGGTCATCTCTGTCTTAGCCAGGTGTGGCGTTCCGTAGGCACACTCAAACAACGACTGGTCCTCACTCACAACTGATAAGGCTTCCTGAATGCCCAAAGAAACACATAATTCAAGACACTCCAACAGACAGTCATGTTTCAAAAAGTTGTTGATTTCAGAGTCCTTTCTAACTGGGACCACATTTTAGATCGTTTTTATGGTCTCCATTTCTACCTTTCAGAAGAAAAAAGTAGCTTGTTTTTCTTTCCTCGGGACAGTAAGAGTTAGAAATGCCAGCCTAGAAAAACTTTTATGCAGGTCTCGAAGCATCCCAGGCTTGACTGTGGCAGGGCAGCAGAATATCCACTTTAATCTCAACTTAAGGAAGTTGAATTTCAAAGGTCTTAGAAGACATCCAATTGCATGTGTCACTATTTGACAAATGCAATCTATAATTCAAGCAGACAGGGTACAGAGCGGTCATGAGGATTAAAAAAAAGAAATCTGAAGGCCAACACCTAAGCATCTGGCAAAATTGCCACATTCCTGGGGATTTTGCGGAAGAGGGACTTAGAGGAAGACAGAGGGATCAATGGAGCACCAAAGGGCAACCAACCAAAGATACAAACGTTTCCACTCTAAGTTATTAGCCGAAGTACAGTTTCAAGTGGTGCTTCCATGATGGTGAGCATCTGGATGATAAATGAACCAAAAAAAAAAAAAAAAAAAAAAAAAAAGCTGTGAAGTATCCAGATGCTTCCAAACAGCAGGATGTTTAAAATATCTGGATCACTGACAAGCTCTTTTTTCCCCTTACTTTCAATTAATATCTTCGCTCTTTTGCATGATTTGGTGAGAAGAAATAGCAATTTGTCATTGTTGGATCAATCATTTTTCGTGGTTTTAAGTCAAACAAGTGGTTAGCCAATGGCTATGTTTATATTCTACAGCCAATGAGCAACGGCAAGTTTGGGAAATTTCAACGACTTAAATGATGGCTTGTGCTGCAATGACACAGAGCTGTTGTGATACAATCCAATTTTGGTTCTTATAACAGACAAAAAGAATTCCACATGAATGCTCATTTTTATATTAGTCCTTTGGCATCCTCAGTATTGACATCAACTAGTGAGAAGCAAAGGCTAGTTGGGCCACACATTTTTATTTAAAAAAAAAGAAAAAGAAAAGAACTTTGGAGGCAGAGCAGGGGAGGCAGGGGAGTGTGGGCTGCGCAGACCCTTCCAGTCCAAACTTGTCATCTCCAAATGAGAAATCTGAGACCCAGAAAGGTCTAGAGCTAATCTTGAATGAGCTGGCCATGATCAACCAGGGGATTAGTGATGGGAATGACTTGTGTATTACCATCTGCCTTCTCCTTGCCCCCACAGCCCTATGATGCCCTTTGTGACATTTTTTTCCTTTGGGACATGTGTTTAAATTAGCACCCTCTTCCCCTTCTCTGAGATGACCTTTACATAAATAAGGGTGCTTCCCATCAGTAATCACACCCTAGAAGCAGCCCTTCTGAGATGGAGAGCTTCCTCTCCACCCAGAAGGATCAGAATTTTTAGGAAACAATCACCCCCAACTCCACATCTACTCTGTCGCTCGATCCTCCACCTGTCCCAGGACCAAGTTTTTTCCTTAGCTTCCCAAGTGCACAAACTTCTTTGCCAGACACACGGCACTGAGAATCAGCAAGGAGGAAGAATCAAAACAAACTCAAACCTCTGTCTCTCAAAGTGGTGGTCAGGTGTCTGTGCTAAAGCAAAAGCCCCCATCCTGGACTCCATAAGTATCTGTAGAATTACAGCCCTGTGACACCCTGGGAAAGACTAAGCCTGCTGTCCAAACAGTAATGCAAAATGTACCAAAGAGTCAGGTAGGCCAGACAGAGAACCAGAATCAGGCACAAGGGAAAAAAGTCATCTTGAATAGACAGCAAAATCAAACTCATCAACAACCAAAAATGATACGAGGCAGTGACACAGAAGTTGACAGTACAGAAACGGCATCCTAGATGTTAGGGAACCTGAAATTCATGGCTTTCTCTTCCAGTCACAATTGAGTGGCCAAAACAAGGAATCTAAACACATAGATGTGGGTTTCAAAGTAAAATCAGCACCATAGACTTAGTCATGCTAATTAAGACAAAAATTAGACCTTATTAAAAAATTTTTGCAAAACAGATACTCCCTTCCCATGGTGGCACTGGCTAGTGTGTTTTACAGGCTCAGAACAGGAAACAGAGCTGATGGCTGCTGCCTCTCTCCTTCCTGGGCCTGAGACTCGACCAAGGCTCGCAGGGGAATAACACACTATGTAATGTTAGCTTTGGCTCACCCATGATGAGAAACATGAACAAATGTGTGATTTATATCAGAAATTGGCGAAAACAGGTTATATATATAAGAAACAGGCTAAATTTAAAATTACAAACTAAAAAGGAAATGGCTGCAACAATAACAAACAAGCAATAACTTTAAAGTATTAGTATTTCTCCAAGATAAAGTAAGCTTACTTCTGCAAACAAAGCCAATAGCCACAAAAATGTAGTGTAAGTTTGAATAATAAAAAAAAGACCAAAATATTAGAACTAAAATGAAGCTTAAGTGTGTGTTTGTAGGGGAAGGAATCCATTCTCACATCTGGCAAAGCATTATTTCAGCACATGGTTTTCTAAAGAAAGAAATCAAAGTTAATTGAGATCGATTTAGGAAGGAAAAAACCCTCAGAAATGCTAGAGATGGGGGAGGCATGCCTCCTTTTTTTGCATCTTAAAATTCTTCTCACAGCTAATATTGCACAAAAATGAGGAAGGGAATATAATTCAGAATATTGAAAGCAACCCCTCAGTTGCTTTTGTTCATTAGAAGGGAAAAATTCTGAAAATAAGGAAGCTTCAGGATAAACACTTCAAAAGAGGTGAAATACAGTCCACATTTTGAAAAGACAGAGCAACCCAAACTATGCCCCAAAGACTTTGTTGATTGTCACTCAACAAAGGCTGCTGAACACCTAGGATGAAGTACAGCTCAGGAAAAGGAAACAAATGAATAAAGAAAATCTCTCTCACATACACATTTTGGGAGTAAGAAGAAGCTGAGGGGTTTTCACAGACCCATTCCCACAACAGCGGTCACTAAAGTTAAGTGCTGCTCTTCAGAAGCAAACCAAGGCACAGCCCTGCCACATCTTTGTCCTCCCACTTGACTTGGCTGTTGGCAGGTTTCATCATCCCTTCGGTTAAAGCTTGAATGGACACACGCTGCTGCATAGGGCCCTCCCTGCCTGGCAGCCCTGTGACTTCAAAGGGGAGAGAGGATCTAGCCCAGTAGGATTAAAACCAGAAAAAGAGTGCTGAACACAGGCTGCTAATCAGGACCACATGAGTTCTTTAACTCCAGCTCTGGGAGAGACTTCCTGGCCTTGACTGACATGTCTCTCCTTCCCTGCAGCCTGGCTCCTCCTCTTTATAACTAGCAGATCTCACCTACCTACTTACCTGCCTGCCTACCTGCCGGCCAAGGTAGGCAGCTGCCTTAGTTAGCATGTATAGATTGTTATTGCAGAAACTCTGGCCAGCCACAAGGCTTGGGATCTGCTTCAGTGGCTTTATAACAGAGAATATTTTAAACGTCAAAATCTGGCAGATATGTGGCATAATCATTTCATATGCCTGCTTCTATGTTACTATAAAAAGACCTGAACTTTAGATTGGTGTTTGCCAATGTGTGGGGTGTTTTTTTCTGTAGCTCCAGGAAAGTTGGGATATTCCCATCAGGCAAATGGCAGGCTACCAAGCTCATTTTTAAATAACTTACGAGAAACACATAATTCTAAGCAAATTACCCCCAAACAAAAGGTACTACTGTGTTAGTACTGTAGTATTGATTATTTCATTTCAATACGGAATATACCAATAACACATGAGGACCATTCCTTTGGATTTTGGTCATGGGATAACAGTTCCAGAAATGAAGGGAGGTCCCACCAGGTTATATTTCATATTATAACTCTAAAATATGCATCTATTTTCAAGTAACTAGAGTACAAAAAAGGATCCAAAATACATTAGAACACTGAAAAAGAAAACTAACAAAGTTGAATGCATACTGACATTTTCAGCAAAGTATTTCAGGAATCCTGATGCCTTTCTATAACAGATGAATACTTTGCAAGATGCCTATTTCTCAACCAAAGTATTAGAAAATAAAGGCCCAAAATTGATTCTAATTTGTGATCCTTATAGCTCATAAAAATATTACATTGTTAATACAGAGAATCCATCATACTTAACCTCTTTTGAAAATTTGGGAGTGGTAAAGTGTTGAAACTGAGAAAATCTTTAAGAATGGTCAGGTGAATTTCACATCTGGAGTAAGCAAAGGCATCCATGGTCCTTTCGTGGTTTTCAAAAATTAGGAAGATGGCCAGAACTAGGCCTCTCGAGAATTGGATTATCAAACCCACCTTCAATGTTTTCAAGTCTTATATGCTATAATTATTTGATAATTATGAAAAACAAATGGAACAACTAAGTGGAACAAGAATTGTATGATCATGATCATGCTTAAAAAAAAAAAAATCTTGGTTCGGGCATGGTGGCTCACCCCTGTAATCCAAGCACTTTGAGAGGCCAAGGTGGGTGGGTCATGAGTTCAGGAGATCGAGACCATACAAAAATCCAAAAAAAAAACAAAGAAAAAAAAATAGCCAGGCGTGATGGTGGGCGCCTGTAGTCCCAGCTACTCAAGAGGGTGAGGCAGGAGAATTGCTTGAACCCGGGAAGCGGAGGTTGCAGTGAGCCGGGATCACGCGACTGCACTCCAGCCGAGGTGACAGAGTGAGACTCCATCTCAAAAAAATAAAATAAAATAAGAAATAAAAAATAAAAAAATCTTAAAGAAGTCCTTGCTGCTATCACAACACAGTGTGGAGATCATTCACTTAGGAAGCCAGCATCATCTTCAATCAATAGCCTACTTTTTCTGTCAGTTTTAATCCCATTACAATCCAATACAAAACCCTTCCTTAAATTTCCCTCACATATAACCACGCAGAATTTGGTACATCACTTAACTCCCTATATTGCCATCTTTTAACCACTTTCATAAATAGCTTATCCACCAAATAAACCAGGTTACCTTAAGCACTTTCATGCAATATCCTCTTAAATTCTATTTTGTTGATTACAAGATACACCACTTGTCACATTTTATCAGCTCTGAAATATGAAAATGAAAGGCTTATCCTAGGTATCAGGCAGCATTTCTTCTTCTCTGATGGCAGATAAAATAATGGGACATTTTATATCCAATGACATCTTACATTTTATGAAAAATGATCATTTAATCCTTACAATTGTCCTATAAGGTCAGCTGTGATTCTTGCCCACCCATCAGAAAGTGCGATTAGAGAAGTAACATCAACAGTGAGGATGAGGCAGAAACAGGGTTTGTGTCTGTGAATGGAATCATTCCCCAAGGCTGTAGACTGGCCACTACCTGGCTGTTACTGGAAGGAAGAAGTTGGATTAAGAAAAGTCACACGGTGGAGTGTTTTGGTGCCTGCTCTTGCCATGAGAGATGGAATCACCTAGAGAGAGACAGAGAGAGAGAGGCTGGTAGAGGGAAGAGACAGAAGAAAGATGAAGGGATAAGTGTCCAGAATCCCTGGATCTGGGATGGAATAAAGGATCTGGATGGTAAACGGAGAGTGCTGGGAACCAGTAAGGACTTCTCTAGGTATACCATGCTCTTCTATGAGCCTAGGGGATGTGTAGCAATGGGCCCTGCATACAGTTAATCATTTCTTTTGCAATGGCTTAAATCAACAACCTTGTTCTTTTCTTTGATTAATCAGATTATTCAGACACAAAGACATGGCCAGGTGTTGGGATGTGTTCATTGCAGGTGGATGCCTGCCTTCTCTTAATGAGTACTATGCAGGAAAACTAGGACAGGTAGGAGTACCATTTATAAATATGCTGGAGCCTATGCCACTTTGGGCGGCCTTTAGTGGATGTCTGCAGACCTAAGGATATTGGAAATCTATCTATTAGGCTGTCGCAGGCTCTATTGTTTATAGTTTCTCTTCAAGGCAGCACATATGCAGTAGATGCTTCTAAAAGGTCTAGTATCTAATTGTATTTGGAGGAGGAAAAAACAACACAAACAAAATAGACAATGCACTTAGAGAAAGCTCTGCTCTCCCACCATAAGCCTGACAAAGATACTCCAGTCCTTCAGGAGTTTTTATTCTAAATGTGTGCACTTTTGCAATTCTGATGCCACCAGTATCTCATTAAACAAGAATCTTCATCTGACCAGTGTGTCTTTTATTTACAACACACAAAAAAGCGAAACGTGGTAAGTGAAAGAAGCTTCACAAAGCTGGGTATGATCATTTTTGCCCCTTCTTGATATGATTTTCTTTTCTTCTTAATTCTTCAGAGAAGGAAGTATTAACATCGTATATTAAATGCAGCATCTAGCTTTGTGTTCACGTTTTTCTAATTTAACACATTGCAATTTTAGTCCTTCAAAACTATAAAAAAAATCTTGGATTAACCTCAAAGGAAAAATGTATGTAGGCAAATGAAGTCCATCTAAAGAGAGTATTTCTCCAATATGGTATCACTTCAGTGTCAAATAATTTCACCACTCACAACACTAGTCCAGTGCTAAGAAATGAGACCCAGAACTAGTGTCCAGATACATTTGCACATACAGATATACAAACACATACACATGCTTACATATGTACACATATACATGTGTGCATGCATGCAAATACATACATGCGCAAATACATATATACATACACACACATATATACAGATACGCACATGCATATACACAAATACATATATAAGTGTATGCATATATGCAAATAGATACCTACAGAAATACATGCAGATATACAATACATAATGTATATACAAAAATATCATACATATGTATACATATTACTAAATACATACTAAGATAATAAGGAGAGATGAAAATCTTTATCCTTATTATCTTTATTAATAGAACGCTTTAGAGGACTTTCAGATATTCTTTATCTTTAATCATATCCACTAGGGCAAATGTTGCCTAAAAGATACAGAGAACCTGGCTTCTTCCCATTTCACCTCTGCTCCTTCCTCTCTCATCCTAGAAGGTGCTTTTCCCTATGCTCAGCACATCCCTTCAGAACAGACTTAGCTGGGGATCCATCCCCTCCATGTCCTTCAGCCAATTTTCCCGGCTCTGGACTCACAGACTTTCTCAGGGCTCTGAGAAGGCCTGGCTGGTGCCAGCAATTCTCTTTGCCCACATACTTCTCCCCTGGCCTTGCCTTTATTCAAATATAAGCATTTTCAGGGCTGGCTCCTCTGTATGTCTGCCTCTAGAAATAAGATAATTTCTTAACCTCAAATGCTTGTTGGTGTTCATATTAGCCCTAGGACTAAGACATCAGGTGATATTACAGCCCCATCATAATGCTATAAATGGGATCCACAAACTTCTATTACATCCAAATGAAGAGACGTGTTTTTGTGAGATGAATGGATTGTGTAGCCAACGCCCAGGAGTTCCAGGGAGTTTGGAAAATAATTGCCATTGGCAATATGTCTGCAGTCATACTACCAAAGAGCGTATTATTGCAGAGTTTCACCTTCAATCCACATAGGCTTAAATAGGGACTTCCTATAGCTAAGCAACCTATGAACAAAATAAGACTTACTGGAAAATGAACGTTTGCAAAAGAAGGAGGGAGCATTCAATCTGGAAAGCAGAAACTCTAGAAATATTGTGAAAGATTGGAGCATGGTAGAAAAATGTTAAAGAAAGAATAGTTATGTCCACATAATGAAAATTAGATTTAAATGAGCCTTGGGAGATCAAGAATGTCAACCAACATCATTTTAAAACAACTCTGTTTTCTCAGTGCCATGCAGAATAAACCTCGAATGCATTTGAAAGGACAATGAACTGGGACTCTTTGCCCTGGCAAATGCCATTTAACTGTTTAAGAAACAACATGCCTGTGATGTGAATAGCTTCTTATTTTCTTCTTTAAAGAATCGCTTTTTTGGCTGGGTGCAGTGGCTCACTCCAGTAATCCCAGCATTTTGGCAGGCCGAGGCAGGTGGATCACCTGAGGTCAGGAGTTGGAGAGCAGGCTGGCCAACATGATGAAACCCTGTCTCTACTAAAAATACAAAAAGTTAGCTGGGTGTGGTGGTGTGCACCTGCAATCTCAGCTACTCAGGAGGCTGAGACAAGAGAATCGCTTGAACCCGGGAGGGGGAGGCTGCAGTGAGCTGAGATCGCGCCACGGCACTCTAGCCTGGGCAACAAGAGAAAAACTCCATCAAAAAAAAAAAAAAAAGAAGAAGAAGAATCACTTTTTCTTCCCAGTAGGCTTCTTTCCTTCTTTGGAGATGAGCAAAAAGTATAAAAACATCTGTGGAAACCTCCTGTTTGTATGTTTTACATTGGAATGGGTGCAAAAAATACACTCACTATTCCTTTACATCCTTCTAAGAGGGCTGTTTCTACTCTTGACACTCAATACTTGTTTTTGTTTCTCTAATCACTGTTATACGTTACTCACGAATATTCATCAAAACCCTTTTCCTTATTTTTTATCTAGTTTTAAATAATTCATTTGAGATAAAAAGAAGTTTTTCTTTGCTTTTTTTAATCACTCAGTGGAGGATGAACATGAAGCTGTACCAATGGATAGGAGACCGTCTGGTAGAGCACGGGAGCCAGGGATAGGGATCTGAAGATGGAAGATGTGAGTTTCAAGCTGGGCTCTGCCCTTGCTCTGGGAATCACCTGGGTAAATCCTTTAACCCTTTCCTGCCCCAAGTGTGAGCTGAGAGCTTGCCAGAAATGCAGATTCCGAGTCTCCAGCCCTGCTGAGTCAGAATCTGCTTTGTAACAACTTCCCCAGGTGAGCTGGGTGCCTGCTCACTTCAACAAGTGCTGCATTATCCTTTTTTGACTCTCAATTTCTTCAACTATAAAGGTGGTACTGATGGCAACCAGCTGCCGAGCAGCTCTCTCCCAGGACAGTTAAATGGGCCAAATAATCTAGTGTGTGTAACAGGTTTCATAAATCTTAATATTGTATTTAAATTATCATATGATAGAAGGGTGATGTGACTGACTCCAAACCTCTGCATGTGAACCATCAGAATTATCCATTCTAGTCATATTATTCTAACAAGCCAGATGCAAGGAAAATCACAGTCTCTTGTGTGCAAATTATCACTTATTTTTTGTAAGTACTGGATTTTCAAACCAAGTATCTACCTAACAGAGGGGAAGGGAGATCTAGCATCTTTTACTTCAAGAGCACGTCTGTCACTTTGATTTATAGCCTTTTTGGTCCCTGGTCCAGTTCTTTTGTGGGTTTTCCATTCAAATTCTACATTAGTTTGTTTAATGTCAATTAAATCAAAGCTTTGTGCAGGAAGGAATGAATCCTGGTACACTCCCCAGCGTGCTGTTGGTATTCTCTACATAACAAGATAATAAATTAATAGATATACCATGGTCTTATAACATAATGTTCTTTTTCTTTCTTTCTTTCTTTCTTTCTTTTTTTTTTTTTTTACCTAGAATAGCACAAGGCACAAAGTTGATAGCCCTCAAACTTCTGAAGAAAAGTCTTTTCTTCCAGGATGTGGAATCCATAATGCTTTCTATGTTAACTTTCCCTAAAAATTGTTGAATTTTTCATAAACTTCTATGAGGAAGTGTTTCCATGGCAGTCTGGCTAAGAGGTTCACACCATCATTCTGTCCTGGTGATTTTTGAAACTTACAAGCCCAGGTTGAAACTCAGGTGATTCAAGGCTTGAGAAACACAAAGGCCAAGCTCAAGGAGTAGCAAAGTTGCTTGCACTTTTTTTCTATTGGCATGGTCCTTCTCTGAACACCAGGGAAGGGGTGGTGCACCACCTCTCTCCTCTTCAGAAGGAGCTCCGTGAAAAATCGGCAGTTTTATGCTTGGCCCTTTCAAAACACACAAAGGCTAAAAATACAGTGTGCTACGCATCTGGAATGTGTCTCATCTGTGAATCTCTGACACATGGATTCATTGTTTTCGATAAAATTCCAGGAATTTTATTCATGAGAAAATTCTGGCACAATGGAAAACCCTGGCAAGCAAAAGATAGGGGCAGCAGATGTCCTGGCCTCCACCCACAACTCTGTCTCTGCTTTTAGCTAATTTTCATCAGGTGTCACTCTCATGCCTTCAAACACTCAATTCAAAATTTCCCATAAGACGGGGGTGAGGGGGTGGGGGTGTCAAAACAGCCTTAATTTTTTAAATAATTGGTACGGTCCCCCCCCTCCCCACAGACAGGTGTGTCACACCAGGTTCAACATGCACGTGCCAGGATGCAGGATGGGCACTTTAAGAAGAAGCCGCAAGACCACAGGGCCACTGGCCATGGGGCTCCACCACTCCGTGCCCCTCATGTACCAAGTCTTCAAGCTCCTCGTCTAAAATGAGGGTCTGGTCTACTGATGTTTTCTAAGACTCCATTTTGCACCAAAATGAGATCGATTTGTTTAACTAGTAACATCCTCTTTCAGCCATAGCCAGGCTGCAGTCTCTACCTCCTCCATCTCTGAGCAGACATGCAGATAAGGTAGAAATCTACCATGTATGGAGTTGCTAAAAAGTTCCTATGCATCCAGGTTAGATGCTAACTGCAGGGTCTTTCCCTGCTGCCCCCAGACTTTAATTTTCCTCAATCTTGTAGGTATCTCCTTCTGTGCTAATGGTAAGAAGCTAGTCAGCACCCTGAGAGCTAGTGTTATGTTTTTAAGTGTGGAAAGGATCTACTCTCTTGCATGGGAATATGGCATCTGTTCTACACATAAAGCACTTCAATAATAATAATAAATAAAAAAATTTAAAAAATAAAAAACACATGGCAACATGGTAATACCAACAGAAAGTCTTGTAGAAACTGGGGTTCTGGCAGACAGAGGAGCACATGAATAAGTCTCCACTATTCACATGATGGTCCAGGGGTCTCCTTCTTTTGCTTTCTATCCCCATCCCCATCATTGTTGGCATGGGCCACACACTGTATAACGCAGACATGAACACAGACGTTTTCTTTTTCTTAGACGCTGACTTACGTAGAAAGAGTTAGTCTTCACCCACTGTGAGGGTCCAATCCCTGCCAAGGTCTTTCTTCAGCTTGGTAAGTGATGATGTCTGACTCCCTGGGGCTGGGATGCTAAGCCTGTGCTTTTCAGAAGATTTTTCCAGCACATAAATATATCCTGGTTGCTGCATGGAAAGGGGACTAAGTAGCCAGGTCATCAGAGCCCTTTGCTAATGTTATACGCTGAGCTCATGCTTTTCCTATGACATAGATGAGCACTGGGTAGACCCCGTCCTGGTAACACTTTTCATGCACTAACAAGTTGGTTGCCAGTGAGACTTGATTTTTATGACTCTGGGAGTGCTGACCTCAAAACCTAATACATTTGAACTAGGAGAGCAATCCCTCCAACAATTTCAAACTACACATACTTACATCACATCCAATAGGGCTCTTTTGCCATCTGGCTTGAGCCCCTCTATAAATATGTCTACTTTGAAAGTCACAAGCCTGGGCGGGGTGGCTCACACCTGTAATCCCAGCACTTTGGGAGGTGGAGGCAGGCAGACCACGAGGTCAGGAGATGGAAAACATCCTGGCTAACATGGTGAAACCCCATCTCTACTAAAAATACAAAAAATTAGCTGGGCGTGGTGGCACATGCCTGTAGTCCCAGCTACTCAGGAGGCTGAGGCAGGAGAATCGCTTGAACCTGGGGGACAGAGGTTGCAGTGAGCCGAGATCATGCCACTGCACTCTGGCCTGGGCGAAAGAGCAAGACTCTGTCTCAAAAAAAAAAAAAAAAGTCACAAATACTCTTTAAAAGTGTGCAGAGTCATTCATATCCAAACCATCAAGGCCTGCCCAACAGCCTGGTGACTTGAAATCTTGACGTGTACACAGAGTCTAAACCTCGGTCTTTAGATTGCCTCCTTACTGGACCTCTTTACTTATTAAGATTCATCCTTGTGGAGGAAGTGAGGTCATGGATGTTCACATCTATCTTTCCCAGGAAGAAAAGGAAGCTTCAAGAGCTGGGAAATGCTATGCACCACTGTGCAGGTTCTGAGCAGCACAGAGCCACCTGTGGGGTGGGCGGGTAGGTGAGTAGTGGACATCTGACCACCAGGCGCTGTGCAGGACTACCTCCTTGCAGAGCAGGTGGGGCCTTCCAAGTTGCCTACTCATCCAACCTGCACAGTAAGCCTTATGGGAGCGTCATGGGGCTACGCCTACTTCAAAGAGCAACTTAGCTAAAGGGAAAGAGAATTTGCACTTGCTCTCTTCCACTCTAGCAGACTTGCACTTGTCGCTATTTATTTGTGAACACAGACTCATTTTAGATTGACTTAAAAATAAAAAAAAGTGCAAAGAACAGGGCAGCTGGAAGTTGGGAAACCACTTCTGCCACTGCTGAATCTGAAGCCTTAAGCTCCTGAACTGGAAAACCAGCCGACTGGAGCACTGAGCTCCCTGGGCCCTGTAAAAGAGCACACTGGCCAGGCATGGTGGCTCGTGCCTGTAATCCCAGCACTTTTGGAGGCCAAGACGGGCAGATCACGAGGTCAGGAGTTCGAGACCAGCCTGGCCAACATGGTGAAACTCTGTCTCTACTAAAAATACAAATATTAGCCAGGTGTGGTGGCGTGTGCCTGTAATCCCAGCTACTCGGTAGGCCGAGGCTGGAGAATAGCTTGAACCTGGGAGGTGGAGGTTGCAGTGAGCTGAGGTTGCGCCACTGCACTCCAGCCTGGGTGACAGAGTGAGACTCTGGCTCAAAAAAAAAAAAAAAAAAAAGAATGCACCAAGTAGTGGCCAGTCAGGCTCCCATGGGCCTTGACACGTGAGATGTCAGGCAGAATTTTTATTAATGAATCTGATGCCAATTCAGTATTTCTGCAATCACAATGCACTTTCGCAATATTTATCCAAGCAATATTTATCCAACAAAAATATCCAATATTTATTTATCCAGGATCTCGCAAACGTTCAGTCTAGTTTCACTCACGTCAGTGTCTCTAACCTTCATACTTTGCTTTCAAGCAAGAGTCGTGTGTTGGTCTGGGTGTCCGAAGGTGGGGGTGGTAGCTGGTGATGCAAGGAACCAAAAATTGGCCATACTTACTTACTTAAATATTTCACAGCTCTTTAACAGATTCTCATCTCCTGCTCTCTTCTCTTCTCCAACCTTGCCGTCTGGTTCTGACACTGTCCTGCCACGATTAGGAGTGAGCTTTTTGGGGTTCCCTCAAACATTCACTCCCAGCTGGTCTCTTTGTTACCTACTCAAGAGCAGTTCATACTGTTGGCCACTCTCCCCTTTTTTAACCCTCTTTTCTTTGGCTTCCATATTCCTGCTATTCCTCCTATTTGGTTGACAATTCCATCCCCCATCTCTTTATGCCCTCCTTTTTCTCTCCTCATTCTCTAAATGTCAGCTTTCCTCTGTGCACTCTCCTGGGCCACTTCTCTACTAGGCTATCATTTCTTCCAAGCCATCACTCAGGAGCCACTCCAATGGCCTCAGCGCTGCCAGGAAGCGCAGCGCATTTAATTTGAAGGGTGAAACTGCCTTGGAGGGATGGCAGGTGCATGCTTAATAACTTGTTTCCCAAGGCCACATAAGTGTCATTACTGGATGATAATTATCAGCTCAAGAGGGAAAGTTCTAAGACAGAGAATGCAAGATTTCTAAACAGGTCTAAGACAGTTTTCCAATGTAAGATTTATTATGTAACAGTTTTGAAAGTAGTGTCTGATTCCCTGTCTATATCCTCCAGAACAATCTGAGGGCATGGTTGCCATTACAATTTACTTTGGGGGACGATTTTATAGCACGTCTTCACAGACAACACGACAAACATCTTTGCTTCTGCTACACTGACAACCTGAAGTTAACATTTCTGTACCTATGTAGCCATTTTAATCACCCCCTAAACTGGTTATTCCACAGCCCAGGGGTGTGGGACTGAGTCAGATGGGCTAGAGATACCTTTATTCAGAGGATTTAGAAGTTTGCCTCAGAGAAAGGCCATTTCTAGTCTCCACTAGAAATCACACATATCTTCCAGGAATAAGAATATTCTCTTAGTCATAAGTTCAACAAATATGTACTGAACACCTTTTCTACTTAGAAACTTGTCTAGCTGCTTCTAGATTACATCCATGACCCAAAACCACAAAGACACCTATCTGCATAAGGCTTGTATTCTAGCACTACAAGCCACAGATAATTTTTGAAAATCAATTAATCAACCAATAATTGATAGGGTAAATTTATAACCTTGTTTTTCAAGCCTGATCTCAGGGTTAGAAGGTGGTAAGTGATAAGTATGAAGAAACAGAAGGCAGAACTAGAGACTCAGGAAAAGAGAGGTAAACTGCTGCTTTTCATTTAGAGTGGCCAGGGTGGTCCTGAGAAAACGCGAAGGAGGGGAGGGTGTGAGCCCCCATGCATTCATGAAGAATAGGCCTTCCAGCCTTGGCAACAGCTAGAACAAGGCCAGAGTGGACTGCGGGGGCTGCACGAGGAACAATGGGACCAAGAACAGCCAGGGAGGAGGGGTTACTGGAAAGGAGCGAAAGAAAGAACCAGGAGGTGAACCAGGAAAGGCTGGGGGTGGTAGAGCCTTGCAGGCCATGGCAGGAACCTGGGTGTTGACTCAGAGAGAAGTGGAGTCTCTCTAGCCGTCTTGGCTAAAAGCCCGGGAATTGTCTTCTTCTGTGTTGCACTAATATTTTCCATCTCATAAGGGTTCTGCAAAGAAAATTCTTTCTATCTTTAAAGTTTTATTATTTTCAAAACTAAATGTGATGAGAATGCATATATTGCATATGCCATGTGTACACCAAAAGCCACACCTAATAAAATGTTACAGCCATCCTTTGTCCCACATGCAACGGGAACTTCCATTCATCATCACATGCAGAAACTCTGGGAACTGAGAATCTGTACTTTTCATTCAGAGTCTGCAAGGGGTCACGGCCATTTTGAAAGGCTTTGACTCACACAGGAAATACCTCACTGAGGCTCCCACCCACCCATCCACTAATAGGGCAGCCTTTAGGGAAACTGACTTGTGGCAACTGAAAGGAATAACGGCACCAAAGTATTCCCCTGCCCTGAAATCTCTGTTTACCTGTGGACCGGTGATGGGTGTGAGGCTGTAGGTTTTAACGAGCTCTGAATGGCAAATGGCAGACAATGGTGTCACTTCCTTTCTGCTTAGGAAGGAGACGTTTGGAAAAACTGTTCACTGCTGTGCTTGCCTATGGAGAACCTGGATTCCCAGAGCTCTATCTGGTAGAACGTGTCTCCATATTAATAAGCAGTGAATCCTCTTTTGCGGCTGAATTTTCCTCAAGGAAGCAGCATGGGCCTTATTACTGCCTTAAAACCCAATTTCAATATTCGATACATAGTCTGTGTATTCATTTGCTAGGGTTGCCAAGACAATGTACCACGGACTGAGGGGCTTAAGCAACAGACATTTATTCTCTCATGGCTCTGGAAGCTGGAAGTCAGAGAGCAAAGTAGCAGCGGGGTTGATTCCTCCTGAGGACTCCCTCCTTAGCTTGTGGATGGTCATCTTCTCCCTGTCTCTTCATATCATCCTCCCTCTATGCATGCCTGTTTCTGAGTCCAAATTACCTCTTTTTATAAGGACATCAGTCCCACTGAATTAAGGACCACCCTAAGGGCCTCATTTTAATTGGATTACCTCTGTAAAGGCCCTACCTCCAAATAAGGTCCCACTCTGAGGTCCTGGGGGTTAGGACTTCAACATAACTCAGGGAACACTATTCAACCCATACCATCCTCCAGGAAGGCAGAGAATGTGTCCCTCTTCTTCACTGCTGTATCTCCCTGCCTAGCACAGTGCCAGGTACCACACTATGCTCTGTAGGTCAGTGATTCTCCGGAGCTCTGTAGGTCAGTCATTCTCAAAGTGTTGTCCAGGAACCCCCTGGGGTCCCCAGACCCCTCTAAGGGCAGGCATAAGCAGATCTGAGAATCCAGCTGCCTCCAATTAGCCCAGACATTAAAGAGATTGCAAAAAATGCAAAACAATGCCACTTCTCATTAACATTTTCTTGGAAAATAGAGTTACTTTTCATAAAAATATCTCATTTGTGTTAACATGCAATGAGTTTATTTATTTATTTTTATTTTTTGAGATGAAGTTTCACTCTTGTCACCCAGGCTGGAATGCAATGGTGTGATCTCGGCTCACTGCAACCTCCGCCTCCTGGGTTCAAGTGATTCTCCTGCCTCAGCCTCCTGAATAGCTGGGATTACAGGCGTGTCCCACCATGCCTGGCTAATTTTTTTTTCTTTTTCTTTTTCTTTTTTGAGACGGAGTCTCGCCCTGTTGCCCAGGCTGGAATGCAGTGGCGCGATCTTGGCTCACTGCAAACTCTGCCTCCTGGGTTCATGCCTTCTCCTGCCTCAGCCTCCTGAGTAGCTGGGACTACAGGTACCCGCCACCACGCCTGGCTAATTTTTTTGTATTTTTAGTAGAAACAGGGTTTCATGATATTGGCTAGGCTGGTCTTGAACTCCTGACCTCAGGTGATCTGCCTGCTTTGGCCTCCCAAAGTGCTGGGATTACAGTCATGAGCCACTGCACCTGGCCTTGTTATTGTTATTTTTAAATGAATTTATAAGTAAATGTTTCAAAATTTCTGTTTTTGTTTCTACCAATAGATATAATGCATATACACAATTTTTTTTTAAGAATCCTCAACCAATCTTAAGAACGTAAAGGGGTCCTGAGACCAAAAGATTAAGAATCACTGCCGTCGAGGTTTTAAGCTTGGCTAGGACACAGTCTGTACTTACTGAAGTAACCCACAGTATGACAGTAATAAGACACTTTATGAAGAACATATTTTCAGTAGCTAAGTGTCATAGAAAAGGAAGCTTGTTAGCCATTTCCTCAAGTTGACAACAGAGAGTCCTTAGGAAAATAATTTTTTAAAGCCAATATTGAGCCTTCCAAGACTGCACATGGTGATATGTTAAATTTGGAATTTATGCAACTTAAAAAACTGAGAGTCGGGGGTTGGCATTTTTGTGCATCCTAACTGACGAGTGCTGCCCCAGGGCTCTCTAACACTGCACACAGTCTACTAAAGAAGCAGGCTGCCCATCATGACCCCCACCCATCAGCTACACAGCACACATCTGCTTCTAGATGAACCTTCTTGCAAGTGGCCTGTCTTATGGCAAAATCAAGGGGCAGGCCTGTAAAGCGGACCAGGAAATGAGCAGCAACTGCATACCACCAACCTGTTGCCAAGCTAACTGTGCTTTTCTGGATCAGAGGCAGCTTGAGACACTGGTCCCTGGGGCTGAGGGACTGCAGAGCCCGGGCACAGACTCCCTGCCTATCTCCCAGTGTGTCCATCTTGGTACACCTGGTGCATCTCTGGATTGGCAAGTGGCACTCCCCAATTAATGTTAAGGGCCACTTGTTTTAAATATAACCAGATTATTTTAATTTTTAAATGTGTATCCCATACTTGGACACTGAAAGGTCCTCCCTGTTTACCTGCTTGCTGGGGTCTGTGCTTGGGTGTCTCATTTTATTATAAAACAGAGTCTCAAAGGCATTTAATACTAAGATCAAGTGGCTGGGCATCCATCATGTGCAGAGCAGGAGCCTGATGGTGGTGAAGGCTCATTCTGCATGTGGTTGACTCTAGGAACTACTTTAACAGAGGGGAAGAAATACACTGGGAGAAAGGAGCAGGAGATTCGTCAGGGCTGGGGGAATACTGGCTCCATGAGGGCAGAGACTTTTTTCTATTTTTTCTCTTTTTCAGAGCCTGTAAGTGTCCACATATCATGCACATGCAGTGCGTATTTGTTGCATGAGCTCCTGGTATGCAGGTGCCAAATGTCATGCTAAGTGTGTCGACTGGATGACAGAAGAAGGAAGGAGGGATTAAAGGAACTGGTGTGCACTGGCCTGAGCCTTGAAGAATGGGGTGTACTGGGTAAATCAAAATGGTGGGGAGCATTTCCAGATGGAGAAACTGCAAGGAAAAGCATAGAAGTGGGGCCACCCCTCGTGAGCTGGGGAGGGCCCAGGGTATGTGTGCTGGTTGGGGGGAAGCTGAAACTGAGGAAATTCCCATTGGATCCATAGCCTGGTTCTGGTTTCCACAGGCCTGGGATGCCCCGTCCAGAGTTTGACTTTCAGTCTGCACGTAATCCAGGCTTTGTATTCCCACTTCCCGTATCCCCTCACTCCTTTTTCACACACCCTTTTTATCTATGATGCTACTGGGGTCATGGGTTAAGAAGTCCTGTCGTCTAAGCAGCAAGGGTGCATCAAAGCAGGATTTTCTCCATTGATTCCAAGGTGTGATTCAGAAATGGTAAAAACTCCGAACACTAGGATGAGCACTGGGGATGGGTTCATGTTTTTTTTTTATGAAATAATTCAGAACTTATTAAGAATTCCCTTGG
This sequence comes from Homo sapiens, assembly GCF_000001405.40. Classification (NCBI taxonomy): domain Eukaryota; kingdom Metazoa; phylum Chordata; class Mammalia; order Primates; family Hominidae; genus Homo; species Homo sapiens. Next base: position 38,464,124 of record NC_000021.9, read on the forward strand.
CAAACCAAATTAAATATTAAACAACTATTTGTTAATATGTTACTATTGGATTCTATCTTAGAAAAGTGTAATTATGTGTAACTGAACTTTTTGTTTTCTTGTGGTTGAACCCTGAATTACCATGCCTTCTGGTTTCCGTGTTTTTCCTGGGGAATAGGTCATATTTCTTACTTCCAAAGCCCAGAAATAAAAGCCTCACACATCCATCCGTAGTCCCAAAGGCTTTTCTGCCTAGTACCCAGAGAGTAACAGCAGTGCTTCAAACTATTTGTGGACAAGAAGTCCTAAAACATCAGACACACTGTGGAAAGCAATTTCATTTCATTAATACAATTCATAATTAACTGCATTTATTTTATTGTCTAAATTCCAACTGCTAACCTATCATATCGACGAATTCTTTGAAGTTGCCTTTATTCTACAGGATATGTTCATTTTTAGATAATGCTATTTTTCATATACTTTAAGTTCTGGGGTACATGTGCAGAACATGCAGGTTTGTTACATAGTTATATACGTGCCATGGTAGTTTGCTGCACCCATCAACCCATCATCTACATTAGGTATTTCTCCTAATGCTATCCCTCACCTACCCTCCTACCCCCCGAGAGGCCCTGGTGTGTGATGTTCCCCTCCTTGTGTCCATGTATTCTCTTGATCATCTCCCACTTATTAGTGAGAACATGTGGTGTTTGGTTTTCTGTTCCTGTGTTAGTTTGCTGAGAATGATGGTTTCCAGCATCATCCATGTCCCTGCAAAGGACATGAACTCATCCTTTTTTATGGCTGCATGGTATTCCATGGTGTATATGTGCCACATTTTCTTTATCCAGTCTATTGTTGATGAGCATTTGAGTTGGTTCTGGGTTCATGTTTTAAAATCTCAATTTGCTCCCTAGTCCTAGGAATGATCTTCTCCACCTCCAAGGAATGCAAGCCCCAGTGCAACATGGATTCTTCCTCTGTAAGAGGCTAGACTCCAAATAATTTGTCCTGTTTTTGCCTGTGGGATGTTACAAGTGTACCCTGCTGTCTGTAATTGTGTTTCTGAAGTGTTCTATGTAAGTAGGTTTTTGTTAGTTGAATTGTACTTTAAATGTGCCAATCAAGTTCCCCATGAAAAGAGATGGGCACAGAGACTTTTTGAAAAATTAAGCATCCCAAGAGAAAAGCCGATCTGAAAAGACTACATATTATATGATTCCAATTATATGACATTCTGGAAAAGGCAAGACTACAGAGATACTGAAAGATCAGTGTTTGCCAAAGATTAGAGGGAGGGAGGGGTGAACAGGTGGAGCACTGAGGGTTTTTAGGGCAGTGAAACTATTCCGTATAATCCTATAATGTTGGATACATGTAAATATACATTTGTCCAAACCCACAGAATGTCCAGCACCACAAATGAACGCTAATGTAAACTACAGGCACTGGGTGATAATGACCTGTCAATATAGGTTCATCAACTGTAGCAAATGCACTCCGATGGGGAATGTTGATAATGTGGGCAAGGCTACGCAAGTGTAGGGGCAGCAGGTGTATGGAAATCACTCTATCTTCCTCTCGGGTTTGCTGCGTACTAAAATTGCTCTGAGAAATAAAGTCTATTTTTTAAAAAATGAAGTATTCCAATTAATTTATAAGTTTTGCCACACGTGCAATGACGGCCCTAACCACTTTACTTTGGTTCTCCGATACTGAATATGTCACTGTGAATATCTCATCCTCCTTGATCCCATCCCCATCAAAACTAGAGATTGAAATAAGGAGATGAGATGGCCCTCCCTGACCGCCTTGTGCCTTTCAGAGGAGGTGCCTGGGCTGGAATGGGGAGGAGCTAAGGACTCCTGTGGGATTCTGATGCTGGGTGTGAAACTGTCTGCAGTTAGCACGGTGTTGGAGAGATGAGTGCTAGACTTTGTATTTCTGGGGACTAGTGATAAATGCTCATTATTATTTATATAATTTTAAAGCTACGTTTAAATTTGTCCCCAGTACTAGAGACTTTAATGTTATATTGAAATAATACATAATAGGCTGCAAATAGTTATATTCTTGTCTTGTTGTTGTCCATGTATCAGCATTCTTGTATGAATGAAACTAGAACCAAGAAGAAAATCCATCACTACAATAATGGTCCATACATTAAAACAGTTTAGGCTGTCTGATGGTCTGGGGTGTGTGTGTGTGTGTGTGTGTGTGTGTGTGTGATATAGATATGTATGATATATATGATGTATATATGATTTATATATATATAAATCATCTCATCTTGCTCAAAACAATATCACTCTTATTTAGGTAGGCACACTGGAATATGATTTTAATTAATTGAAAAGTACAGTTTGTTTCACATTTGCAGGAGTGGTTTAATTCCTACACAGTGTACTAAGATGGCCTCTCGTGGGCTCATGATCCTGGAAGATATACTCCCAAAGTGAGGGGGGGTCTATGTTGGAAGCAAAAATAAAAGGAATTTAAAGAATGACAGGTCTGGGAAATTATTCTTATGGATGGTCAGTTCTTCATATGATAAAATAGTTATGACAAACCAAACAGGCACAGTCTCATGTATGCACTGATTTGCATGAACCAACTTTACAGATAATTGATTCAGTTGGTTGGAACTACAGTTTCTTCCAAATGTGGACAACTTACAACAGGGTGGGAGCCCCAAACTGTGAAGTCATGTGAGGTCATATACAAACTGAAAAACAGGGTTTCTCTACTGGAATGATAATCCTACCATGTTACACTTTTCCCCAAAATGAAATCCAACATCTTTCACCTGGCGTAAGAAGCCCAACATGTTCTGGCCCCTAGAAACCCTTACATCCTGCAAAGAGGGACTAGAGCTTGTTACTCTTATTAGCTACTCTTAAAGTCACAGAGGTAGTTAATTTGGCAAGGAGTGGCTACAAATTCAAGACATGTTTGGATGTGCTGAGAATCAGAATCCAATCTCGGCCCTCAAGTCATGGGTTAAAGACTTGGTTTTTTATCTATATGAGGTCCTACCTTGTAGTTCAAGCAGAAACATCCAACAAATGAAAGCAGAAACAACATTTGACAGCTCAAATTCAAAAGCAAGAGGCTTGTCAATGCAAAAGTCTTGTGCTGCAAATGTTTCAAGGGAAGTATCCATACTCTGAAGTGTGCAATTGAAAGAATGACCTGATATTCTTGCACTGTTGCCTCAAACAAACCTCCCTCCTCCTAGCTAGCTCCGGATCTTTTATGCATCATATAGTACATCTTCCCAAAAAAGCAGGTGGAAACCAAAGTGTGCAAAAACACACATTTTCCAAGAACAAATGCATTATACTAGCAAGTTATGTGTGGTGGGGCTAGGTGCTTCTGCGGGTGTGGAGGAGGAGGAGAGAAAGAAGGGTCAGGAGGAAGTGTGTTGGGTACAGAGACATGGAAATAAGAAACAGGAACCCTGAAAGACACACCCGCGGAGGTTCTGTAACTGTACATGTGCTCTTGTTAAATCGCCAGTTTCAGAGGACTCAGATCTGAGGCCATATAGAAATCTATTAATTTGCATCTTGACTTTGGGGCTTCCAGTAACAGTAAGTATTTGTATTTCAGGATCCACTCAGCAGAAAGGCCATACATATTCAAGTCACATAATAAATTGGTGAATTCCAAGTGAATTGTGAATACCAAAAAAGAAAACTGATTATGTGACTTTCTGGAATATGATGTAGAAATTGACCTAACAAAATGTATATGCACACTTACGGCATGTGTGCATGAGGGTGTCATTTATGTACACAGGTCATGTGCACATCCAACTCATGGCCATGCATGCTGTAGCCTGTTACCCATTCTGGGAGATATGTAAGCCTTTGTCTTTCTCCCTCCAGCTTCCTGCCTTCTTAAAACATTTCACTGGTCATCAACCAATGATTGAAGCTGGGTGCAGAAAAGGAGAAAAGGTGAAAACTCCTCTTAGTCCACAAGGTGACGTGTTAGTGCTTCAAGTGAAAGGGCTGTGGTGGAGAGCCAGAGAAAGCCCTTAGGTGGAATGAGACTGTGGTTCCTATAGGTCGGCACCTTCCTCCCCACCCGGCAGGTCAGCTCATCAATTGCACTTATCTCCCAGCTGCCACAGCCTGTCTCACTCCTTTCTCTCTCCTGTTGGGCTGCTACCAGGCCTGGTAAACTATTCCGTAGCTCTGTGCAATAGAAAATAGATATGTATTTCTCTGAATATAGAGAGGGAAATTGGAGTTCACATGGAATGCATACTGTAAACTTATTTGTTTTCTGAAAGCAAAAATTAAACTTGAAAGGAGCAAAGCTTTTCAAATTTCCCATAGTGCTGGCCTCAAATCCTAAAGATTTTTTTCCTTGACAAGAATCATGGGATGAATTGGAAGATCTGGATGCTCCATTCACCACAGTTGATGATGCTAAAACCCATGTGACAGCAGAGGAAAGAATTGAACATTCTAAAGTCCCCTCTGGCAACTGGAATGCCAGGGGAGCCTTCACCATATACCTCATCAAGCCACCCCAACAAACCTGCCATGTCGGTGAAAAGACCATGCTCACTATGAAAATGTGGCTTCTGCCGGGTGCGGTGGCTCACGCCTGTAATCCCAGCACTTTGGGAGGCCGAGGCAGGCGGATCACGAGGTCAGGAGATCGAGACTATCTTGGCTAACACGGTGAAACCCTGTCTCCACTAAAAATACAAAAAATTAGCCGGGCGTGGTGGTGGGCGCCTGTAGTCCCAGCTACTAGGGAGGCTGAGGTAGGAGAATAGCGTGAACCCGGGAGGCGGAGCTTGCAGTGAACCAAGATCGCGCCACTGCACTCCAGCCTGGGAGACAGCCAGACTCTGTCTCAAAAAAAAAAAAAAAAAAAGAAAAAAAAAAAAGAAAATGTGGCTTCAAGACCAGAACTCTAGCCCTTTGTCCAAAAAAAAACCATAGCCCCCGAGACCCCTGATGGCCTTGACATGCCACTGGGGGTCCCCTTATCTATTTACATTATAGAAGGGCTTCTAAGAAGAATGGTTTCAGTCAGAGAATCCAAGCAACTTATGCTAAAGTCCAGCCTCATCCTCAGAACTCTGGGCATGCTTGTTTTTAATGCCATGTCTATCCATCTGTGACTCATTAACGCACTTAGCAAACACTGAGTGACTGACTAGTCTATCTCTCCCCGTGATAAAATTTAAACGCCTCTTACAAGACATGAGTAGTCTACCTACCTGTTACTTGTATGCCATTACCTGAAAAATTCCCATCTGTTTGGATGCAAACTTCACAGAAACTCTGCCACAAATGCTCACGAACACCATCACATGGGCTGGGCTCTAGTGCTTTGGAATATCCTACTTTCTTAGAAAAATCGATGAGTACATATAAATATAATTAGCTGCACCTTGATTCCTGCGGAATCATTGTATTAACTGCTTTGGGCTATTCTCCTTCTTTCCTTTCAGGCAATATTAATTTGTAACAAACACATTTTATGATATAATAAATTATCTTTCATTTTTTACTATCAAATACATGGAGAAGTAAAAAAACAAAAAACCCAGAACTTCTAGGCAGCTCTTAAACAAGTCTTGCTGTTACTTGGAAAAGTAACAAATTCACAGGTTTATTGTCTATGTTAATAAAGCTGTGTTGGAGTAGTCATTATAACCTTTTACATTCCCTCCTGTTTACAGCTCACAGAATATGTTTACACATGTGATCTCATTCAGTTGTAACATGATCTGCATAAATTATGGGTATTAACACTTGCCATATTTATTACAACGATTTCCCCAGCAATTTGTCTTCTTAATTGTATAATCTATATTGCAAACAGATGTCTGCAGTTTGTATATGCAGCTATGTACTCCTATGGTTTATGCATCTACCTCAGGCCATTAAACTGTAAGCTCCTGGAGGGCAGGGATGTATCTGATTCATTTCTGTATCTCCGGAACCCACTGCACAGCTGCTGAATGGATACACATCTAGTTACTTAACCTCTGTGTCCTTCAGTTTCCTCATCTGTGAAATGGCTATAATGATTGCAGGAACCTGTCTTCTCTGTCCCAATTGTATTAAGCAAAACACTTAATACAATGTCTAGCATATAATAAGCACTCTATGAGTGTTTTCTATTATTATTATTATTATTATTATTGTTATAATTATCTGGAGTTAATTGAATTAAAGTTCAAAAAGATGACCTAACTCATTTGGGGGAAGGTGATGAATAAACGGCAGAAAGAAAGGAATATCAGGGATCTTATATGCTGATCCTAGCTTTGTCTAATCTGCCAAGCTAAGTCGTAAGATTTTTCTCTTTTCAAAATACTTCTGTTAAGCTAGTAAAAATTATTTACTTGTAAAGATTCCATGTGCTGCTTTTTCTGTCATAATTGCATTTACCTTACCAAATACATATTGACCATCTACACAGTGGATAGCAGAGGGGCCACAGAAATGAGTAAAGTCTAGTTCACTCTGCACTGGTATCTCTTTTCTTCCATATTTACATTTTATAATTACATTTGTCAAACTGCTTCACAGGCGAAGTCCTGGACCAGGAACCAAATAAAATTGACCCAGCTTTCCGACCATGGAAAACTAAAAGTATAATCAACTTTGGCACCATTAAATTCTGTTTCATTTATTTTTTCCAAGAGTCTATTAACATTGTCATACAGAAGTAGAAGATTTAATTGAGTGTGTGCATTTTGAGTTGAAAGCAGATACTAACAAGAAAAGCTAACCTGGAAGACATCTTGTAAACTGTTTCATCAGACTGGACCAGGAGCCAGGGGAGGGTCGAGGTGACTCAGGGCTGTTGGCAAAGCTGCAGAAATTGCCACTGGGTTTCTCTGTCCTCTAGGCAACCTAGGCTGCATTGGCTCTCTGGCCTATTATTCATTACGGTTTAGTTCACCACAGAGGTTGCCAGTGAGCAGTGCATAAGATTAGAGATTTTGTAAAAACATGTTAATTTGTATGAAGACGAAAATTGGACTATGGAGTTTAGTGATAAAAATAGATAAACAGTTCTGTCATTTGATTTAAATATTAAAATAAGACAAGACAAAGCTTTTAAGGAAATGACCACTTCTTGGTTCTCAACTAGAGGCAATGCCTCTTCTGTCCTGAGCAGATGGGTGTTTGGGAATACGTGGGGTGACTTGGGTTGCTGTGATAATGCAGGGGTTCTCTGGCAATCAGAGGGAGAGGGAGGGGCACCTTCAAACTGTGGTCCAGATCTACACAATCAGGAAAGGCTGTTCACCTAAAATTCAACCTTCTGTTGAGAAGAGCAACACTTACGGAGCTCATCAAAGAACGACAAACCACTGGAACAGTTCTTGAGACCAAAGTCTCATTCACTCTGGGACATATCCAGTTACATAAATCATTTATGTTTTATCCCGTCTCTACTTTCCCAAGAAACCCTGCCACACATTCATAGTGAATATCAAACCTAATTAAAGATCCTAAGCAGCTGAGAAAATTACTCAATGACCAAACTATAATTAGTCTTCTACAAGGGAGAAAATGTATTCAAATCATTGCTTAATTTTGTTTCATTTCCTCTTACCTGCACTTGACCATTAAGATCAAAAGTCTGAGAATTTGTGGCCAAAAAAAATGAACATGAGTCAAAGTCACATCTATTTGTTAATAATGGAAAGTAATTCCTTTTCTAATTACACGTGAAAATACTAGTATCCAACAAACCTATTTGTGGAAAATACGGTTTAGATTGGGAAGGTTAATTACTTTCAGGTTTTTCAATGTCCAAAACACACCTCAGAACTAACAGGCTCAGACAAGATCTTTATGAGATCACTGGATCCTCCCTCCAAAAGCTTCCCCCTCCCCTGTTGATCTCTATTCCATATGCTGCTTCATTTGATCGTATAGCGTGTATGATGAGCCTGAATGCGGGCATTTGTTGATTTGAGTATTACCTGAAACAAAAGATACACCAGAATGTAAAACCCAGGAGGGCAGAGACTGTTTTCCCAGAACCTAGAACAACTCCTGGCACATACCAGATGTAAAATCATTGTAGAAAGAAAGAAAGAAAGAATGAAAGAAAGGAAGGAAGGAAGGAAGGCATGAAACGGTGCACTATTATTGTATGCCACCTTAAGTCACTCATAGAAAATACTGCATGCCAGCACTCTATGCAATGGGTGTTACACTAGCCATTATGTAAAGTCAATGACGGGATTATACGCTGGGCACTTTATAATTTAATAAACACCCTTCAATTACCGTCTCATTTGCTCCTCCATGCCACTCCACATAGTATACGGGACATATTTTAGGATCACCAGTTTAGAGATAAAGACAGAGGTTGTGTCCCCAAAGTTTGCTTGCGAGTGTGGTATTTGTAACTTCTAAAACTCTAACTCTCCCCTGAAAACACGTCCTAAGAGTGGTGAGGCTCCCACGTGAGGTGGCAATATTGGTTACCCCCGCTGAGCTCATCACATTGCGCAGGCCTCCACAGGGCAGCTACACTCTACGATAAGGAACATGAAGCCCTGAGAGTCAGGAGGGAGAAAAAAGAAAATGAACGTTTGGAAAAGGGCATTCCCAAATCACAGGAGAAGGGGAAGAAACGTGTCTCAGCTACTAAGTTTCTCTTTTCCATGACGCTCAAAGCAGAAAATGGCTGCACGTGGGCAATTCGTGCGCTTGGAGCTCAGACCTGCAGTCTTGTCGTTTGTCTGCCCTGTCTTGGTGCATGCTGGGCCTGACTTTTTTATTTTTCCATTTCAAGGAGCCCCAGCAGGGCCTGGAGGAAATGAGTTTTGCAGCCCATCTCGGCCCTTGAGCTTGGCTCCTCGGCTGACCTCGGCTCCCCGCCTGCAGACCCGGCATGAGGCAGGCAGCAGGCACTGCGGGGCAGAACTTCCGGGACCTGCAAGACCAGTCCGCTGCCTTCTGAGACGTAGTTCTGAGGTGTAGCAAGTTTTCATTTTCACAGCATAAAACCGTCTACAAATACATACTTCAAAATGAAATGGAGGATGCGCTCAAAAAAAAAAAAAAAAAAAAGGCTTAGAGACACGTCAAAAGGGCACAGGAGCTCAGCCAGGTCAAATAAATTCCCAAATTTGACTCACATCACTTCAGCCTCATCTGGATATTACCCACACTCTGCCTAGGCAGGCGAAGCTTCCGTGGGATCCTCTGTCTTTAGTGAATTCTTTCCTTTATCTTGTCCAGCTTTTCATTGCTCTTTCAGAAACTGAGCCCATGGTTTTAAATCTTAATATGACCTTGCATTCAATTATATATATACATATATATATATATACAAAGCTGTTTTTTAAAGACAATTTTAAATAAGAAAAAAATAATTATTTTAGATACCAGAGAGTGGTGAAATAATAATGATTCAAACTTAATCCTCACTTCACGTAGGGGAAATTGACTCAAATCTGGGAGCATCAAAAATTAAGATGCATTTACAAATCCTAGGAGAAGATATCCTTTGTAATCTCAGAGAAAATAATTGAGAGAGGGAAAATTTTTTTTGAAAGACGTGGTTTGGACATATTACTATTTTGTGAAATGAAGTTAAATGTATGGTACAGATATTAAAGTTCACTTAAGTTTTATCTATATAAAGTGTGTGATTTTGGATCTAAACAGGCATAAATATATATATGTGTGTGTGTGTGTATGTGTACATGTTTGCGTACGTATGCATGTGTATGTGTACATGTTTGCGTATGTATGCATGTGTATGTGTGAGCGTATGTGTGTGTAAGTGTTGTATATGTGTGTATGTGTGTGTATATGTATGTGTGTATATAATAGGAAGTAAGTTGGAAAACATGAGCCAACTGACTTTTTTTTCCTTAGACAGCTAAAGAAGAGTGGTTAGAAGTTTACTCACAAGTAAATCTTTTAAGGAGCGTTTACTTCCCAGAAACAGCAATGAGATCTTGGAGGGGCAATTCTTGTCAACTGTGCATCATCAATGGAGTTTAACTGTGAGAGGTAAAACCCATTGTTGGTCCCGACTCCACCAACCCAAATGGTCATATCTGAGGACTTCCTGTGGTTCTCCCGCCCCCACCCTCTCCACGGCATTTACTGCTCCTGTATACCCTGGACTTCTCGACAGGAAATGGCAAATTCCTCAGTAGGAAAGCCAAGAAGTGGGAGGTCACATGGAGACTGGAAGTTCATTGCGTGCAGCCCCTCCAGGTGACAGGCGACACCGCCTCTGCATGTTGAGTGCCTTTGTGACACATGATCTCCTTGTCTCATGACCACAGGCAGCAGGGTCCTGATGAGTGCCCTGGAGAGAACTGTCCTCCCACCCCTGGGTGACACAGAGTCTCAGAAGCCAGCAGAGGTGCTGCACCAAAGGCTCAGACTTTCACCCTGCCTCTCTTCTCCTCAACTCTTTGCCCTAAAAAACATGTGCTTTGAGGGTGTGTTGAAAATCTCACTAAGTCAAATGATGCCTGTGGGGCAGAAATAACCCTTGCTCTGAAAGGGTCACCAAAAAGTCATGAGACTCCTACCTGTATGGAAGGTGGTGACTATATAGCCCTTGTATAAACAAACAAATACGGTGAAAGACTTGGCTCCATTTTTTTTTTTTTGTCTGTTCGTTATTTTTTGGAGAAAACGTTGTGATAAGAAGCCTTTAGCCTACAAAAATGTCTCTAGATTAATGATAATTTATCTCACTTTTCTCAGTGAAACAGATGAATCAAAGAAAGTGAAGCATCGTAGACAATATAGGACCTTCCTGATAACATCTAACATTTAATAACGTGATCACAGCGTGGCGGCTCTAAAAGACATGCACATGTGAATTAATGCATCTAACCTGCACACTAGCTACCATTATGCCCATTTTAAAGATGAGGAAAACTGAGACTCCAAAAATTAAATAAGTTGCCTAGAGCATCTTGCCAGTTAATGCACCAGAATTCTAAGCCAGCTGCCTGGTTCCAAAGCGCATGCCCATAAACGCGGAACATAATGCACCAAATGGCCTAGAACTGAAACGACTGCAAAAATAAGTCAACATATGAGAAACTAGAGAATATATAAAGCCAGCCCCACCATAATCAGTGGCAAGGGATGGGAGATGGGAAGAAGGGAGAAGGGAAGGGAAGCTAAATAATTTCAGTTTTTCTCTGTGCCTTTAATTCCTGTCCCCTGAAGATGACACGCTCATTTTAGTAGCAACCCATGACCAAGATGCATTCCCCAAGCTTTTCGCACCTGACAGAAAGGGACTCGGTGTCCAGGACTGTGCCCGATTACAATCAAAGCAGATGGACCCTTCCTTAGGGTAGGGCTGTTCTTCTGACAGCCTCCTCTGTGAAACTAGATTATAAGAGGATGTGCTGCTCTCAGACACCCTCTGCCTGTCCCCGCCTTGGGGTCCTTGCCTTTGCCATTCCCCTGGTCCGCATCACTCCTCCGAGGCATTTGCAAACCTTGTTCTCACCTTTTCTTTGGGTCTCTGTCTGACAGGCCTTGCCTGATCATGTTCTCTAAACTAGAGGTCCCGCCCCCCGGCCACCTGGCTCTATCATGTTCCCTACCTTCCCTCCTAAGGCTCCTGACTTCCTGCCACACTCTGTCTTCGTTGAGCTGTGATCTATTTGTCAGTCTCCCCCATCTGCATCCCCCTGATTGACAGCACTGAGTGAGCCCAGCTGTCCTGCTGCTCATGCCCCTCAGCACCCATGAGCCTAGTGGGTGCCCAGTAAATCCTTAGTGAGTAAATGAATGAGTCAATTTCCACACACCAAATCCCAAAGGGATAAAAAGACATTGCCTTTCTGCCATTTCTTGGAAGAATTTTTTGAGACAAACTAAAGAAAGGAAGCTACTTGTTATTAAATTTTTAAAAATCTGCCTACTATTTTCAGGCAAATATGTCATGATGACATCTATGAAATCTCTGAAATTAAAGAGAAGCCTGACGTTTCACAGGAATTAAATGAAGTTGCTGCATCACAGGTGCTCCCTGCCACAGGGCTCCGTGTGGCAGCAGCAAACAGAACTCCTCGCTGCTTAGGTGTAGTCCTTAGGAATGAAAATCTGAACGTAGTACGTTAAAAAAAAAAATCTTCAAAAGCAAACAAAGCCCTAAGTGTCGCTGTGTATTATCAGGGCAGGGTCCTCCTCAGAGAGAGGCGGGCTGCAATCGCCCCTACACCTTTCACCAAGTGCCTCGCTTCAGGGGTCCCATTGTCTCCACGTTTAGGTTTAGGAGCCTGGCTCTTCGTAACACCAGCGAAACATGTTCTCCTAAAGATGTTCCCTGAGATACAACACCACTCCGCATTGTTTCACCACATACCAGCATTAATATCCCAGAGTAATCCACCCTCCTCTTAACGGCTGATGACGGCTCCAATGGCCATGCAAAAATCAGTTGAAGGAAAGGGAAGTCTTGTCGGAAATGAGATTAGTCTTGTAACGAGTGTTCAGCCCTGATAACCCATCTGGGCACAGAACTGCTTAAACTGGAGAGCAATTAACCTTCACCCGACAAGCTCTGTCCAACCGTTATAAACATTAAAGAGACAGAATCCTTCCCCCCTCCTTGTAGACTAAACAACCAGATTTGAAATTCCACGTAAACGGCCTCTTTCTGCAGATGTGCACCAACAACAACGTTTAGGGGGAAAAGGTGGGCAATGGCTCTGTTCATAACTCTGGTAACTTTTGGCCTTGGTGTGAGTGGGCTGAGGTTATTAGCGTAAAAATTAACTGGAGGTATTTCCAATAAAATCACCAGGTTTAGGGGACTGGACATAGTTGCTTTCATGCAGAAACCCATGTGTCCTATAGGAACACAACTTGATGCTTGAGAGATTCTTTTTTCTTTTCTTTCTTTCCTTTTTTTTTTTTTTTTTTTTTTTGAGACAGAGTCTCACTCTGTCGCCCAGGCTGGATTGCACTGGTGCGCTCATGGCTCACTGCAACCTTGACCTCCCCAGGCTCAGGTAATCCTCCTACCTCCACCTCCCAAGTAGCTGGGACCGCAGGCGAAGGCCACCATGCCCCACTAATTTTTCTGTTTTTTGTAGAGACAAGGTTTCACCATGTTGGCTAGGTTGGTCTCGCTCAAGCGATCCACCCACCTTGGCCTCCCAAAATGTTGGGATGACAGGCGTGAGTCACTGCGCCTGGACTTCTTTTTTCAACAGTAGAAATATTTGCACTGGGCTAGACTCTCACTCACTCCCAATTCCTCTCTTCCGACATTTGCATGAGTGATGCTGCTTGTGGTCACAGAAGGGAGATTTTTTTTTTAATCTCCGAGAAGTTATTGGTTTTCATGGGGAGCAAACCTGTGATCTTGCCTTTATCAGCATTTGCCGTAACCAGTCGAGTTAACCAAGTTGGGCCATGTGAAATACCGAGTGGTTAGAGAATCTACCAGGAAACCTACTGTTAAAAATAACTTTCACAACACTGAAGAGAAATAGCTGAGGTCACTTAATTTATCACTCAGGCATGAGCTTTCTTTAGCATCAGTTCATGCTGAGCCATTGGCTTGTTTATGGACATGATACTAACAATAAATAGGTAAAGGGTAAGGGCCCTATGACATAGAGCTGGCTACAAACCAATGTGGGGTACACAATATGCCTAGCATTTAAACAAGAAAAAAATGTAAAGTACATGCAGAAAGTCATATGAGGGAACCAAACCTCTATGTTACTGACCTGTTAATGTGACTGCAACTCAGATTTTTTTAAATAGAAAGAAAAAAGGAAAACATATATTTAGCATGTCCTAAACAAATTTATCTCCCCAAGGTTTTAGTGCAATCTTCATGATGACCTGAGATAGCTATCAAAATAGTCCATCCTAACATTCGATCTTATCTCTCCCTTGAACCCAGTTTCTCTTTTTCCAGTAGGTAAGTCATAATACTCCAGGCCTCAGAGACGTGTTTGCACACAACGAGGCTGAGCCTATCTCACTTATAAGGATGACATATCTCACTCATGCTGGACTCCAGACCGGCCCCAATAACAGTTTTGGAGAGTGGCATGGTAGAGGATGTGTGTTACATGGGAAGTACTACTGTACCCTGGGACAAGATATCCTGGCAACAGGTCTTGTTTTCATGGTTTGCATTTACATGCTTAACTGTTCCTTTTCCTGCCTTTGTAAGACTAAGAAAATCCTTACTGTACAGAGAAGGAACTGTGAAAATAGAGCAAGTGGGACTGACTCTCACATTGCAGGGATATGCACCATCTCCATTTTTGCAGCCAAATTAGATGCAAGCCCAGGATTCCACTGGCCTGGTTCTCCCAGGAACACTGGGAGTTTCTTGGTGTCTTAGCTTGAGGTGAGGTGAAGATGGGCTATGGGCACGTGAGCTGACCAGTTTTTCATCCTGTGTGCATTGGACGTAGACAAGGGCACACACAGACATGACAAGAATCCATGACCTAGCTCCTAATGTAAATCTTCTTTCCCAAGACAATCTTGCAGAGCCCTCATGGTCAGTGATAAGAGGAACTTCAATTTTTATTTGGAATCTGACCCATTTCATAAGAATGAGTAACACCTGAATATTTAGGTGCAGATATCAAAGACAGAAGACAAAAAGAAATCATAGTGTTTGACAATAATATTAGTATAGGATGCCGTTTTATGAGTTCAGTCTTAGGACTGTGTAGGTGCAACGTGAAGACTTTCCTGAAGACAGCCACATGAATCATTTTTCATAGGATGTAATCACCACTGTCATCCATTAGTCCAGGCTTGACACATAGAATGGGGGTGACTGGCTGCCTAAGTAACAAACTCCCCACGTGTGCTTCTGACGAACTGTGTGGGCTGCCCTAAGCTTTTGCATGTCTCGACACTTACCAAGTAAAATGATGAGATAAGGAAAACCACAACATCATACTCAGTATCTTGTGAAACTGAAATGGTTGCAGAGTAAACACTTTGCCTTACAGTGATTTTATTTTGACTATTATGCTGGATTTAACAATATAATGGTTAATATCCATGCTATAAAGTTTTATTTTTTCATCAACAAAACTAATTGCATTGGCACTTTCAAAATGTTGTTTGCACATAAATGATTTATACTTAAGTATGAGTGTAACAATCTTGCCATCAGGACCTGGTCTGTTGGGAGATATCAGTGAATGGAGCCTGGCTCTTCCAATGGGCAACCGTTGTTTGTTGGTGAAGCTGCCACCCTTGAGACCTGCCTGGTCTCCTTCCCACCTGTAGCTGGCTAAGTAGTGTCTCCCCACAATTCACGTCCACCTGGAACCTCAGAATATGACCTTATTTAGAAGTAGGATCTTTGCAGATGTAATTAATGATTAAAATGAGATCATAGATTAGGGTAGGTTCTAAATCCAGTGAGAGCATCCTCATAAGAGGCTGAGCAGGACACACAGAAACATAAAGAAGAAGGTCGTGGGATGACAAAAGCAGAGACGGAAGGGATGCATCTACAGCAGTCTCCCCTTATCCACGGGGGACACACTACAAGACCCCCAGGGGATGTCTGAAACCTCAGACAGGACTGAACCCAACTGCCATTAACTGGAACACTTTCTGTTCCATCCACAAATGCAATACCTTTTCCATCTTAACTAAGCACTTACTATCCACTGTGGTCATCAGTTTTGCAGTTTGAGGTGCAACGGCAAAACAAGCACAGATTTCTTTTTATTTCTTCAAACTTCAAAGACAGAAGATTCATTCTTACTGTACATCTTAGCAACCACAGCATATGATCTTTTTCCTTGTAAGTACAGAACTTTCACCTTTTCACTGAAAGAAAGCACTTTACGGCTTCTCTTTAACATACCCGGAATTGCCAGGATCAGTCCTCTTGTGCCTTGGGGCTACTACTGAATAAAAGAAGGGCTACCTACACATAAGCACTGTGATACCGTGACAGTCGATCCCATAACCAAGAGGGCTACTCGGTGACTAACAGGCAGGTAGCATCTGTAGCATGGATACGGTGGACAAAAGGGGAATTCATGTCCTGGGTGGAGCAGGGCAGGATGGTACAAGACTTCATCATGCTACTTAGCATGGTGAACAATTTAAGACGTATGATTCATTTATTTCTAGAAATGGCCATCTAATATCTTCAGACAGCAGATGAAACTGCCAGAAACCATGGAAAGTGGAATCGCGGATAAGAGAGGACTACTGTCCAAGCCAAGGAACACAGGGCTTGCAGGCAACCCCCGGAGCTGGAGGAGGCACCAGATGCATCCTTCCTCACAGCCTCCAGAAGGGACCAACCCAGCCAACACCTCGATTTTGGATTTCTGGACTCCCAAGCTATAACAGAATAAATTTCTCTTGCTTTAAGCCACTAGGTTGTAATAATTTGTCACAGCTATCCTGAGAAACTGGTAACAGTACTTGTGGATGCTGTTTTTAACAAAAATTTTGCCACTTTAGGGCACTATATGGCCTTTTTTTTTTTTTTTTTTTTTTTGCCTTATAGAGTTAGGTCAATTTCCAAAAGTGCTGGAGTTTATGCCAAGAATTAAGTGACTCCCTGGTTGCAGTGGCCAAATAGCCTGAAATTTTCAAAGTAATACTAATTTTGCAAAACTTTTCATGTAAACTCCTTTGCCTGACCATGCCCTAATTTTTGTGATTAGGAAAATCTGGCTCTTATCCCACTGGAGGAAAAGTGTCTAGTTCATATTCTAATGGAAATCATCACTTGGGAGGTGTTTTGACAAACATCTCTCAGTTTTGTTTAAAAATTATGTTAGAAATTAAGAAAAATAACGAATGGAAAACAAAATCTAATTTTTGGTATATTTTCCTGCTAACATTTGTGGGCAAATTAGTTAAATTATGATTGTTTCATGCATACTTACTCCTCCAACAGCATCCTAGCTCTCTTAGGAGTTCCTTTTAATTATCCTAAAAACAGTTAAGAGTATACTGAGCCAAAATATAATTAGGTTGAGAAACAATGAACTCCTAAATGACCAATCAAGTTTTTTCCAACATTTTAATTCTCAAATAAAGGTCATTTCCTTTTATTTGACTCCTTAAAAACTAGATTATAGTTCTTCTAGGAGAGGAACCAAGTCAGATTTCTTTTAATCACATACATTGCCAAATGCATGCTTTACTCAGGGAAAGATTTCAATATGCATCATTTATTCATGCATTCATTCATTCAGGAAACAGAGTAGCACTTTACATGCGGACGCTGTGGAAACAATGGTGATATGAATTCTTAAATGATTAAAGAAACAGTCCACTAAAAATCTTATCAAGATAATAGAATACTTCAGATTTTATGAAAGATTACATTTTCATTGGCCTATATATAATGTTTTAACCAGTAAGGCTCACTAAGTTAAATAATATGCTGGATAATCTTAAATTTACAGAAGGGTTTTCAGTTTTACTATTTGGCTTAGATAAGCTGGTAGTTACTTGCTAAAATTAATCTTTATTATAAAGCAGATCATCTTGAAACTGAATACAAAAACAAACGTAGCTATTATTGAAAATGTTATGCTATCTCATATCCATTAGAGATGTTATTTATATAATAAGTACTGTGTTGTAATTTGCCTGATTCCAATGAATACAGAAACCCTCAGTGTGAATCAATATACTAGACACCAGCAGACATATTTAAAAGATTGCTACAGTTTCACTGACATTTCAAAGAGGTGACTGTAGTAACAAAAGAAGAAAAATGAATAGTCCCTATCATAGCACATTAATACAACTTGTCACTAGTTCATGTCCAGAAAGACTTATTATATAATAGATTGTCAAAGTTGAATATTTCAATGACCCAATGCAAATCCTGGATAAATGCTGGTAGGTGTTGCTGCTCAATAAAAATGAAAGTGGTGTTTGGTTTTGCTCATCAAGGCAAGTGTCATGTAGCAAAATGCAGGCTATGGGTTGCCTGGAAACTGTATTCCTGCTTTTAATTTACAAGTGAAACATTCCCATCCATGGCCTGGAAGGGACCATCATGTACTCGGCAGCACTCATTAGATTCTGGGCAGCCCCCGGTCATCTGACCTTCCCAAACATAGGGAAAGGACGTGGATAGACATTTTCCCAAAAAGACATAATAATGAACAATGGGTATACGACAAGGTGCCCAATATCACTAATCATCAGGAAAATGCAAATCAAAGACACAATGAGGTATCACCTCACGCCTGTTCAGATGGCTATGGTCAAAAAGACAAGAAATAGTAAGTGTTGGCGAGAATGTGAGAAAAGGGAATCCTTGCAGACTGTTGGTGGGAACATGGAATGTTGCAGACACTGTGGAAAAAAGTATGGAGGTTCCTAAAGAAATTAAAAATAGACCTACCATATGACCCAGCAATCCCTTTTCTGGGTACTTTCCCAAAGAAATGTAATCACTATCTCGTAAAGATACCCGCAGTGCCATATTCATTGCAGCATTACTCACAATAGCCAAGATATGAAAGGAACCAAAGTGTCCATCAATGGATGAATACATAAAATAAATTGTGGTGGATATATACAACGGAATATCATTTAGCCTTTTTTTTTTTTGAGATGGAATCTCAGTCTGTTGCCCAGGCTGGAGTGCAGTGGCATGATCTCGACTGACTGCAACCTCTGCCTCCCAGGTTCAAGTGATTCTCCTGTCTTAGCCTCCCACATAGCTAGGATTACAGGCACCCACGACCACACCCCACTAATTATTAAATTTTTAGTAGAGACGGGCTTTCACCATGTTGGCCAGGCTGGTCTCGAACTCCTGGCCTCAAGTGATCCACCTACCGTGGCCTCACAAAGTGTTGGGATTACAAGCGTAGCCACCATGCCCGGCCCATTTAGCTTTCAAAAAGAGATTCTGCCAATTGCCACATTATGGATGAATCTGGAGGACGTTATGCTAAGTGAAATAAGCCACACACAGAAAGACAAATACTGCATGATCTCACTTATATGTAAAATCTATAACAAACAAACAAACAAAGACTCAATGGGGAAATGGGGAGATGTAGGTCAAAGAATATAAAGTAGCAAATATGCAGGGTGAACAAGTCTAGAGATCTAACGTACACCATAAGGGATATGCTTAATAATACCGTGCTGTGCTGTACTTGGGATTTTTGCTTTAAGAGTAGATTTTAGGTGCTCTTGCCCCACAAAAAAAGAATGTGTAACCATGTAAGATGATGGATATGTTAATTTGCCTTCACTATCAGAACCTTATCACCATCTTCATGTATATCAAAACATCATGTTGTACACCTTAAATATATAAAATAAAACTTTTAAAAAATAAATCAAAAAGTCATAGTTCAAACCACTCTTTTGGAAAAGTATGGATTTGTTAATATAAGTGGTATATAACAATTGTATATGCATCTGGGGAAAATGGACTCCATCTTTCATGATATAAAAAGCAATTCTCGGCCAGGCATGGTGGCTCACGCCTATAATCCCAGCACTTTGGGAGGCTGAGGCAGGTGGATCACGAGGTCAGGAGATTGAGACCATCCTGGCTAACACGGTGAAACCCCGTCTCTACTAAAAATACAAACAAACAAACAAACAAAAAATAGCCGGGCATGGTGGCACACGTCTGTAGTCCCAGCTACTCGGGAGGCTGAGGCAGGGGAATCTCTTGAACCCCGGGAGAGGGTGGAGGTTGCAGTGAGCCAAGATTGCACCACAGCATTCCAGCCTGGGCGACAGAGTGAGACTCTGTCTCAAAAAAATAAAAAATTTTTAAAAAACAGCAATTCTTTGTGATTTTAATATAGGGTGCCAGCCACATCACTGATTCATGCACTCACTCATGCATTTGTCATGCAGGAAGTTATTTATTCATTTATGAAATGGACATTTACTGATAGCCTGCTTTTTAATAGGCACCATCAGCATGACTGAAAGGTTACATGACAACAGCCACAGAACTTAAGGCATAGAACTTTAACAACACACGTTTTGAGTTACTGGTCTTGACGCCTGGCTAATTTTTTGTATTTTAGTAGAGATGGGGTTTCACTGTGTTGCCCAGGCTGGTCGTGAACTCCTGAGCTCAGACAATCCACCCGCCTCAACCTCCCAAAGTGCTGCAATTACATGTGTGAGCCACCGCGCCCGGTCGGGGTTCTATAGATTCTTAATCATGATTAACCAGCAATATGATAATTCAATAGATCCCTGCTCACCTCCCCTAAAGAATGTGCCACTCTAAGTAGTTGGTTCAAAATAGCTTGACTTTTTAACCTCTAGATCCACTCCAGAGAACAGTGGTCTCTCCCCATTGCACAAACACATTCATTTATTTAACAGCATCACCCAAAGCATAAGAATGGGAGGAAACAATGAACGTCCTTCATTTCTCCAACTTTAAATTATCAAAACTACTGATTTTCTGGGCTCACAAAAATGCAGTTGAGTTCAGCTGTTGAAAGTTTGGTTAACATGTCAGTTGAGCCACCAAATGGAATAACAGTTGTAACTCTCTTATGTTTTCTCTACTGTCCTCAAAGGAATAGCATGAGAACAAAGCAATTAGCATACATTCAGGAGTTGCATAATGATGTTTTGGACAATGACAGACTGCAGATAGGACGAGGGTACCATAAGATTATAATGGAGCTGAAAAATCTCTATGGCCTAGTGACATACAGCTGTAGTAACACTGTAGCACAATGCATTTCTCACATGTTTTTGGTGGTGCTGGTGTACAAACCTACTGTGTTGCCAGTTGTATAAAGTATAGCACATACAATTCTGTACAGTACATAATAGTTGATAATGATAATAGTTGACTATGTTATTGGTTTACATATTTACTATACCATACTTTTCATCATTATTTTAGAGTGTACTTTTTCTATTTCCAAAAAAAAAAAAAGTTAATTGTAAAACAGCCTCAGGCAGGTCCTTCAAGAAGGATTCCAAAATAAGGCACTGTTATCGTAGGAGATGACAGCTCCACACAGATTATTGTCCCTGCAGACCTTCCAGTGGCACAGGGACAAGATGTAGAGATGAAAAACAGTGATATTGATGATCCTGACCCTGTGTAGACCTACGCTAATGTATGTGTTTGTGTCTTAGTTTTTAATAAAAAGTTTAGAAAGTTAAAAAAAAAATAGAACAAAGCTTATTGAGTAAGGATATAAAGAATGAAAATATTTCTGTACAACTGAACCACATATTTGTGTTTCAAGCTAAGTGAGTACAAAAGAGTCAAAAAGTTTAAAAAATTAATAAGTAAAAAAAGTTATAGTAATCTAATATGAATTTACTATTGAAGAAATGTTTTAATAAATTTAGTGTAAATATACAGTCTTTTTTTTTTTTTTTTTGAGATGGAGTCTCGCTGTGTCACCAGACTAGAGTGCTGTGGCGCAATCTCAGCTCACTGCAACCTCCAACTCCCTGGTTCAAGGGATTCTCCTCCCTCCGCCTCCCAAGTAGCTGGGATTACAGGCATGCGCCACCATGCCCGGCTAATTTTTGTATTTTTAGTAGAGATGGGGTTTCACTATGTTGGCCAGGATGGTCTCGATCTCCTGACCTCGTGATCCGCCCACCTCGGCCTCCCAAAGTGCTGGGATTACAGGCATGAGCCACCGCGCCTGGCCAATATACAGTGTTTATAAGTCTACAGTAGTAGATAGTGATGTCCTAGGCTTTCACATTCACTAACCACTCACTGATTCACCCAGATCCACAGCCACTTTCCATCCTGCAAGCTCCATTCATGGTAAGTGCCTTATACAGGTGTACAGGTGTATCATTTTTTTCCCTTCTTAATAATAATAATTATTATTATTTTGAGATGGGGTCTCGCTCTGTAGCCCAGGCTGGAGTGCAGAGGCATGATCTCAGCTCACAGCAACCTTTGCCTCCCAGGTTCAAGCAATTCTCCTGCCTCAGCCTCCTGAGTAGCTGGGACTACAGGTGCGTGCCACCATGCCTGGCTAATTTTTTATATTTTTAGTAGAGACGGGATTTCACTGTGTTAGCCAGGATGGTCTCCATCTCCTGACCTCGTGATCTGCCCGCCTCAGCCTCCCAAAGTGCTGGGATTACAGGTGTGAGCCACCGCACCTGGCCTCTACTGCATTATTACTATACCTTTCCCACATTTTGATACATAAAAACCATTGTGTTAAGTGTCACAATTGCCTACAGTATTCAGCCTGGTCACATGCTGCACAGGTTTGTAGCCTAGGAGCACAGGCTACACTTATAGCCTGTAGCCTACGTGTGCAGCCGGCTATGCCATGTACATTTGTGTAAGTGCTCTTTGTGATGTTTGCACGATGAAATCATCTAACAACTCATTTCTCAGAACTGACCGGGCATGGTGATGCATGACTGTGTAGGGAAATACTTTCACCCCTTTAGAAGAAGCTATAAATAACCAGGTATAAATGCAGGATTCCTTTCCAAAGACAAATACTGGAAACAAACACAATCAAGGAAGATAATTGATTACTTCAAAAAAACAATTGAGATATGAGAGTAAATTAAATAAGAAGACTGTGACTAGGATAAGTAACCAATAACAGCCCATAACAGCTAACATTATTATTATTGTTGTTATTATTATGAGATGAGGTATTTTGCCAGGTTGCCCAGGCTGACCTCAGATACTGAGGCTCAAGAGATCCTTTGCTTTGGCTTCCCGAGAAGCTGAAACTACAGGCAGCTGCCAGCATGCCTGGTCTGCAATTTACATCTTTTGTACACTACAGCACGTTACTGTTCAAAGCACATACAAGTATTAAGCTGCTTAATCCTTGCAACACTACCAAGAAGTAGGAGTTATTATCATGACTGACTCTCTTCTACAGATGAGGAAACGAGGCACAGGGAAGTGAAAGGCGTGGTGGGACAGGGACCTGCGGTCTGGATCTGCTTCATATAGAGAAACTGGGTTCTTAAGAAGGAAAATGGGCCTTAATTTCTAAATCGTAACAAGTTCAGCCCTCACTCCTCTTTTTTTTTTTTTTTTCACTATCCTGGAAAAAAAAAAGAAGTGGATAGAAAGGTACTAATAACAATGAGTTTAATTTCTCAAATTTTATTATTCTTTAAAAAGGATACATTGGTACAGGAGTAAAGACAAAAAAAATCAAAAAAGAATCGAGTATTCAAAGACCCTTGATGGTGTAACATCAATTATTTTAATTTTGTTTTTAAAATTTTTATTTTCTAAACTCCTATAATAATTGTTTTTCAAATGGGGAAAAAGAACGAAGTTTTTATTACTGCCTTTCTTTCTACAATATATTATTCAATGGAGATACTGAACCTGTATTTGCTACAGGCTAAAGAAAATAAAATAAAACAATCCCTAGCCAGGCAAGGGAGATTTTCAGAGAGGATGCCAACAGGGTCCTATCCCATCAGGCATCCATGACAAATCTGTCTGCTGTCTGGTCCTGTAGCATCACCCAAATGTGGTTCAGGCAGCACTGGAAACAATACAGACTCAGGAGATCAGGGAAGTCATTTTGCAAAGAAGCAGAAGTGTCAGGAGGTAGCACCTGTAAGGATGAATGCTGGAGCTGTCTCATGGAGTTTCACAGAAAGGTAACAAGCTGCACAATGACTGTCTAGGGGCAACAGATACATAGGAGGAAAGCAGTCTTCATTCAAACAGGATACTGAGATTGACATAGTGTGTCTTCCAACAAGATAAGCAAAAGTATGTGAAGAAATGAGTCCCTAAAGGAAAATATCTCTTTGGGCAATTTCACTTCAATTCAATTTCATGTTAAATACAAAATACATATATTGAATATGTGGATAAAATCACTAGAATATATTCGTGCAATAACATCTACGTGAGACATGACAGCATCTCACCATGTCTGGCAGTCTCTCGGGGTCAAATGCAATCTCTGCCCCCCACCTGGCAGTCATCGGCACTTATGGAATAGGCCAGGCAGAAGGCTCTGTTAGATACTGCCTTCTTCCCTTCGCAATGCACTGTCCCAGACTTCCTGGGGTGAGAGAAGTGATTGTCTATGAGAGCTAGCTTGGAGTGAATGAAAACAGCATTTAAGAGGCTCAGCATTTTCTGATCGCCAAAGGGGGTACCCTTCAACATGAGGTGACCCAGCAATGATTGGCTGCTGAGTTCTTTGAGTATTTTAGGGACCTGCAGGAGATCTGGGTGGAGCTGTGGGTTTCCGTGTGTACAGTGTGTAAACATCACCCTTTGGTGCTTCGCCAGTGCTTAAGGGGCTCCCAGGTGCTATTTATTTTGTTTAGTTTATTGTTCAGTGTTATTGTTTGTTGACTTGATCTATTTTTTTTTCTCCTACAAAGGGGCCAGTCTGCAAGGACACATCCTGTAGATGGCTAATTGATGATGCCCTATTGTTTAGTGTGTGTGCACTGTGGTTTTATTTGCTTCGGTTCAAAGGGCCTAAACAATGCATTCGTTGGAATTTAGTAACTGCTGTAAAATCAGCACAGAGAACAATCTGTGAGCTGATATTTTTTGTACCCAAATCTGGTAATCTCTGCTTGACTAAAGAAAGCAAAATCTAAAATGACCTTTCAACTAACCATAGAAAAGGCCTTCCATTGAATCTCAAAGAGACTTATTTTTCTACCAAATATAAAAACATTCGAATTATGCATCATTTTCCATGATTCAAAGGAGACAGAGGTGCCTACGGGGCATGTTACTCATAGACAAGTCTATTCTAGTCTAATCACGTCCCCTTAAAAATCACCGAGTAGATGACACCGAGGATGAGAACGAGGTACTGTAATCATTACTTTAGAAACTTTATATTTTTACCTGTTTCAAGACAGAATTCTCCTAGAAAATCTGGAGCAACAAGCTTATTCCCCTTGGAGAGGAGATAACGAATAATGGACCACGCATTCGGAGAGAGGAAGTTTCCACTGGGAGCCCTTCCTGCATCAGTGCGTCTCTGGTTGGGCTGGCTATCTGTGTAGGAAGTGAACGCAGGAAGTATCTGTCTACAAACCCTTTATCCTCAAGGTAATTGCTGTAGCAGCATTTTACTGTTTACCAAAGCAGTAAACATGTGATCTAAAAAAAGATGTTTTCCATCTCCAGAAGAACAAGGCTTTAAAAAATGTATACATGTGCTTATTTTGTAACCAGCTTATCAAAATTGGTTACAATAGGCTTGGGCTTTCAACAGTGAGTCCATGAAAACAGCTCTTGGGATGGACAGAGGTACCCTCACAGGG
The DNA here is from genome assembly GCF_000001405.40 of Homo sapiens. Classification (NCBI taxonomy): domain Eukaryota; kingdom Metazoa; phylum Chordata; class Mammalia; order Primates; family Hominidae; genus Homo; species Homo sapiens. Next base: position 38,489,362 of record NC_000021.9, read on the forward strand.
ATGCACAAGAAACAAAGAAGTGGCTTCCTTCACTAGAATGCTATCCTAGCAACACACATTTTATGTCTTTTCTCCTAAGACCGGCTTAACCGAGTTCATACTGTTTGGCTTACAAAGAAGGTAAAGTCAACAAAACTATCTATGTTAATTCAGGTTGGTAGAATGAGTAATTCACAAAGTCCAATAACTCATAAAAGTCACTTACATTTGGCCTTGGACAATATTCTTATTTTTACGTGACTATAAATATGCTTCCAGTTTAGGAGTTCACACAAGACAAAGTGAAAAGTTAGAACTCAAAAGGAGATGTGTAGTGGCTGCTTTTGCTGACTTTTGCCTGGCGTAGGCCAAGCCTCCTGGTCCGTCTTTTCCTTTGTTTCTTTATTCCAGATCAAGCTTGCAAACCTGCACCGTCCCAGATTTCCTGGGGTAAGAGAAGTGATTGTCTAGGAGAGGCAGCTTGGAATGAATAAAAACAGGTCCAGGAAGGATCCCTCAGCATTTAAGAGGCTCAGGAGGGGTCCCCCTCATCATCCTTGTTGTCTTTTGTGTTTTTCAAGCCGCCTTCCAGGTGGATAGCGATTGCAATGAGAGAGAAAGAGTATGGAAGGAGAATAAGAAGAATAGGGAGACACAGAAGTTAACAACGCCCTGAATGTCTCCTTCCAGGACCTGCTGTGCAGTGTCCGGTGAACTCACCAGCAAGCATTTCCCAGCCCTGTTTTAAGCAATCTCCAATGCAGATCAGGTGCTCGTGAATAATTGGGAGCTCACTGTGTCTGTCAGAGTTCTTACTTTATAATGAAGAGATAAAAACATGTTCATCACAGGAAAATGGACAAATTGGCTAATTGAAAACAAAATTCAATTCACAAACTGTTGTAGAAATTGAAAAAAAAAAGGTAGGGGGAAATGCTTTTCATAGATTCCCTGATTTTAGTCTTAGAAGAAAAATGTATTTGGCTTGAATGAATAGTAAAATTAACTAACTTTGATTGAGGAGCTTATGTGTGCCATATACAGTTCTGGGCTCTTGCGACTTGGTGAATCTCACTATAACCCTGTGAAGTAGGAACTATCACTCTACCCATTTCACCGATGGAAAAGCCTATCTCCTGTGAGGCTGTGGCTTGCCAAAGGTGAAATGGCCAGGAAGTAGAACAGCCAGGGAGTGAACCCCAAAAGCCAGGTGGGAGCCCATTTCCCCTGCCCACTGCACGAGACCCCTCCCCGGTTTGAAGATCCGATAGGGGCACTGCTGTTAGCTCCCCCTGCGTCCTGGCAGCAGCACAGTCAGCAGATGGTCACTGTGGAGAAGGCGGAGCTGACCACCTCCATTTTCCTATAAGGGAGCTAGGGCCAGGAGAGGTGCGTTCACCTGGGGAAGTCCTGCAGCATCAAACTAAAGCTCCGGGCCACCCTCTCCCAGATGGGCCTCTTTCCACTTCCCCTTGCCAGCAGCTATATCTATGCCTCCCATCCGTTGCACGGAAGATAAGGCCAATCCCTTTTCCACAGAGGCTATTTTAAGGATGCCACGAAGAAATACAGAGTACCAAGTGCCTCCCTGGGCCAAAGATAAAAGTGGGCTGTGCTCTCTGGATTCAACCTTCATGTTTTTGATGCTCTCTGGAAGGTCAGGGAAGGCACACATATCGTATGGATCCAAAGAGGACTACGCAATGCAAAACCACATACTTTTTTTTTCTTTTTAACTTGGAGCAATGTCTTGGGACATCTACCTCAAATTGAGACACAAACTAATTGTGTTGACAGATTCTAAAGTGTTGTTTCAACAGTTTCTTCTTCCTCAAAGGTGAGCATCATGTGCACACTGTCAAAATTAAAAAAAAAAAAAAAAAGACCCAATAAAACCCGATGAAACCCAAAGAGCATGGAGATGAGAAACTCACTGCTGGCTGACGATCTGAATGAATGGCCTTGGGGGGAATGTGAATGTGGAGGTAGCAGAAGGGTCCTGTCTTCAGTGCTGATTCTGTATCAATACTTGGTAAATTTAAAAAACAAAAAAACCAGCAAGGGAGATTTTAAATCATCAAGGCAGAAGGATTTAAAAAGTGGAATGTGTTAAATGCAAGAGTGCGGGATCTTTGCATAAAGTTATTATATTTTCAAAAATTCGACAAGCATTGTTTTTACCAAACGTGTTTAAAGTAACAGCCCTGAGGTTAATGTTATGATTGGATTCTGATGTGGCACTTTAAAAATAAATCATTTTGCTTGGCCTTAGCATTTCTTTTCAAAATGTCTCTGTACTTATCTGTGTACAACAGCAGATTACCGTTCTTCCCAGAGTTTAATTCCATGAACACCCTGCTGAAAGACTTGTTAAGGCCTTATGGAAAACTCTGACCTGCGTGTTCATTATTGACGCCCAAGACGAGTGCAAGGAAGTTGATACTTGGGATGAGGAAATTTAAATCAGCAGCTGATCTGGAATCTGGAAGCACTGCCCCTTGGATCTCGCCAAATATGGAAAGAATTCTTGTCACTGAGCAAATATAGAATTCAGTGCTAGAGTTTTACCTCTTGAATTTTCTAGAACTTTGTTTTGATTAGCCACCTAGAGTATAAGAATTGCTGCCTATGGGATTTTTCCCAGAAGAGTAGATAACATAAAGTAACCAGCGATAATAATTTTCATTATCCAATTATTTCATGTGTCTCCATAACACTTAATACATCATGTTTCTCTGCACAGTAATTCACTATGTACAGCTAGGGTGAATAGCAGGAAAAAAGAGATCAGATGATAAAGAGAAGGGAGACAGATTTGTGTGACTTGTATAAGATACTTCGCCTCTCTAATCCTTTGTCCTTATCTGTAAGAAAGCAGCAGTACCCAGGCTGCTGTGAGGATCACATGAGACATTATGAGAGTTTAGCACAGGACTTGGCACATAACAAGCAGTTATTAGGATGATGTTAGTTTGGATTATGAATTCAAGATACTACAGCTACATTTTTTATACTTTCTTAAACATCAATTTAAGTCAATTTTAATTAACGTTATTTTACTAGGAGAAATGTCTCTAAAAACATAAGAATTCTATTTGAAGTCTACAATGATAATTACATTACTCTGATATCTTAACTTCCTCTTTATGATTTCAAATAATTAAAATTTAAGTTTATGTTTTCAACAAGTGCTTATTGAACCTCTACTCTTTGCCAGTCACTGTTGAGGACACAGAAGAAATGGATAAGATATCACTAAAAACAGCTTCTGCGATATCAGTGGGTATACATAAATTATTCACACTCAACAACAAACACAAGCAAAGCTGGGAGAATGTGCTGACAGGAAAGAAAATGAAGAGTGGGAGAGTGGACAGATGGGAATCGATGTGAAATTTTATAAAACATGTCTTGGCCAAGCTCAGTAGGGGAAATATGTGGAAAGTAAGCTAGACCAAACAGAGAATAAAAGTATAAATAAGAAAAAAAATCCAGAGGTCACAGTGGACCACTAGCCAAAATGGGTTCACAGCAAACAAACAAAAAAATGTAATGAAATACTAAAATTAAAGAAGTACAAATAAAAATGAGATTCTGTTCTTATCTGTCAGAATGGCAAAGATTCAAAGAGTAAAATATTCAGAGTTGTTATGGGTGTAGTGTGGAACTGGTCTCATATGTGGCTAGAAAAAGGGAGAACTGGTATAATCCTTCCAGAGAATAATCTGGTAATTATTTTTTAAATTGGCAAATATTTAAATTTGGCAAAGACTTAAAAAATATATATACCCATTGGCTCAATAATTCCTTTCTAGGCACCAATACTAATAAAAAGTATTCAAAAAATTAAATAGATGGTGTACTGCAATATAATGAGTGAAACATCGCAAGCAGCATCACTTTATACACTAGGATATTGGTTATAAAATGGTAATACATATTTTAGATAGAATATAATGAAACAAAAATTTTGCTTATCAAAAAATGTTAGTAACATGGGAAAATGCTTGTAAAACAATGCTAACTGAGAAGAGCAGGACAGGTAGGTAGATACAAGGCCAAACAGATACACACGGTGGAGAGACATATCCCAATTGTTAGGAATTTGCTGTGGTTGGTTAGGATCTGAACAATTTATATTGACTTTGTGATGACTTTTAAACGTTTTCTCTACCATAAGAATTTTTTATGTTTATAATTTATGCTAAAGAACAAGATGTATTTTTTGTAATTCAGGAGTAAAGAGGAGAGTGGGGTATTCCAGGGTGCTGTTCCTGCCCTAACCAGGAGCACGATGCAGTCATAGGCCTCTGCCCTCCTCCAGCAGCCTCGGCTCAGAACAGGACGAAGCCAACCCTCTCTGACCAGCACCACCTCGGGCGACCCCTGGACGCTCCACCTGCCCCTGTGTGTGGTACCTGCCCTGCTACACCTTTAACAAGCACCCCTGCAAGCTCCCTCCTCCTTCCTTCCCTGTCCTGTGGCTGCCCAGACCCAGATGTACCCTGCCTGGGTGTGGGAGGCCGCACATCAGAGCAGTCTATGGCTGTGGGCTTCACAGCTGAAGCTGGGCCGTGGGAAATGTTGAGACGAGTGAGTGCAGAGCCTGAAAGACAATACGGTAGAAAAGGTTACATCCGCGGGGGGGCGTCTGATGGCATCTGCCATTTATTGAGGATGGGTGCGAGACAGGGTAGCCATTATGATCCCATTTTACAGGTGACGAAACTGAGATCAGACAGGCTAGCTACCTTGCCCAGGGTCACAACAGGAAGGAAGCAAATGCAAGTGTGTCTGCGGCCACGTAAGGTGAGAGAAGCGCTATCAGGGGTGGTCTGACAGAATCCCCAGGCCAGGGAGCAGTTGTCCTCTATCCTGTGGGGTCAAAGGAGGGGACAAGAAGGCTCTCCTTGAGGTAGCTCCAAAGAAAAGACCCCGCCAGAGCACAGTGTGCTACCAAACGCTGGAACAGCCTGGAGACTGTCCCTGTCTCTTCTCTGAGGTTTCTCATTTCAGAGAAACTCTCATCCGTCTGGCTTCCCCATGGCCCTTACTCTGTGATTCTCTTATGTATCAGCTGTTAAACCAATAAATCCGCCAAATTGTTGGGATGCCTATAATGGCTTTGGGTCTCCACTCCCACAGAGGGAATCTTATTCTAAAGTTCTAAATGTATCAGTCATATTTTCCTGAAGACAACAGAAATGGTTGTTTCATTTACTTATTTTTATGTATGCTTTTTCAAGAGTTGTTAACCTGTGTTTGTGTTTAAATAAAGATCTGTTTTGCAAAACAAAAACTTTATGAGATAATCACTTATAAACGTAGATAATTAAGAAATGGTTCAGGCTCAGCACATTGTCTGAGAGCATTGCAGTCCTGCACTGTATTTCATGGGGGAAGAAAAGCCCACAGATGGAGCCATTCTCAATCCTGCTTTCCAGGGTCACTGAGTCAGGGTGCCTGGCATGCATGGGTGCATGCACACACAGGCAGAGGGCCAGGGAGAACTGTGCTGTGTCCACAGAGGGCAGCCTGGATCACAGAGCTGACCAAGAACGGAAGCAGCAAGTTGTTTTAAAGTAGTTGCCTGTAAAGCCACTTTTCGGCAAGGACAAACACTCAGAGCATGCTCTGAAATGACTTATGCACAGCAGGGCAGCGGCATTTTGCCCCTGGCCTTCCTTCCATTCTCCCGGAATCCCCCTAAAGTAACAAGGACTGACGCAATTCGTATTTCACTTAGCCAACAGGTTGATGAAAAATCATAAATCTGTAGCTATTAAACTCATTAATCACATCCATCAAAATTCTGTGAGGAGTTAACTTTCTTCATATAACTCTTAGTCTTAATTAAGTTTCCCTCACATGTGATAGCAAACGTTCAAGAAGTGCAAATGTGCAGACGTGGCGTATATAATGCAAGCTTTATGTCTTTAAATTAATAAAATTGAGTCCTATCAGGTCGTGTTTCAATTACCATCAAACCTTCCAACCTCTGTTAATTCAAAAAAAAGTAACTTCTTTAGGCAAGTCATGGAAATAGCACTAGGGTGCCCTCAGGTCTCCACCAAGCCTTGTTAGTAACTTTCCATGTCCTGTCTGATTTTTAAGATGCTTTCCCCTGATGCTGCTGCCGGCTGCTGGCTCTCTCCACATCCTTCAATGTCAGATCTCTGTGATGATGGAAAATCCCCCACATTCCCTTTTTACACATTAAGTATCTTTCTAGGATCAGAACTTGCAACCTGGGGTTCATGTTCTCCTTAAAAGGTCCGGGGAGAGGACTGTATTTCTGTTGTAATTCTATGTATTTCTTTTTAGGCACCAGAAAGTATTATTCTGAGAAAGGACTGTAGGCTTCACTAGACTTCCCAAATTGCAGATGGCATTAAAAAAAAAGGAATCAGGAAAGTCTTTGGGAAATTAGGCTAAAACTCCTAACTGAAGCACAATCGAGTTTTCAGTGCAACAGCAGGATCCCTGCAGTCTGTAGCAAACACTGAGATGTTTGTGGGGACAGTGGGGCCGGTGAGGTTCAGCACCTCTCAATATTGTCAGATGTCACCAATGCCCAAGGGAAGCACCAAAACCAATCAGTGAATTGTCTGCAAACCATCAGCTTTGTTGCTTCCAAGTCTTTACTAGAACTCTTAAGCTGATCTTAAAATTCACAGACACTTAGAGATAAATGAACACTCTCACATAAGTTCCCAAAATTCCTTTACTTCTTCCAATTGAAACATTTTGTTCCCAATTTCAAGTTACCAAGGGAAAATGATGGTAAGAATCACAAAGACTGGATACGAATATTTAGCTTTTCATAGTGTCTCATAGGGTCTTACAAATGTTAATGCAAAAAAATAAAAACTCCACTCAAATGCAGAAAACCAACTTAAAAAATTCAGAGCATCTGATACCTAATCGACTAATTGATTTATTTACTGAAACAACAAAAAAACAGAGTGCATTGAGACTGGAAATTGCCTCTATGGGGGGCTGTTTCCTAATTCCAGTGGACAGCCATCATTTTCCCTATGCTAACTTGGGCTTTGCGCTAACGTAATTGAAACTGTAGTCAACAGACTCAGGACCTCCTTTTTCCACTCTATAAACAAGGCTGTAAAATCATCTCATTACTTTACCCAGGAAATCTAACAGAAACATGTCTTAAAGGAAGTCACCTATAAAGAGGGCCTATTTTAACAGAAGATTAAAAAAAAATTCACCTGTAGTCATTCTAAGGGTTCACTTGGGTACATACAATAAACACATAATGCAATGTAATAAAATGTTAAATCAAGCATAGTACCTTAGACAAGTGTAAACTATTATTTCCAAAAAAGTGTTCAGAAAATCACAAAATATTCAAACTTTCAAAATAGCTTCATGTATTCATAAATGTATACTTCAAATTAAACAGTATAACACATTTGGATGTTTTGCAAAATGTACCTACCTTCTAAAGGATGGTCTGTTATTTCAATGTCCTTTTTAATGCACTGAGTTTTTTGGGAAAAAAAACCACATAAGATCGTACCCAAGCTATTCAAGATTTACACAGAATATTTGATTTAACATGCATATGAATAAGGATGAAAATAAGAACAAAAAAATAACATTTTGGGTCACAAAATCAAGTAATTTCTATTCATGTAGCTATAAGTAGGGCACATTAACTCTCAATTTTATAATTCCTGTCTATAGGAGCCATATTTCAGCAGATTCCAATCCTTGAAGCCAAAGAAAGAAAAGTATAAGGTGAAAGTTCTTGGTACACAGATTTTTAATATATTATTGAACACACCTTGAGAAATAAAAGCTGAACTTCTCAAACACAGTTTCTATGGTACATATGAGTCAAATCTTCTAATACAAACATTTCAAATTATGAAAATACCAAACCAAAGAGTATTTTTGAAAATGGCTTGGCCCAATTCTGGGCAAACTTCCATTTTCTTATGCACTTTCCAACAAACTAAAAGCCTTATGAAAACACCACCAAATGCTTCTCACCTCCGTGCAGCAAAACTAAAGACATGCAACAAACACAATTTTCTTTTCCCTCCACTCAGCATCTGCTTTTGTTGCTGATTTTTCACATTTCTACAAATGTCACGAAGGCATGGTGGCCTTTAAAACAACTGAACGGACCCCCATTCAAGACTGCATGCCCCTTGACTTGTAGTCACCATTAAATTGGCTTCATTTCCAGGAATCAGGCCATATTTAGGATTGTACCTGTGCAGATTTACCTCCACATTAATCTCTACATGCTATCTACTAAAAACTTAGGCAAGGAAATGCATCAGACCAAACACCCCACAGCACAGAGAACCGACCGGCCATTGCTTTCCAATCTCCGCAAACCTAACCATTGCTGGAAGAAATCTTACTCACAGTGCACAGACAGTAGGTATTTTATTGAAGATAAACATATAGTGGAACAAACCAAATTACCCCCATTTGAGTTACGTGAGCACTCAGTTCTCAGCGTGGATGTCCCACAAATCAAGTCAACATTTGCGTCCCATTACCAGCAGCCACTTGCCGAGTATCTCTTCGCTTCCACTGGGACTGCCTGGCATCCCTGATGCTAAGGAGCCACTGAAGAGCCTCCAAATGTCTGACATTCACAAACGCATCTTTTGCTTTGACCCGACCCTTCAACCTCTCCGAGTCTGCTGCCTTTTCTCAGACACACATCCAGGCACCGTTAGGGATAGTTAGAGAATCTGAAAATTCAGAAGCGCTCCGAAAAGCCTTTCCAAAAGTAATCCACAGCACTCAACAGTGAATTTAGAAACCCCAATTTTTTTCTGAGTTTGAAGTTTTTAAGCCTTGCGGATGGTTGGAGTAGGAAAAAGGAAATTTACTAGGCAGTGCAAAGGAAATCTTGTTGTCCTCTATTGTGGCAGTGGGGGTGTTGCCCAACCCTAACTTATCTGCCTTGATAAAGGAAACCAAAGAAAAGAGTAACAAGAACAAGATTTTGTCAAATTAAAAGGAACCCTTTCCTTACCTTAATAGTGCTGGCCATAATGCGATCAAGTTTATTGATCGTTAATAAATGTTAATAATAATTATTGCTTCTCTCTGACCAGAAAGTAGTTTTGATGAGGTTGTTTAGAGCGGATGAGATTGTGCTAAGTCTGGGAAATGAAGTCAGCCAATGGCAGGAAGAGGTTTCTATTGGTCCTGGCTGTCCAGCCCAAAGAAACAGGATATTTGGGAGTGGAGAGATAAGAGACCCTGAAAACAATGTTGTTTTTCTTGATGATATGCAGCCAGGAGATTTTTTTTTTTTAATTAAAAAAAGAAAAGGCATCAATTGGGATGGGGACTGCCACAGCAGGTGTGACCGGTGTGCCGCCGTGTGACACACTGCACTGAGACCAAGGCAGGATGCAGATGTGATGGGACTCCGCATGGCTTCACACGGGCTGCAAGCACCTTGGAGCCAAGGCGTTGAGGGCACCCCACTGCCCTGGGTGTCAGCCCTTCGCAGCCCAATTCTTCGCAGAATTACTAGGACAGAGGACTTGAGCTCCTTTCTCCTAAAAGGAAACTTTGCAGGTGGAGTTTATTTCATGTTAATAGATGGCCATGTTCAGTAACAGCCATTGCCTGGCTGATTTTTAACAACCTATATTTATTCAACATTTCATATAAGTGTTCCAGAACAGTTTCATTTTCTCCTTCCAAATACCTGCACTTTTTATTTGCTCTACAACAAAGTTGTTGAAAACGCAAGGACTCTAGGCTTACAGTAAACACAAAAAATAAAGAGGAAAAATAAACCTTCCTAAGTCTTGTTTTCAAGTATTTATTAAAACCCAAATAACTGAAGTGACTACAAATGTCCCGGAATATCAGTGAGCTGGTCTCACTCTGACAGACATCCATGTTGCAGACAACAGATCCTCATAGAACTTTTGGCTACCCAGAGATGCCATGTGAGGGCCCCATTACATGTCTAAAATCCAAGCTATAAGTTCAGGGTCACAGGTCTGTTTTCTCCTCGAAGGAAGTACAGCGAATGCAGGCCTGAACATTCCTTAGAGGGTTTCAGGACTTTAATTACTCATTTTCAGGAAATTGCTTGGAAGAAACATTTTGCTTTGAATCTAGCTACAGGAACGCAGGACCCATAAAGAGGTGTGGTCTCAATAGGCGACCCCAAGAACACAATAGACTAAATCCTGAGTCATCTGACAATTCCTGGTTGCAGAGCTGGACGTTCAGTAAATGGATTTCACTCAGACTTTAGGCCGGCATGTGTCAGAGTTCTGTCCACCAGCCCAGGTCATTCTGGCTTTTATTATATACCTCTGATTTATCACCTCATGTTAGGACAAAAGAAGGAGGAGAAGGAGAAAGATAAGGGGGGAAAGGGAGAGGAAGGAGAGGAGGAGGAGGAGGGAGGGAAGAGGGCGAGAAAAAATGGAGAAGGAGAAAGGAAGGACAGAAGAGAGAGAGAAAGGAAGGAGGATGGGAGGAAGGAGGGAGGAAGGAAGGAGAAAGGGAGGGAGGGAGGGAAAGAAAGAAGGAAAAGAAAAGAAAGAGAGTATATTGTAAGAAAATCATTCTGTGGAAATCAGAACCTAAGTTCTCAGCACCTACATTATGAGGGGGTGTTGATTTCCGCTCTTTTCATCTCTGAACAATGAATAAGATGGCAGGCTGATTAAAATTCTGTTTCCCCGAAAATTTCAAAGTCCTGAGCTGTTTTATCTGGGCAGCTTCCACTAGAATTCTGGAGTGCGGAGGAGAAAAGCTCTCTCAGCTTCCCTGAGTGTCCTTGCTTTTTGTTCTCTCCTAAGAAGCATCAATGTAAAATGTTAACTGTGGCCTCCACAACACATGGCACCTGATTATGCCTTTACCAAACACCAGCTTTAAATAAGATGAACGCTTTGCTAATGAAATAGCCACGGAAGAAAATCCTGTGTGGTCCCGCCTCACCCACGCCTCGTGGTTGCTAATCCAGCCCTCAGTTGTTCCCTGCAGCAGGAAAGATCAGCATTTCTACTGGGACCTAATGCTTCAGTGATGATTTGGCCTTAACTCCCTGGTTCTTGCCTAATGCAAATCAAACTGTGAAGAGTGGGATTTCTTACCTCTCTATTTTGAAATAATTTCCAACTTACAGAAAAGCCACAAGATAATACACCAAACTCCTAATACCCTTTGCCTGGTTAACTCTGATTGTCTACTGGTGCCAATGTACATCATTTTCTCTGCTTTCTCTCACACATGCTCTCTCTCTCTCAATCTCTGTCTCTCTCTCCCATATTTATTTATGTATAACATACATGCATGCATATATCCATCATTTTCTAACTAATAAAAATATTGTTTTATAAGAGACAAATTTATTTATTGGATACTAAAAAAGAGAAAAACAGATGCTATTATTTGATCAATATTCGATCCATAAGTTTTACTGCGTCTAATTTTGGAAATGCATACAAACATAAAAAGTGATCTAATAAAAAGTTAATTTGGGGATACTGAGTGGTAAATTCTGTTCCAAAATTTTACAAAGGAAACTCCTCCTCATTTCTAATGACAAAATGTTTGATTGATTCCTGTTGTCTTCAAAGAGAATAATTCTTGATGTTTCAAATGGCATCATAGCATCCAAGCCTGGTAATCTCTGACTATTTAATGTAAAGTGTTTTAAAAAAATCTTTGGCTCTTGATAGGACAAGGCACATCTTTTTTTTTTTTTTTTTTTTTTTTGGGACGGAATCTTGCTGTCGCCCAGGCTGGAGTGCAGTGGCGCGATCTCGGCTCACTGCAAGCTCCGCCTCCCAGCTTCACGCCATTCTCCTGCCTCAGCCTCCCGAGTAGCTGGGACTGCAGGCGCCCGCCACCACACCTGGCTAATTTTTTTTGTATTTTTAGTAGAGACGGGGTTTCACCATATTAGCCAGGATGGTCTCGATCTCCTGACTTCATGATCCACCCGCCTCAGCCTCCCAAAGTGCTGGGATTAAAGACGTGAACCACCACGCCCGGCCAAGGCACATCTATTAACTAGAATATAGCAGTGCAGAAACCGTTTCCCAAATATTATCCTATGGGGAAATTATCTGAAGATATAGATATCACTCTAGCTTTCCTCACTTGTACCCCAAGTCTATGTTATTAAATGGCCTCATCCCTACACCACCCAGCAGCCTAAGAACCAGGCTGCCTTTCCCACCTGATACCTCCTCTCCCTAGGGAAATATGCCCTCCAAGCCACCACGCGGACCAAGTTAGGGGGCAATCTGGCACACGGCCCCTACCTGAGGCCCGTCCTGCCATGAGCCTATCAGGGCAGGGTCCTTTTTCACTCTCCTTGAGATGCAGTAATCACCACACTAGACCAGCACAGCCCATACAGTAGCTGTGGACAGCAGAACCTATGAATAAAGCACACATTTCCCTTGCATGCTTCTCTGCCACAAACCCATCCCCTGTGAATCTGCCAAAACCTTCCACTAGTCTCCTCACATTTTACTCCAAAGAAAGAAACAAAATAATATAACATAAATATACCATAAATTCACTGTCACAATAAAAGAAACACTAGTATTTATTTATCCTAAAATCATTTCTTCCCATTTTCTAAAGATCGAACAAGTTCTCATTCTTGTTCCCTTACTAACTTCTCTGTATGGAATATGGGGAGGAAGGTTAGGAGCTAAGAACACTCTGAATGACAGCCACATGGTTCTCAATGTAATACATGCGCAGAGCAAAGAGAGGAGATCCGTCTGAACCTCCACATCTGTGGGGACACAACAGAAGATTCACTCATGACTCATTCACGTCTTTATCCCTGCCCTATACATCCCTACAATGGAACGCCCTTCCTCCTCAAAAACATTGCAGGAAAATGATGTCGTAGATGAACACTTAGCAATATGGAAAACTGCTCTGATATTTTACCTGGTTAGTTAAAAAATCACAGTATATAGGAGAATTATATCCATAGACTCATTTTGTTAAAAATAAAAAGGCAGTTGGGGATGGCCGTGCATTCTGTTCCAAAGCATCTGTGAACCTGAGGAATAGACACCATGAGCGAAGCTAACCTTCCCGAGTTGAAAAATGAAATGCAATGGTGGCAGACATGTCCAAGGAATATTATGGGGACTCGATCCCTTTATGAATCTTGTCATAGATGAATGTGTGGAGATGTCAACTAGTTGGCAGCAGAACAGTATTGGAACGGTGGTAATACAAGGAAATAGTATCATCATATTAGAAACTTTGGAATGAGTATAAATAATGGCTGTTCAACAGAAAAACCCATGTCCCCTCTCCAAAGGGCCTGTTTCACTATATGTAAAAATTAGGTCATGTATGTTTTCATATTAGACTTTTTGTTAAATAACCTTTTTTTTTTTTTTTTTTGAGTCTCACTCTGTCGCCCAGGCTGGAGTGCAGTGGCGTGATCTCAGCTCACTGCAAGCTCCGCCTCCTGGGCTCATGCCATTCTCCTGCCTCAGCCTCCTGAGTAGCTGGGACTACAGGTGCCCGCCACCACCCTGGCTAATTTTTTGTATTTTTAGTAGAGACAGGTTTTCACCATGTTGGCCAGGATGGTCTCGATCTCTTGACCTTGTGATCCACTCGCCTCAGCCTCCCAAAGTGCTGGGATTACAGGCGTGAGCCACCACGCCCGGCCAATAACCTTTTGTAATAGTCAAAAAATAAAAAATAAATAAAAAGGCAAAGTAAAAATATTGACAGCTATATCTTATAATACCAATGGCAGAGAAGCTTTTTGTTTTTTCCCCTCTTCTTCTTTGGTTCACTTATATTTTCAAAACATAAATTTGTAATAAACATAAATTATATCCTAATATAAAAATATGTAAGTAACATGCAATGTTGTTCATTTTTGTAAATATCTGAAAAATACAGGCATGTTCTGTAAAAAGTGCAGCCCACAATACTTGTAGGTGTCAAACCTTTTAGCATGCCCAAATGCCTGTTCTTTTTTAAATGTCTACAGCAAGCATAGAGCTCTTTTTTTTTTTCATTTTATTAAGAAAACCCAGAAACGCTCAAGAGTTTCGTGGAGGCCATCTATGCGGCATTAATCCATTCAGGTGATATTAATGGCCTTTTCCTGCCAGGAACTCCAGTGGGCACTCAGGAAGCCAGGATTACAGGGCTCTATCCAGTCACCGCATGTCTCGGCATTCGGGAAGCCTATCTCAGTCTCCTCAAATTCTGCACACATAAAACTTCAGAGCCTGGGAGCGACCCATGAAACGCAGGTTTTTAAGGACAAAACAATAGGACAAAAGTGCTGTATATTGTCCTTAAGATGACACATGAATTTAAAATGCATAGTGTTTGGATTATTCATGAGAGCCCCGCAAGAACGATGTCCCAGGGGTTTTTGCCAGGAACATGCCTGAGATTGTAGATAAGAATCAAGCATCTGGGGCTGCCGCACAATGGAAAACTCCAGCACTCCATGGAACTTTTCCATCTGCAGCAGTCGGAGGATTTGCCTGAGAACATACGCGGCATGAAGACACTCTCAGCCCTCAAGGGCACCCAGTCAGCGCTGTTTAAGGACGGTTTTTCTGTTCACAGCATACTTCATGATTACAGCTTCACTCCATTGGATACAACTATGTGAGTATGTGTGTATGAGTGTGTGAGTGTGTGTATGAGGGTGTGTGTGTGGGGGGGTAGGGGAGTGCCATATCCCCCAGCAGCACATTAAGAAATAATCCAATTACAATTTAAATAACCATTGTTTCAACACTTTCTCTAAGTGGTGAATGTATTCTTCAGTCTCTTGGTTGATCTGAACTAATAGAAACCAAGGAAACTGTTATCACATACCAAATCCTCAACTTCTCAACACCAAGTTGCAATTTCCTTAATACTGAAGCACACGTCAGTTCAGTTCTATAAGCTCCCATGGAGCAATGATTTCAATAAACACAATTTCATAAGCATCCCACACGTTCTCAAGTTTAGGCCAATTTTGCTCTTACTCAACTCCATATGACTTTAAAAATGCAGGAATATTAAAACCATTATCAAGGACTCCAAATAGGTCAATGTATTATCTGTGGTTTTAAGAAAGAAACCTAAGAGGAGAGTAATTATTTTGTCACCATTATTTAGCTTAAAATAACTTTTAAATGTATTGTTCCAATTATTAGGCTTCTCCATATAATTTGGAAACCATTAAATGAGTTTCAACTTCTTTGTCCGTATAACTGGGTATATCTGAGCATAGATGCTACAGACATCACGTTGCCATTGGTGCCCATAAGGCTTCGTATGCCCACAGGGCATATAATTAAGATTCACAAAAGCATCTGACTGGCATCCCACTCTACCCCCGACTCAGATCCAAAGTATCCTTTCCCAGGTACTGTCCCCTGTCACCATCCTTGGCCAAATTGAGAATTTATCCCAGGTTGTTGAAATTAATTTTGATTTTGATTCTAGTCAGAGTTTTAAATGATTTTTTAAGAAGTGTGTCAATCTCACCTATAAGATACTAAACAGCATCACTTATTTTTGTCTTAATCTGTCACTATTTTATGAATTATTTTTAAAGAAAATACAGATTACTTCTTAAAGAAAGATCATAAGTGGCACTATAATAGCATTCAATTGATAGAAATTGATGTAGAAGCCTGCATTAATAATTTTTCCTGCTGCTTTCTAAAGTTGGCTTTTAGTTTTCGGTTGAGGTGGGCTTTAATTCAGCATCACCTCATTTGATGATTTATTTACTAATTTATTTCCATCACAAATGGAATCAGAAATGAAGCGAAGGCAAAAAATCTTTGCCACAAATTCATTTATATTTGCATGAGTATCACCAGGCTACCTGCGGATGCAATGAAGCCCTATACCCGTGCCTGAAGTCAGGAGCACAGGACACTGGGAGTCTGTCTCAGCGCAGTAACTGCTACATGGTACGCTCCACATGGTATCCTCTCCACCTGAGCCCTCCTCATCCCTCGCCCCCTCTCCACACCTCACCCTCTCCACACTGTATTATCTCCCACTGCAAGCAACGCAGAGGACACAGAGGTGCAGCTGAAGTGAAGGCAGGCCAGTTCTTTTCCAATTCACTCTTATGAAAATGTGTTAAATCCCGTTAAATGCACCGACCTGAACTGAAATGATGATATCAGTAAATTTGTTGTTGTCATCTGATGCCCACACAGATCTCAGCACATGTTTTGGGAAAGGCTGCAGTGTTCAAGGAGTACTAGAAATGTTCTTTCTGAGTGGACTGGCCATGATAAGCCAAAGAATATTATAGCCGATAGGGATAAATCATGGTTTTCCCACTGCGCGGTTGCCTGGTGGAGATTATTCCAGCCTTTATTTACAGCTACAAAAATAATCCTGCCTCAAGGATTTTAGGAAGCAACCACCTCCTGCCTAAAGAACTACACTGCATTGTTGACTTGCCAGCTAGAAACCAGACATGAGTCGTGCAGGGAAGTTCCCTTTGAACGGCTTGAATTGTTGTCACTAGAGGGTGCTAAATGCCCCTCAAAAAGGCCTTTAGAGAGAATACTAGTGTGCCTAATTCTTGATTTAAATTCCTTGAATTGACATTATTTTACAAAGTGGTCTCATTTTTTACTTGTTAAAATTAAGATCTAACATTTATAATGCAGAAATGGTGTTTTTTTTTGAAAAATTTGGATTGTTCATTATTATAGAACATAAAGAAATACACGTTTTAGGAGCAAACATGAATTACACAGATCTGAATATAAGATTAAAGGCATAAATCTGGGGGGGTGAGATTTGTCCATGGAAATTGTATAATTGTTTTATGCCACTGTTAATGATTTTAAAGCCTGAAAAATTTACCACTTTACAATAATTTTAGATTGTTCAATATGTTCCCAAATGTGAGTTGCATCAAATTCGGTAAATGTAGAGTATGTTTGTTTTCTCTGTACACAATACTGACGTCAGTGCTAGTGCCTGCCTAAACTCAGACACCAGTAGATCCTTTTCCAGAACTAAGTGTTATAGGAGGAATATGGATTATACTGTAATATATCAGATGTGAAAAAAGCCTCACGGTCCCTTCCTTTCTCAAAAAAAACGTGTAGTATTTTGGAATATGCATGGAGTATAGCACTTCTAAAAATGGTACTTTATGTATATATGAAGTAAAATAGGCCTTAAAACTTAATATACAGATTTCCTTGAAAATAATCTTATTATACATTTACACTGACTTTTTGGTCATCCAAACATTATGCACTTAAGCAAAAAGAAATATAACCAATTTTGCAACTTTCCTCTTCCTGCCTTTGCTTCTACTTAAAAATATCTGCAGTATTTCCTTTTCTCGCCGCTTCCACTTTGGTTCATATACCAAGGAATCGTGAGGTCAATGGGTGACAGTTGTTTGTCTGTGTTCACGGCTGTCGGGCGGGGCTGGGTGTGGGTAAGGCTCTGACCGACATCTGAAGAGGCTTCACCCACTGCGGTTTAGGATACATTTTCCTCTCGCTCTGCCAGTAGAACAGGGAGGCTAGTTTTCAATGTGTTCTACAGAAGGATAATTAAGGCAGTGTGTCACCTGCTCGTCTGCTATTTTTAAAAGGAAACAAACATAACCTTTGCATGTGAGAGGCATTGCAAACTAGATGGGAGGAGGCCCGGACCCTGTAACAGTCGTACATTCCGGTCCCAGCTTCGCTGGGGTGCAACTGCAGATAAAAGACGCTGGCTCGACAAAAAGCGCCCCTGGGCTCTGCATTGCCAGCATGCACAATACGAATTGCTAATGATGAGCTGGCTTAGGTAGGAACTGAGGACCCTGAGTGCAGGGCTAACCTCTGCTTCACAGGAGGGGTCCACTGGCGCGCGCTGGAGGCGGGGAGCCTTCGTGATATTTCTCCGAAGGGAAGAGTCCATGCAGCATCCTGATAACAGGGACCTTGGCTTCATCCCCAACTGCTCGGTGACCCCGATGCGTCATTTAATTCATTTGTGCCAATATTCCTTTTTCAATCAACCAGTAACTTTGCAGGTTTGTTCAAAGAAGAAATTAAAATGCATTGGAGATGGAAGGCAGCCATCTTCCCGGAGCCCCAGTGCTGACACTGGGAGGGGAACCCCAGGATTCCCTCATGACTGTGTCAGTGATGGCCCTCAACAAGCACTTACTGAATGAGTGAATGAATGAATGAATGAATGAATGAAGCCGGCCACAGAGCCCAGGAGTATCAGGGGAGAGCAATACTGGCTGTGTCAGTGGCTAGTCCAGGAGAGCCCTTCAAGAGCCCAGAGTTCGACTTGAACTTGGGACTCCCCTGGGATGGGTGAGGTTCTCTCAACAGCAGTTGACAGGAGGGAACTGGGACAGGCCCAGCCAGTTTCATTCAGTCCAGCCAGCTGTGGCTCCTCTTTAGGAATGTGGCCAGGCCCAGCTGTGGCCAAAGCACCAGCCAGTCCCTCAGTTCTGAACAGAACGTGCCCAGCATCAGTGCCTTCATTTGTTTTTAAACTGCCTGCTGACCATCCACAAAGTTAAGATGACAGCTGGGACTTAAGTTGTGAGGAACCAGTGGCTCCCCCATCACTCTCTCTCACACACACGCACATGCACACACACAGAGACACACAGACACACACACATGCACACACACAGAGACACACAAACACACATGCACACAAAGACAGACACATATAAACACACATATACACACATGCACACACATATATACACACAGACACACAGGCAAACACAGACACACAATGGATGGTATCGATATCTATGAACAGATGAGAGAGAGAGACAGAGCAGGAGGTCATCTGCTCCCCACCCCTCTTCTCCCCACTGTCACCACCTCTCTCCCAAGTCTAGCTGCAGGCCCTGTGAGCTGTGGAAGTGGCTTTTTTAAGCTGTCTTCTTAGATTGAGTCATTGGGCAGTGAGGAAGGTAAATTTTCTCTAAGAAGCCTCCCAAATCTGTATCTTATGGGATTTCCGTCTCAATAATTGAGCTAATAGTACCTGTAAGCAAGTGGATAGTCAATAAAAAAAAAATACCGGCTGTAAGAACGAATGAATGAATGAGTGGATGAGTGGATGAGTATACATCCTCTATTTTGCTGGCATCATGATTATTTTACAGCAGATTTATCTGGATTTCAATATAAAATAAGAGCTCCCATTTGTATACAACTTAGTCCTTGTAATTTTCCAAAGTAACTCTGATTAAAATTATTTCCAGCCAAACTATTTAGGCAACTGGGTTGGTTTCACACGTACTTATCAGAAACCATTAGAATGGTATATTGATTGCATTTCTAGACATTTGCCATACCACCATGGCAACTGTATTTCCCAAGATGGCCCAGTAGGATGTCCCATCATGCATAACCTTCTATAAAGTGACATTGACTTTGCTTCCATCAGAAAGTGAGGTCCACGTTCCCACTCCTTGAATCTGAGTTGGGCTGTGACTACAGCAGAAGTTCAGCTATGTGGCTTCCAAGGCTACCTTGGAAAGGTGATAGAGCTTCCACCTGATTTTCTTGGGAACAGCCACTCTTAAACCTCAGCCACCATACGGGGAGAAAGCCCAAGCCATGTGACGAGGCCATTTGTAGGTGTTCCAGTCATCAGTCCCAGCCCACAGCCAGCATTAACCCCCAGAGGTATAAATGAAGAAACCAAGATCACTCCAGCCCCAACCGGCACTTGACTGCAAACCTATAAGAGACTCCAAGCAAATAATATCTATCTCAGCCCAATCAAGCCCTGGAACCATGAGAGATTCTAAATAATAAAGTGATCATTGTGATTTTAAGCCACTGAGTCCTGCAGTGAGTTGTTATATAGCAACCGGGCATCGGCATACCATCAGAAGATTCCTTAAGAAGAAACTTTTGCAACGTTGCTACAGCAGAAAATATTCCTTCTGTATGATCATTCATCCATTCATCAATCTTGATTGGCATTGCCTATGTGCTAAGCATTGTCGGTCACTGGAGGTGCAGAAAAGAAGTGAAGCAGTATTCAGCCAAACAAACAACTTGCATATTGGATAGAGAGAAAAATATGCCAAAATTACAACAGTATTTTGACCCAACAGAAAGGACATAAGAAGGGAACATCAACAGTTCCTTCCTATTCTTTTCCACCCTTTTTCTTTCTAGGCTCATTAAATGTAGAGGTGCCTCAGGGTCACTTTGCCCCATGAGAGTAGATACCCTCCTCTCCCATCCCTAACTTTGGTCTTCACTCTATGCCTGATACCAGCAGCTCCCCAGGCTCCTCCATGCTGTTGGCACCCCATTCCCATTCTCTGGAAACATCTCAGCCCATCAACCTCAGATTACTTTCCCAAGGAGATGTGAGAAAACTTCAATTTTCCCCTTTGTGACTTGCAGAGAAATAGGGGTGGTAAATGAGAAGCAGAGGGAGAGGGTGGGGATTCATTACCTTGAGTTACTAAAGAGAAAAGCTCTAGTGTTTAGAAGGTGCTGTTATTATTTTCTCTGAAACATTAGCTCCTAGAAATCAGAGGCTCTGTCCCTAGCATGGTCTCTAAGGCTTCCAGGACGCCCCAGGGGCTTCCCTCAGTCAATTTTGACTCTAATGAGAGCCATCTGGAAGGCTGCAATGGTGGGCCTGGCTGATCACTGGAGGGGCCTTCGCTGTGGGCACAGGGACGTGCACAGGTTCACAGAGTGTGTCTCCGTTTCTGGGAACCATGGTCCTGTGTGCTCCTTCCCCAAAGAAAGCAGGAGAAAGAAAAACCACAGTCCTGAGTGGGATTCTCCCCAAACATCTAAAAAGCTTCTTTAAAGAAGTCAAGTTATCATAATTAAACTCACATATGGAATGCCTATAGACAACGTGTTGCTCTTCCAATCCCAGGGAGCTAGGACACCCAAAACTCACCTCCCAGACGGAGCTAGGATTTGAGATACTGGATTCCACATTACTTAAAGCTGTTCGAGCTTTTCATCAGGAATGGAAAGCATTAATGCGTCTCACACGTCACTCTCTGTTTCATGGAATTCTTACACTGGGGAGCTCTTTTTATTTTACTATTTTTCTTTAACAGCCAGAACACTGAGAAGTTTGCAAAGAAATTTTTCAGCTGCCTTTAGTGACCCTTAACTCAAGAGGTTTTGCCTAATCTGTAAATTGGAGTTGAAAATATTTCAGTACTTTTGGAGTGGGGAGCTTTTTGTCTTTAAAAGAGTGGAACGACACTAACAATAGGGCTATACATACCTTGTGCTTCTTTGTCAGTTACTGCAAACCAAAACCAGATGTGAAGTATCAGCGGCTACCTCGTAGTGACCCATGGAAGTTGAGGCTAATCCATATCATTCTTAATAACTCAAAACTGCCACCTTTTAACCACCTAATTTTTTTCTCACTTACAAATGCAAAAAAAGGAATTGACAGTACACATTGAAATCGATTTTCCCCTGACCACTTACAGATTTTCTCCTATAAGAGCCAGGAATAAAAGCTCACTCCATTATATCAAGCAGCCATCATCTGAGTATGCTTTAGTTTAGGTGATCATCACCTTTAACAAACCAAGATCTGGAAGGAAGATTTCTGATCTTTAACAAACCAAGATTTGAAAACTAGATATTCCTGTCATGACCTTTTCCCAACATTCAGTATGTAAGGGATTCACTGGATTATTAGACTGCTTGTAAATGTAAGAAAACATAGAAGGTTTAGTGTGAAGGAGTTAGCAACCTAACAAATGTTTCCCCCTGAATTTTCAATAACCTTCCTGAATTTAAAGGTAATGAATATAAATGAAGAACAAAATCAATAGATATAGGAATGATTCACAACCTCCCAAATGAATAAATCAATCATTCCACCCTACATTTGAACATTCAATCAATATTTTGTCTATTTACTAAATCTAAGAGGAACTACTTTAACATAAAACTAAATATGAAATTATTTCCAGCATTGAATATTGTGTTTTGCCTTAGAGCAGGCACAAAGTGGAATGCCTATGGGTACAAAGCTAGGCATTGATTGATGTTTAATACCTACAAATACAGCAATTACACTGTCATGCTACACGAGACTTCCTATTCCTACACTGAAATTAGACTGCACATATGTAGGGATAAAAGATAAGACACAATCATATCATATTTCCTCAAATCTAAGACTTTGGGTGGTAAGATGTAAAGCACATCATGATTTAAAGTATCACTAGGAAAGAAAAAACAATTCTGCCAATGAAAATTCACCGTAATACTTTCTAATCAATCAATTTTAAGATACATCCCAATTTTTAAGCAAGAATAAATGTGTTAAAATTAACACAAATTGGTACACTTGTGATACAACAGAAGCACTAAAATGTCACAGCAATAGACCACAGGGTTTCTCAACCTTGGCAGCATCAACATTTTGGGTTGGTTAATTATCTGTTGTGGGGGCTGCCCTGTGCATGGCAGGATGTTTGCTAGCATTCCTGGCCTCTACCCACTAGATGCCAGTAACACCTCGCAGACTCCAATTATGACAACCAAAACTGTCTTTAGACATGGCCAACTGTCCCTAAAGGTGCAACCAAAAACTGTCCCAGTTGAGAACCACTGGAACAGAGCAATTCGGTTTTATCAGCCTTGTAATATAATTGTGTGTGTGCACTGTGTGCATGACAGACTGTCAGCCTAATGGAAGGTATATTGTCAGATGGGATAGATTGACCTGAAAAAATCACATAAACCAACAGCTGGTACATATACAAGAGTGTGTCCTGCCCATCCTAACCCACACAATGCAAAAGAACCTGGATGACCACGAGTCACCATCACAGGAGTTTACTATCCATAAGTGTAAACCATCCAAGAAAAGTGAAAACAGATTAAAGAAAATAAAAATAAATAAACCACCACACAATATTTGGGCCTAGCCAGATAACAACAATGAAAAAATGTAATATTTTGAAGTATTGGCAAGAATGTGGAGGAAAAAGCATTGACATTCGTGTATAATGGGAATAAAATAATTTATCCTTTGTCTCCGCAATTGATATTCTAGAAATCTATTTTTTAGAAATACTCACAATAGACAGTTATAAGTACAAAGGATGTCTGCTATTACACTGCTCAGTAACAGTAAAATATGAAAATACACTGTACGTCTTTCAATCAGATATTGAATAATTATACTACACAGTATTAAGAATGAGATAGATATTAATGTACTGCATAGAAAATATTCAAAGTATAATAAGTTTTAGAAAATTATCACATATGTATATTAGCATATGCAGAGAAAACATCTTAAAATACAAATTTCAGTTTTGAGGTTTGGATCATGGAGTAACTGCCCCCTTTTCAAGTCAAACAGTTGAGAAAATTTAGGATAAAACAAGTGTGTGCTACCTTTGTAATCAGATAAAGTATTTTAAAATAATTCACATTATAATATAGAAATACTGAAATGCCAAGAAAATTTAAATATATTAATTAAAACCTACGGGCCAGGCGCAGTGGCTCACGCCTGTAATCCCAGCACTTTGGGAGGCCGAGGCAGGCGGATCATGAGGTCAGGAGATTGAGACCACCCTGGGCAACATGGTGAAACCCTGTCTCTACTAAAAATACAAAAATTAGCTGGGCATGGTGGCGTGTGCCTGTAATCCCAGCTACTCAGGAGGCTGAGGCAGGAGAATCGCTTGAACCAGGGAGTCGGAGGGTGCCGTGAGCCAAGATCATGCCACTGCACTCGAGCCTGACAACAGAGTAAGACTCCGTCTCAAAAAAAAAAATAATAATAATAGGCTACCAATTAGACTTTATAGAATACATAAATATATTAATATAGCTACAAAGAGGTTGAAGCTTATTCATTGAGACAAGAGTATTTATTGAGCATCGACTTTATTAAATACACTGTTAGTAAGATAACAAGTGAAACTTGTTAAAAAAAAAGAAACTAGGACAAAAGAAATTTGAGTTGAGTTCCCCAAAAACAGGGAATATTCAGATTGTAGGGGAAATTGGGTAAAGGATTTGTTTCAGCATGAAAGGAGCAAGGAGCAAAGAAACTAAATGGGAGGTTATGCTGAGAAGTATATCAGTATGAGGAAATATCTTGACATCTACAGACAAATATTTGTTGCCAATTCATTTTGGGCATTGAGGATTCACAAGAATAATTAAAAACACGTAATATAAAATCCTTCTGATTAGAGCACATTTTATGGCACTGCATAAAGAGATGGCTGTGGGAGTCATTTATATTTTAATACTAACTTGAACAAGGCTTGGTTCTGCAAATAAAACAGAAGAGTAAATATGAAGTGGAGCACATAATAATGTTACTGTTTCTGTGGGTGAGCTTCCATAGGAAAGAGGCAAAGGCATCAATCTCAAAAAGTTAGAAAAACCCAAAGAAAGAAGAAGAAAAATAACAAATGAGAACAAAATTGAGAAAATTGTAAATAATATGGTAGAGAAGATAAACAAAACCAAATCTGGTTCTCTGAAAAGATTAGTTATGTGTAAGTCACTGGTGATTACAGAGAGAAAAGAGGGAAGGTTAAAATAACCAAAGTCAACAATAAAAAGGGGGCTATTACTACAGATGCTGTAGACATTGGAAGGATAATAGAATATTATGATCAATTTCCTATCAATAAATGTGAAAAATTAGTTGAAATACATAATTGGAAAATATAATTTACCAAAACTGTCAAAAGAAAAAACACAAAACCTGAACTCCTATAATTATTAAAGACATTGATTGAAAAATCTCAGACCTCTTAAAGGACAACTCCAAAAATAAAAAAATAAAAAAAAGAAAGAAAGTTCCAGGCCAGACGGATTTATCAGCAAATTCTAACATGCATTTAAAAAAAAAAGGATGCCACTCTTACATAAGCTTTTCAGATAAAAGAAAAGAAAGCTTGATACCAAAATGTAGCTAGAAAATTATTTAAAAAGGAAAATTATGGGTCAATTTCATACATAAACATAGATGCAAAATCCTAAATAAAATTCTAGAAAACAAAACCCAACAGTATATACGACAATAATATATATTGTGAACAAACTGGATTTATTTTAAGAATGAAAGCTTGTTTCAATCAAATAATCAAATTTACATTGTAAAGAAAATTTATATAACTTTAAACAAAAGAAGAAAAGCACTTAATAACATTCAACATTCATATTAAAAATTCTTAGTAAATTAGAAATAAAGAGGAAGTTTATAAATCCTACAAATTGATAAAAGGAATCTACCGAAACCTACAGTAAACCACACATTTTCATGTCAAAACTTTAAAATTTAATCATTTGAAGTTGGGGGAAAAGACAAAGAAGCCCCACATATTACCGCATTTGTCTGAAATTGAATTGGCAGTCTTAGTTAGTAAAGAAGGCAAGGAAATGAAATGCAATGTTAAAGGATTGGGAAAAAGTAAATAAAACTTTATTTACAGATGACATCATTTTTTTACACAGAATTTCCAAGAGAATTTGGAAATAAGTCATTAGAATTAATAAATGAGTTTTAAAAGTTTGCTAGATACAAGGTCAATATAGAATTTTAGTTTTATATATCAGCATAAACATCAATAGAAATCAAAATTTTTAAGTGATACTGTTTTCATTAGCATTAAAAATACCTTACAATATGGACATAAATCTAACATAATACGTGCAGAACCTCTACACCAAAAACTACAAAATATTATTAAAAGAAGACCAAAATAAATGGATAGATATATTCATGGATTGAAAAACTTAATAATCAAAGGTAGAATTTTCTTCAAATTGATCAATAGATTCAATGCAGATGCATTCAATATTTCAACAAAGTTTTTGTGAAACTTGAGTGATTCTAAAATATGTATGGAAATGCAGAGTCAAAAACAGACAAGATGCTCTTAAAGAAGAGTGAGAAATACAAAAGATTATCAGAGACTATTACAAACTGGAAAACCTAGAGGAAATGGATACATTTCTGAACACATACAACCTGCCAAGATTGAATCAGAAAGAAACTGAAAACTTAAACAGACCAATAACAAGTAATAAGATTGGATAGGAAAAAAAATCTCCCAACAAAGAAAAGTCAAGGACCAGATGGTTTCACTACTAATTCTACCAAACTTAGAAAGAAGAACTAATACCAATCCTCACCAAGCCATTTCAAAAAATTAAAGAGGAGAGAATTCTTCCTAATTCATTCTATGAGGCCAACATTACCCTCATAACAAAATCAGACAAGAACACAACAAAAAAGAAAACTACAGGCTGATATTCCTGATGAACATCACTTCAGTTCAGCATGGATACAGGCCAATATTTCTGGTGAATATAAGTTTTCTAGTATTTTGTTCAGCAAAAGCTATCAACAAAATATTAGTAGCCTGAAACCAACAGCACATCAAAAAGATAATGCACCATGGTCAAGTGGGATGTATCCCAGAGATGCAAGGATGGTTCAACATACACAAATCAATAAATATGATACATCACATCAATAGAAAAAAACAAAAACCATATGATCATATCAATAAATGCAGAAAAGGCATCTGATAAAACTTAACATTGTTTCATAGTAAAAGCTCTCAACAAACTAGGTACAGAAGAAACATACCTCAATATATTAAAGTCCATACATGATTAACCCACAGCTAACATTATACTGAACGGGGAAAGGCGGAAAGTCTCTCCTCTAAGAACTGGAACAAGACAAGGATTCTCATTTTTATCACTTCTATTCAATATAGGACTGGAAGTCTTAGCCAGAGCAATCAGGCAAGAGAAAGCAATAAAGGTCATCCAAACTGGAAAAGAAGTCAAATTGTCCCTCTTTGGAGATGACATGATCTTACATCTAGAAAAACCTACAGACTCCACCAAAAAACTCTTAGGTTTAATTAAAAAATTCAGTAAAGTTGCAGGATACAAAAAAATCAGTAGCATTTATATACCCAATAATGCACTGGCTGAGAAAGAAATCAAG
Source organism: Homo sapiens (assembly GCF_000001405.40). Classification (NCBI taxonomy): domain Eukaryota; kingdom Metazoa; phylum Chordata; class Mammalia; order Primates; family Hominidae; genus Homo; species Homo sapiens. Next base: position 38,516,350 of record NC_000021.9, read on the forward strand.
AAGAAAATCCCATTTACAATAGGTATAAGGAAAAAATATCTAGGAAAAAAATTAACCAAGGAAGCGAAAAATCTCTACAAAAAAACTACAAAACACTAATGAAAGAAATGGAAAAGGACACAAACAAATGAAAAGACACTGCATGGTCATGGATCAGAAGAACTAATATCATTAAAATGACCACACCACCCAAATAAATCTACAGATTCAATGCAATCCCTGTTAAAATATTAACGTCATTTTTCACAAGAATAGAAAAAAACAATCCTAAAATTTATATGAAAGCAAAAAGGAGCCTGAATAGCTAAAGGAACCCTGAACAAAAACAACAAAACTGGGAGCATCACATAACCTGACTTCAAAATATATTACAAGGCTCTAGTAACCAAAAGAGCATGATACTAGTATAAAAACAGACGCATAGACCAATGGAACAGAATTGATAACCCAGAAATAAATCCACATATTCACAGCCAACCGACTTTCAACAAAGGCATCAGTAACATACATTGGGAAAAAGACACCCTCTTCAATAAATGGTGCTGGAATAATTGGATATCCATATGCGAAAGAATAAAACTGGACCTCTATCTCTTGCCATATATAAAAATCAACTCAAGGTAGATGAAAGACTTAAACTTAAGACCCCAAATTATAAAACTATTAAAAGAAAATAGAGAAAACATTTCAGGACATTGATCTAAGCAAAGATTTGATGGCTAAGACCTCAAAAGCACAGGCAAGAGAAAACAGACAAATGAGACTATATTAAACTAAAACACTTCTGCACAGCAAAGGAAAGAAAACAACCAGCAGAGTGAAGAGACAACCTGTTGAATGGGATAAAATATTTGTAAACTGTTCATCTAGTAAGAGAAAATCCAGAATATACACAAAACTCAAACAACTCAACAATTAAAAAGAAAACTTTTACAAAGTGGGCAAAGAACGTCAATAGACATTTCTCAAAAGAAGACACAGGAATGGCCATCAAGCATATGAAAAAAAATACTCAATATCACTAATCATCAGGGAAATGCAAATCAAAACCACAATGAGATATCATCATACCTTAGTTAGAATGGCAATTATTAAAAAGACAAAAAATAACAGATGCTGGCCAGAATGCAGAGAAAAGGGAACTCTTCTACACTGTGAGTGGGAATGTAAATTAGTACAGCCACTATAGAAAACAGTAGAGATTTCTCAAAAAACTAAAAATAAGACTCAATATAATCCAGATATCTCACTACTGGGTATTTATCTAATGAAAAAGAAATCAGTATATCAAAAAGATACTTGCACCCACATGTTTACCGCAGCACTATTTACCATAGCAAAGACATGAAATCAACCTAAATGTCCATCCACAGATGAAATGGTAAACAAAATGTGGTACATATACACAATGGAATACTATTTGGCCATAAAAATAAGGAAATCATGTCACTTGCAGCAACATGGATGGAACCGGAGGTCATTATGTCAAGTAAAATAAGCCAAGCACAAAGGACAAATACCACATGTTCTCACTCCTATGTGGGAGCTAAAAATGTTAATGTCATGGAGATAGAGAGTGGAATGATGGTTACCAGAGGCTGAGCAGAGAGTGGGAGTGGAGAGGAAGAGAGTTTGGATAATGGGTACAAACATACAGTTAGATAGAAGGAATAAGTTCTGATGTTGTATAGCAGAGTAGCTGACTATACTTAACAAAAATGTATTGTATAGTTCAAATCAGCTAGAAAAGAGGACTTGCAATGTTCCTGACACATAGAAATGAGAAATACCCAAGGTGACAGACACCCCAAAACCCTGACTTGATCATTACACATTCTATGCATGTAACAAACTATCACATGTACCCCATAACTATGTGTGTGTGTGTATCTATCTATCTATCTATCTATCTATCTATCTATCTATCTATCTATCTATCTATTTATAGTATCCATTTTTAAAAGGCAAATCTTAAAAAAAAGAGTGAGGTAGGACAACCTGCTCTACTAAACATTTTTATAAAGGCACAGCAATTAGGTCAGAATAGTGTTCATGCAGGTAGAAACAAATCAGACAATGGAAAAGAAAGGAAAGTTCAGAAACAGATTCACACATATATGGACACACTTGATTTTTGACGAAGGTGGCAGTTGATTTTTTTTTACAAAGGGGCAGAGTAGTTAAAAAAGGGAGAAACTGTTGGTAAATGATGCTGGAAAATGAGAAATCCACATGAGAAACAGAAACTTGAGAAGTAACTCATAACATCACAAAAATTGATGTCAGATAAACTATAAATCTAAATATGACAAGCAAAAACTATGAAGTTTCTGGAACATAATATAGAAAACTATATTCCTGACTTGGGAAGGGAAAGATTTTAAAAACAAGGCACAGAAACACTAAGAGTAAAGGAAAGACTAATAAATTGAACTGCATTAAAATAAGAAAAAAATTAGGAACTTAAATTTTCATCAAAAGACACTATTAAGAGAATCAAAAGGCAATGCATGGAGTGGAAGATGATATCTTTAACACATCTAATCTACTATTCATATCCAGAATATGTAAAGAACCCCCATCAATCAATAAGAATACACACAAGTCAGAATACACACAAGGAAAAACAGGGAAGAAACTGCACAGGCAGTCATAAAAGAGGATATCCAACTGCTCATTAAAAGGTCTTCTACTTCATTAGTAAAGCAGGAAGTACAAATTAAAACCTGAATGAAATAACACCACAGATACATCAGAATGTCTAAAACAAAGACTAACAATGTTGGTGAAGATGTGGAGCAATAAGAACTCTCACACACAGCTGGAGTTTAAAAAACATCCTTATTTATCCATCAGGGCTGTAATAAGAGGCATATAGCATATTCAAATAGGTAAGTGAACAAAATTTAATGAAAGAATTTACAACGGTAAAGGTAGAATTTAGTAAAAACCAAAGGGTGAGGAAGTCCCCCAGGCTAGCAAGAACAGGAAGCCATTACTACCCTCAGGCCTACAAGGGCAAGGGAGGTAGCAGTCACGCAGCACCGGTAGCTGTGAACACAGGAGAGGATAAACAATAGGAGCTGTGGCCTTCCATGGAGGGAAAAAGTCACTGCCAACCCATGACCAAAGAGAGAAAGCTGGAGAAAAAAACTCCCCAAGCTCTCTCCTCCTACTCTCAGGCTTCCTTGTGGTGACTCTCATTTGCTTAACCCAACAGAAGATAGAGGACAAAGGAGCCCATTTGATGTAGTCGACAGAAGTCAAACTCCCAGGACAAGAGGAGCAGAGAAGGATGGAGAATGAATTAGAGAAGTAAACAAAGAAAGTCGGCACATCTACTGTCATCAAAGACTGTGTAATTCCACTATTTAATACATGTACAATAGAGATGTGTGTATATGTGCACCAGAAGTCACCTACAAGAATGTCCACTGCAGTATTATTCTCTCAGTTAAATGCTATATCTGGCTGCACAACTAGATTAGGACTGAGACCCTAACCACACATGTAGAAGCAGGGAGAAAGATGCAGTTGAGAAGCCCTTTGCCATCTGATATGCTTCCAAACAAGGGAAACTCAGCTTGGACACTGAAAGCATTTTGTATAAAATACTGTTTGTATGATATCCCCATGTCACCACACACACACACATACAGACACACACACATACACACACACACAACAAAAACAAAAAAAACTTCCAGGGTTACTTTTCTCCTCAGTTAGCAGGTCAAAACTTTTCACGTGTGAAATACTTTTGCAAGGAGGCAGATGAAACGGGGGAGAAGGGATAACCTTGCCTTGCAGTCATCTATCAATTCACTGCAAGGAAGGAACACAGAGCTTAGATATGAAGCATCAGGAGTTCTTCCCAAGACCCTTCTTGTCCCTTGGGAAGAGCCAGGAGCTGGAGGGGATGGCCTTCACTGAGAAGTGGCATCAAATTAGAACCTGCACAACAAATAGGAACCAGCTACTTAAAGATCCAGAGAAGTAGCCCTCTAGACTGAAGGATCAGCTCCTCAAATATCCTTTTTGATTTTGAACTCACAAGTTCAGGGGCATCCGAGGAACAGACACAAGCCAGGGCTGAACAATCTCATCTGTGTCCATGAGGTGGGCAAGAGCCAGATCCTACTGAGGAGTTTGAACTTAATCCCAAACATGGCGGGAAGCCATTGGGGCCAAAGATGAATTAGGGATTGTCTGATCTCCTTGACACGTTCTGAAGGTTTTGTGTACAGAAAAGGTTTGTCAACATGCACAAAGGAAAGCTGGGATAACCAAGCTAAGACGCTACCGCATCATTCTAGGGGACGGGTGACTCATTCCAGGAGTTTCTGCAGGAAGACCTATCAGGACTGGTGATTGACTGGAGGCAGAGAGCACGAAAAAAGAACAATCAGAGATGATCTGTGGTTTGTGGTTGTTGTGTAATGTTAAGGCTTAACAACTGCGAAAATAGTGTTTTTACTTTACAGAGAAGAAGACTTGAAGAATACAAGATTGGGGAGAGCAGATCGGGATTTGTACTTTATATCAGACGTGCTCATAGATATACATGTTGAGATATCAGTTGGGAGCTGGATATATCAGGATTCGAGACTGGGAATCACCAGTTTATAGATGGTTTTTAAGCCATGTGATTGGATCTCATTTCTTAGTGGGGAGAAGTGAGATAACAAATAAAAGCCAAGATTAAAGCTGAACCTTCAGCCTGCCCATCACTTAGAAGCCCAGCAGGGACAGAAGAGCCAGCCGACAGCACAGAGTCGAGGAGGAGGATTTCCGGGCTTCAGTGAGTGTGCATCAGAGATTCATGGACACAACTTAAAGTAAGACCAGCCACACAGTTCCCTTCATTTTCTCAAGCAACATTCAGCATCTCAAAGTGCGGCTACTACACACGGAGCCAAGCCCTGGTCCAGTTATCACAAAACCTTACTAGATATGTCGATTATTAGCTGCATTTTATAGCTAAAGGTAGGCAGGCACAGAGAAGTTACGTCTCTTGCCCACAGTCACAGCAAGCAAACAGACCTCAGACCAAAGTCTTTCTAACTCCTTATTTCACATCTAAAACACTATGTGACGCCACCTCCAAAAAATGTGGGGGTTACTCTAGGACAAAAGAAGCTCATGAAAGCAAAGAGAGAAGCATAGAGCTTAAATTTAGAACAATATTCAGGGTGATTGGGAAAAATAGCCTCCATACAAATATAATCGGTTCATCACCAGGTGAATAAAATGAGAGAGGAACCTGGTACAAGTGAAGTTCATTGAATTTGCTTGCAAAAAAACATAATTCAAGTGTGGAAGTTTGGAAACTAAAATAGTAATCAGCTAAAGAAATTTTCAGGCCAACTTAGACACAATGGTGACAAAGCTCCCCTGAGGAGACAGGAACTATACTACTTGCAACTCTAACTGAATGGACTTAACTTAGCAATTAAGATCACCGTAAGTTTGATCAGATAAGTATTAAAGGGTGTCTTGGGTACATTTGCAGATTCAGACACTCTTAGTTGTGAAATTCTTCACCAAAAATTTGCAACTTATGGCTTGCACATTAAAAACATGATATGAATGAAATTCAGATATCTCTTGGTAAATTTTATAATTATTCCTCCCATCAGCTAAAGTTCTCAGTATGAAGGGTTATAACTGATGTCATATACAATAACTACAAGCTGTATCATACAAAAATTGAGAATTTTCTATTATAGAAAGAGTTGCTTTAATCTAAACCTAAAGTAGCATCAATAATTTTTCGTAAGTGGTCCCCTTCCTATGAGTAAGCCCCCAGGAAAAATAAATTGCTTTTAAGAAATGCTGTAAGTAAGCTGTTTCATATATAAGTTTTGACAAGATCTGGCTACTTAAATTACAAGATATAAAATGAGATTTGTACTTTTTCTCAAATGTAAAAAAAAAGATTTACTTCTGAAATAATGGTCTTTATAAAATATGCATTTTTGTTCCTTTTTCTTATCATATCTATAAATTTACTAATAAAAGATTCTATCTTGATTTACTAACATTTGAAAAGATTGATTATATTGGTATTGCAAGAAGAGGATACCATAAATTAAAAATCCATATATTAACCATATTCTTTTATTTGCAATATGACAAATGATTGTGTAAAGTTATAATCAATAAAAGCTATTTGAAAGTCATAAAATGGATATTGCCATAACTGCTTTCCTAGCAAGGTTAAAACACTTTAACTATTTTTAATCAACTTACAGTGTAGTAGATCAAGCATATCTAAATATTTTATTTTAATCAAGCAAATATATTTCTGCTGTTCCTATGACAGTATGAAAGTTTGGTTCAAAATATTTCCAAGGTATTTAACACAGTTCAGTAGAGGTCCTGTCTCATAAATCAATTTCAGATTAGATAAAAGGAAAAAGCAAATTCTTGTTTACTTCAGAATTTTTCAAGCCAGTTCCAAAGACAGAGTTGTTACTCTCATGTGAATTTTCAGTAGAAAGCTGAACAACGACGTTGCTCTGACAATCTTTTTAAATACCATATGATGGAGACAGAATAACAAAAACAAAGTAGGTATAAGCTGTACGAAATTATTTCTCTTGGACATAAAATATGTTTGGGGAAGAAATGCATTGTTCCATATGGACTAGGGTAGTTACTTCTCAAAGTGGGAGCAACTCAGACTCTGAAAAATGGTTTCTCAAAGGAGGCATTGTGTCTGGGTGAGGCCAGTTTTCTAGTCAAAATCATTTTATTAAATGCCATTGGATTGAATGCTTCCAGGTTTGCTCTCTGAAATATGCCCTATCATTCTTAAAAAACACACTTAGGTAGCAAAAAGGGCACACTAAAAATAACGTGGGTTAATGTTTCTATCCTGCCTGTGTTTTCTAAGTAGCCCCTGCCTGAGCTTTCGACTTTTTTAAATGAACCATCAAATAGTTGGTTGTCTATCACAAATAAGCCATCTATTTTGTTATTCCTGTAACTTTTTGTAGAATCCAGAAAGTAACATTCTTGCTGATATATCTTATATAACACCAAGTCCATTTTCCAAATGAGGATTCCAATGAGTATTCATCACCAACATCTCCCCGAAAAATATTTAGAAAAAACAGACTCAATCCTTTATCCAAAGTCAGTGAGTAAGAGGCGGGGGCCAGGGTTGGACAAAAATCTCTTTGGCCAGGAAGCCGGTGGTCACCCTGATCTACTTCTCTAAGCTCCCACCCCTGATGAATGTTCAATATCTGAGTTTCACCCCACTCATTATTGTAATTCTCCGTAAAACCCCAGTTACCCACACGGAATTCTCATCTACATCTAGCCCAATTTGCTACTGGATTTCAATGTTATTTCATATGAAAACAATCACTAACAGAAAGAACCTGGATCTGGTTTCGAAAACATAATTTGAAAGGAATTCATTCTGAAGGCTGCAAAAGCCCAGTGATGGCCCATCGGTACCCTGAATGGGCTTCTCAGGTGCCTCCACTCTCCTCCGTATGTCTCCATCCATCTCAGAATACATGTCTGGCTCTTCCTGCTCATAAACAGAAACAGAGAGTTCCGGGATCCAAAGGCAAGACTGCGATTTAAGAGACACTTTGTTTTTGTAGGTGTTCAAGGATTTGGAATCAAAGCAGCAGAATTATTAAAATTAATCCAATTTTCTTGCATTTATTTTGTTAGTTCATACCTCTAAAAGATATATTTTGGAAGGCACCCTTCAACCCACCCATTTACAAATCAAAGCTTTCTTTGGAATCCCTGAGACCAAACCCAAGCTAGACAGTGACACACTGCCAGCTCCAGAGCCCTGCCCACCTGGAAGGGGTATGGAATGCACTATTTGACTTGAGCTCACATTTAATTACAGTGTCAAAAATCAAACTTAAATTGCTTTAATCAGCTGCCAACACTATGAGCCTTTCTGGCTTGAATTTCTATAAACAAAGAATAAATTCAAATCTGTCACAAAGTGGCAGCAACTTGTTGACCACTGGACTAGGAATCGTTATGCAACCATGGCTCACTGTGGAAAAAGTCAACATCTTCCTATATGTGACTCTTTTCTGATCTTTTCGGACTATTAGTCAACAGAATCATCATAAAGCTAAATTATCTATCTGCACTGAAATTACTCAGCCTCAGACATCCAAACCAGTAGCTGTTCACCAATGAAACCTGAATAAAGCTGTTGCTGACTTTCCCTGCTTCAATTTAGAGTATTTTTGGAAACATCATTGCATGTTTAAAATATAATAAGCAAAAGGACCTTTGGTAATTAAACATTCTGTAATTTAAAACTCCAAGAGACAGGAGCAGTGATAAGATATTAGATTTTCTTTACTGGGGTGAAAAAGACAGAAAGTGGTTAACTGTTTAAAAAAAGAAAGAAAGAAAGAAATCCAAGGATTTTTAGAGCCAGAAACAGTAACAGTGTCCTTTATTCTGGAAATGTTTAAAAGCCTGTAAGCAGAGATCACCCAGTTCATCCTGAGCATTGGTGAGCAAATAACTTCTGAAATGCTCTTGAAAGAGAATTCTCCAGCCTTCTCTGTTTGAAATACTTCCTAAAGCAAACACAAAAGTGGGCAAAACACAAGAGCTCATGTTAATTCCAAACAAAGAGACCAACAGTCGCAAATTGAGAGTCCATCTTAGAAGCGGGTGCTGCTTCCACATCAAGCAACTATTGGAAAGAGTAGGGGTAGATGCAGAATTAAGATCATTTGTGACTACAGAAAGAGACAAGAAAATTAATTTTTAAAACTAAAAGAGAAATTTATTTCAGATAATCCAAGGAAATGAGCAGAGTCAACCTAACAGGATTCTCAAGCCCCTCCCTACTGGTGTGGTGTGAAGATCACACGTGGTGTAGCTGACACCCCTCACATCTTCCCCGCGCCCCTCCTGCCACCTCTTTTTGGCATTCACCCTCTCTCGGGTTCTGTATCCCTGCCCATGTTCTCCATGAAAGGCCATGTTAATGCCCATGCTCTTTCCTGCCTCTAACAGACGATGCCTTCCACAGTCACTCAAGCTTTAACCCTCTTCTGGATTCGGACCTGTACATCCAAAAGCCTGCCAGACATCTCTTCCAGATGCTCTCAGAGCACATGACCAGAAGCACGCGCAAAGCTCTCCTGAGCCTCAGTGCTTTCCCTCCAACACTTCTTCCACTCTCTCAGTTACCGAGCCAAGACACAGAGTTGCTTGTGAGTCATTTCTCTACCTCATCCCCCACCCAACCTTCCTGCGAGATCCTGCTCACGTTACCTCCTAAATGCTGTTACGTGACTTCAACCACGTCAGCTTTTTATGGGGGAGGAGAGGCACCTGCATATCTGTGGGAGCACCAACCTCTAGACATCTCCTGCCAAGTTACTGCAATGTGCAGAAAAGAGGAAGAAAGCAAGCCCAAGTCGCAAAGTCTTTGCCAGTCCTTCTACCAACCACACCTTCGGTGGAGATGTGGGTCTGTGGAAATGCAGAGACGGACTGAAAGCCAAATGGGCCAATGAGAGCTCTGAACAAAACATTAAGCTTGTTTTTCTTTAAGGCAATACGATTAACAGTGGTCCATTAAGAATCCGTTTAAAAAAAATAATAATAATACTTTTTCTGACTATTGTTGGGGAAGAATAACTCCTTTATGGGGAGTATGAACTCAAAGACATGATATTGTAAAGGAGGCCTTGAAGAAGAGAGGGACTAAGAAATGTGATGGCGTGGTCTGTTACATGTGCAGGTGCTGTGTGTGAGGGAAGCACTGAGGACCACTGGAGGATGAGGGATGCTCTGTCCTTCTCGGGTATGGCTGAAGGACAGGGATTGCCCATCAAGGAGTAAATAATCCATGAGTGGACTAAATTCTTTAGAAACAGGAACTCAAATCCAGTAGGGATTAGGATAAAAATGTAAACTCTAATTTGCACCTCTCCCTCTCTCCCCTAAGTAGTCCGTTTCTATAATTTTATACTAAATCAATTAAATGTATCTGCTATAATATTAATCATAATTTTGTCTGAAGTAGTAACAACTGGAAACTACCTAAAAGAGTCAGAGCAGGACTGTAAGACTATATTGTAGTCTACACTATGTCACAGCGGACTGCATCATGATAGAGAACGATACTCATGATTTAACTGATAAACACATATGGCAATGAATAAAACTGTGAGTAAGATGTCTTTAATTTTAGCAAAATTATCTTCATTCTAATTTTCAAGTAAACTTAAAGATTTATATATAAATGCACATAATTTAATTAAAATACATGCATATATTAACTAGAAGGCTAATCCCCCAAAATGTCCATAGATGTTATTTCTGAGTGAGGAGGGTCAGGAAGGTTTTAATTTTCTTTGTACTAACTCTATTTACTAAAATGTCCACCTGGATTAACGTTATAATAAAAATGTTACCGTTTAAAATAAAATGAATAAAATACACCGGTATGAAGGTATTATTAGAACATACGAAAGTACAAAATCAAGCAGCAAAAGGAGGAAATTATATTAAGAACTGAAAAAACTATGTTGAGAATTCTGTCTAAGAAACGCTGTAGCAATTAAGAAAAATCCCAGTTCTGCAAGTAATGGGAGAAAGATGATGACTTCCAGAACTTTCACCATCTACTAAGATGTTCACCAATTCCTAAGAAGGGACTGAATACGTCTGCATCCTCAGATCTGAGAGTAATTTTCCACGACGCATACTGAGCACCATAATGAGTGAAGTCTCTGAGATGACCTCTCTGACCTCTCTAAAACAATCAGGCACTGCAAACATGGCCTATCCCACACTAGCCCTTGGTGAAATTCAAGGGCATAATATTAGACTGAAACAGTGAGAAGAAGATTCGACATGGAGTGCGGCAAGAATGTGTTCTAGTCCTTGAAGGCCAGCGCTATTCCAAGTGTGGTCTCAGACCAGCAGCCTCAGCTGCAGCTGGGGGCTTGGAAATGGAAACGTATGTGCTACGTCCTGGACCTGTGGAATCAGAATCTCTGAGGTGGACCAGGAATCTGTGTTTTTAAAACCCTGTGGTTGGTAACTTCCTGCTGGCTGAGGACAGAGAGAATGCTTAGTGAACGCTGAGGAATGACGGGTTAAATAATCCCTGAATGATTCCTGAGCGGATCAATTTCTCAGCCAGAGTTTTGACCGCAGCTGATGATGAACAGGGCTGTGACCACCAGGAAGGGTCTGAAGAGGAGGCGTTGATTGCAGTTTTCTGCCTCTGATCCTCAGGCATGGAGCCCCACCCCCCAACTCTCTTACACGGAGGCCAAAGAAAAAGCTGGAATTCTCCAGGAGAGCAGGACCTGTTAAACAGCAAAGGGCAACCCAAAATTGTATGAGTGGCCTTGCCCTGAGAAGCTTTGAAGCCAGAGGTTACTGAACAACTACCCTGGTTAAAACCCTAACGTGACAATGATAACATGTGACTGTATGTGGCTGTCTTCAAAACAGCAATGATTTAGGCACAACTGTGGATCTCAGATTGTTCCGTGAGTTTGGTCTGATAAGATTGTATGCGTTTCCCAGGGGTGCCATAACAAAGTGCCACACCCTGGGCGGCTTCCGCCACCGAAATGTATTTTCTCACAGCTCTGAGGTCGAAAGTCCAAGATCAAGGTGTCAGCAGGGCTGGTTCCTTTTGAGGCTGTGAGGGAGGATCTGTTCTAGGCTCTCTCTCCCCCAGCTTCTGGGGGCTGCTGCAGTCTTTGGTGTTCCTTGGCTTATAGAAGCATCATCCCAATCTCTGCTTTTGCGTTCACATGGCCTTCTCCTCATATACCTGTCTGTCTCCAAATTTCCTCTTCTCATAAGGACACCAAGCACTGGATTAGGGGCCCACCCTACTACATCTGCAATAACCCTATTTCCAAATAAGGTCACATTTTGAGGGACCAGCTAAATACAAAACATTAGCCAGGCATGGTGGTGGGCACCTGTAGTTCCAGCTACTCAGGAGAATCACTTGAACCTGGATTAGAACTTCACAATTACTGACACGATTCAACCCATATTAGGTTGTTTAGTATTATACATTAGGAAGCCATAGCAAACTTTTTTTTTTTTTTTTTTTTTTTTTTTTTTTTGAGACGGAGTCTCGCTCTGTCGCCCAGGCTGGAGTGCAGTGGCGGGATCTCGGCTCACTGCAAGCTCCGCCTCCCGGGTTCACGCCATTCTCCTGCCTCAGCCTCCCAAGTAGCTGGGACTACAGGCACCCGCCACTACGCCCGGCTAATTTTTTTGTATTTTTAGTAGAGACGGGGTTTCACCTTGTTAGCCAGGATGGTCTCGATCTCCTGACCTCATGATCCACCCGCCTCGGCCTCCCAAAGTGCTGGGATTACAGGCGTGAGCCACCGCGCCCGGCCCATAGCAAACTTTTGTAAACATAACTATTTATTAAAATTTGGTATAATTAATATTTAAATATCCTTTCTGGCAAGATTTAGCCAGTTTTTTAAGCTTCATTGAGAGAACCACAATATTAGCATTAATAATAGAATGGTCTATTAATTTTTTAAAAAGATACTATGTCTGCATTTCCAATATAAAATTCACAGCAATGATTCAGGTAGAAATTAAATGAGGATGTCATTGTCAACCTTTTAAATTATATTACAGGAGCAGGGAGCACACGGGCCCTGAGGTAGAAATGAATAAGGAATATTCTAGAACCACCAAGAAGCCAGTGTGGCCACAGCAGAGTGAGCCAGTGGTGCTGGAGGCAGGTGAGATCTTGAAGGGCCTTGGCAACATGAACAGGAGCTTGGATTTTATCCACATTGCCGAGGGAAGTATGAGGTGGTGTTTAGCAGGGCATAAATCTCATCTGATCTGTACTTTGAGGAAAACACTCTGACTTCTGTGTGGAGAACAGTCTATAGGAAGCCAAGAGGAGAGGCAGGGAGATGAGGGAGGGGTGACTTCAGTCTCCAGGAGAATGAGCTAGTGATGTGAATTAAGGTGCTGGTGGTGGAGGAAGTGAGGTGGAGAACTGGACACTGGGATCTATTTTGAAGAGGGAGCCTACAGAACTTGTTGGTGGATGGCTATGAGGGAAAGAGGATTAAAGAATGATGCTAGGCATTTGGGCTTAAACAAACCCCTGAGTAAATGGTTATCCTATTATTAATACTAAGATGGGTAATGCTAGGGAAGGAGTAGCCTTGGGGAGCAGTGATGAGTTATTTTCTTAGAGAGAAGCCACGTTACCTATAGGAGGCTCAACAGAGTATCAAATTAGAATAAAATATCTAATGTTCTGATTTGTGTCTTTATTTTTTCCATTAAGATACACATGGCTGGCCAGGCGCGGTGGCTCATGCCTGTAATCCCAGCACTTTGGGAGGCTGAGGCAGGCCGATCACCTGAGGTCAGGAGTTTGAGACCAGCCTGGCCAACGTGGTGTTACCCCGTCTGTATTAAAAATACAAAATATTAGCCAGGCATGGTGGTGGGCACCTGTAGTTCCAGCTACTCAGGAGGCTGAGGTAGGAGAATCACTTGAACCCAGGAGGCAGAAGTTGCAGTGAACCGAGATCACGCCATTGCACTCCAGCCTGGGTGACAAGAGCGAAACTCCGTCTCAAAAATAAAAATAAACAAAAACCATGGGAAAGAACAATTGAGGAAACTGGGGACTTGTCCTGGAACAGAAGACACGAGGACTTTTGGTTTTTTAGTTTTGTTTTTGTTTTTGAGACAGAGTCTTGCTCTGTTGCCTGAGCTGGAGTGCAATGGTGCGAACTCAGCTCACTGCAACCTCCGCCTCCTGTATTCAAGTGATTCTCCCACCTTTGCCTCCTGAGTAGCTGAGACTATAGGCGCACACCACCATGCCCAGCTAATTTTTGCATTTTTAGTAGAGAGAGGGTTTCATCGTGTTGGCCAGGCTGTCCTCAAACTCCTGACCTCAAGTGATCCACCCGCCTCGGCCTCCCAAAGTGCCGGGATTGCAGAAGTGAGCCACTGCGTCCAGCAAGAATGAGGTTTGAAGGGAGGCATGATTGTGTTCTCTTCAAATAGTTGAAAGGTTCCATTTGAAAAAGGGATTTACTTATTCCTATGGTTCTAGTAAGTTGCAGAGGGTGGATCTAAGACCATTGGGTGAACTTTACAGAGAGGCCAGAAAGCCTTCTCCAGGGGAAGAAAGTCAAGAAAAGGTCTCAAAACTGTCTGGCAGAATTCTGCACAGGAGAGTCCTCAATTCGGTGTAGAATTGGCAAGTATAATAACTGTAAATCCCTCTCAATCTACCATCTACATCATTAGGCGACATCTTCATTTCCTGAAAATTCCAACACATGAAGGCTCACTTACTATCAAGATGAGCAAGTTTGTGCTACATAGTGAATTTGATTTCAATAGGACTCATTTTATACCTTTTAAGAGTCTTTAAAACGTTGAAAATGTAAAGATCTGCAAGAGCAACTGATCTTCAAAGTCCCGTCGAGTCACAGGATTTTGTAATGATGTCTAAAGAGGAAAATTCCCATTTCAGAAAAGGCTCAATAGTATTTAATAGTTAGCTCAAAAGGACGAATAAAGTTCTACATGGGAAGCTGCTGAACTACAGTCAGGCCAAACCTTCATACTCGGAGAAGATGACTGGGCCTGTAGACACAGATATTGATGATAAATCATCACAAACCACAGCTTTCCTTAATTGGGGTGGTGGGCAGGGAGAGCAGGCTTCAGGTTGGCCTTCCTCCAGCAAGGGCACACACACAAAGGGGACCTGAACACGTGGAGCTTATGGTCAGGAAGCCTGAAGTGCCTGACCCAGCACATCTGGTGACTAGTAGTGTAGATTCCCCACAGAAGGAATGACAAGGCGTCATTATTCAAAGTGACCTTCCCTCCATTGGAATAATCAGAAACAGCTCACAAATAAAGTAATCTGTAAGATGCTTCATCTTCTCTAGGTAACCTCTCCCCAACATGATGACATCACTTCACATGAGGCGACATGGTTTTGTGAGGACTTTTCTTTCCTTCCAAGTTTGGAATCTGGCTGAAGGCTAAAATCACCATTTACAGTGTTTGAGCCCTCCTTCACACTTTGAAGAAGGGTCTGTGTAAATAGCCATTCCTACTTCTCAGACTCGCCAGAGGCAAAACCTGTTTTGCTTTGGTAGTACACGCTCTTCCTTAACTGGTAAAAGACTTTAAAAAAAAATAAGATGCCATTTTTAATTGTTTCATAAATCTGGCTTAGATATATTAAGGAAATTGCTATTTTATATGTAGAACAGCGGCAAGCAAATCTCAAGAGATTAAAAATCATGTTCTTGTGGTTTTCTTTTAGAAGCTGCAAATTTGAATTCAATTTAAAAAATCATGGCACAGGGACAAAATAAGAATGAACAAAGATGGGAAAAATGTCCGCAGCATTCTGCAGAGTCAAGCGCTGCTGTGAGTGAGTGTGCATGTTTCCAATTACACATCAGGGCTTGGCGAGCTCCAGGAGTCAAATTCAGACAGAACCCAAGTGCAGTGCGTTACACAGAACCCAGGCCAGGAAAAGCTTCACAGAGTCTTTCTTTCAACTGAGGCAATTGTGTAGACAATTTGGTTCATTTCAAGAAAAAAATAAAACTGACAGAAGAAAGAAAAATATTATTATATTTTGCCTCTCAAAACAAAGTCAAATTGTGTTGGTGTATAAATCAAGATTCAGTATTTCCTTGGCTGCTTCCAGAATAATAGTAGATCACAAAGAGAATAAGAACAAGAAAGTTCAGTTCTCAGCCAGACGATCCAAGGTAACAAAGGGTGAGACCCTCATTCCGTTACTCACAGGAGCAAACAGACAACCAATAATAATTGGGCACATGGGGGTTTCAACAAGATAAACTGTTATGTGAGTCCAGGGTGCTAATTTCTGGATTCTTTTGAGTTGCAAGGAAAATATATACCGATTCCCCACCCCCACCCACCCACATAACAAGACACAATAGTTAACAGCTGGAAGACTGTGGTTAGGGGGAAATGTGATTGTAGGCTTCCATTTCAAATGATGGAAAATCATTTCTGAAGTCACTACGAAAGTTACTTCACAAAACTAAAAGAAGCCTTGACACCTTGTGTTATCCCATCATCTAAAGCAATTCTAGTTTGGAAACACTTGATTCTTGGCAGGGGATTCTAAAGAAGGTGCCGTATGTGAAAGGCTGGTGTGTCAGAAGGAGCTTTAAGGAACTGGAATGAGAACAGCCAAAAGCTAAGATTTCTGATTATAATCACAGGTCTGGATGTGTTCAAGGTAAAAAGAGATCATCCCCATCATTTGCAATATTTTCAAGAGAATGGGGCTTTAGTGACACTGATCAAAGTCTGACATGGATTTTCAGCTGCCTTCCAACTCCACATACCTGCAATTCAATGATCTCTATGGATAGTAGAAGTAACTGCCACCCTGATGTTCTCATCGGTGATTTATACGTGAAGTGGACTCAAAAGAAATACAACGAAATCCCTTAATAAAAATTATGTCCATTGACCCAACAAGCTTCCCAGTGCTGTATCAGTTCTCAACCGATTTTAGAGACATTTGGTCAAAAATGATCTACTTGTAATAAGCCATCTGAGGGCACTAGCTCTTTTTCACCTCTGTGTTCCTTGAAGCAGGAAGTCAGTAAAATCACTATTGAATTAAAATGAAGTAAAGCACTTTGAGATTTCAGATTTCTAAATTAAGGAACACACAACATACGGTACTTTATTTGCACAAGAATTATTAGAACCCAGGGCTAACACCCAAATGAGGTCACAGGTAAATGAAAATCTGTCTCAGTTATTTGAACTCAGGTCAACACACAGACAGAGCAAAGCACCAGCTGACCTCTGATGCACAACCCAGTGTTCTTACCATAGAATTCCAGAAGGCATCTCAGTCATTCTCTTATGTAAATACAAAGACGACAACTGGTTTAAAAATTCATTTATTTTTATTTTAGCTTCTTTGTGTCAAACTCAAAGAAGCCTCACATAAATGATCAAAGACTTTTTGGTGGATCTTCCAAACGTACATGCCGGGAAGGCCTGCTTGCACTTTTTCCTTCAATCCTCTAAAATGAAGGTTTTGAAGATGCTTGCCAATGGAACGTTGTGCCTTACAGCTATAATATTTTTTAAAAGGCATTCAGTTTAAATTAATATATTTGGCCAGACAACTGTATTAAAATTCTTGTTGTTTTTTCTGTTATAATGGTAGCCTGTGGTATGACTAGTCTTCTTCAAAAATATGTACAGTTATTGCTTCTCTCTTGCCTGGGGTATATCATGTGTTTTTCATTTGAGTGTACATTGCAATACCTCATTAAAACCAACACTTAGGCTACACAAAAGTCTTCATATCATGCCGCAAAGGGCGTAAACTAACGTGGAAAGTTTCAGAGCCTCATAACTCATTGCATATACCTCTTATACTAGCTGCTCAACTGATATTTAGCTCTCCTGGATGATGTCACAGTTTTTATCCTCTTAAAATAGCCTGCCTTCAGAAAATATATAGTTTCCTTCATGCACTAATCATGGGGAGTTACGATGTAAATAGAGCCATTTTTTTTCTTATACAAGGAACAAGTGCTCTCACCCTCCTCCCTTCTCTCCCTCCCCATACACAGAAGCACACTTCACTTCACTTATACTAAACACTTCACTTATACTTACACTGCAACAAAGAGTTGCAAATACATGCAAATAAAGCCTTTATAACTCCCCTCTCTCCTGCTGGACAGCTCCTTGACTCAAGTATTTCCGAAGACAGACACTCTGATAAGGGTCTGCTCTGAGCTTCATTCTCAGCATACAGTCCTGGGATTATTTACCTACCAATATTCACCTCTGCATGAACCAGTAAGTCATTACTGACAAGAAAAAAACAATTTGTGATTTTTTTTAATGTCACAATTTTTCTTTTTAAGGTTTGGGAGAGAAAGTTGTTTTGAATGTTTCATCAGTTTCTATTGCCAAATGAACACCTGTTTCAGAGTCCCTGAAAGTCACACATCAGAAGCTTCTGACTTCAACATATAGTCTGCTTTGAAGAATTATTTTAAAAAAGCATTGACTGCTTGAAGATAAGCAAGTGACACTCAATAGCTTCATTCTTTAGTCTTAGAAAATAATTTTTACACTTCACACCTATTAGGATGGCTACTATGAAATATAAAAAAAATTAAAAATAACAATGGTGGCAAAAATATGAAGAAATTAGAACCCTTGTGCACTGCTGGTGGGAATATCAAATGATACAGCCTCTATGGAAAACAGTATGGTGGCTCCTCAAAAAATTAAAAATAGAATTACCATATGATCCAGCAATTCTACTTCTGGGTATATATTCAAAAAAATTTAAAGCAGGATCTCAAAGAGTTCTTTGTACAGCCATGTTCATGGCAGCATTACTCACAATAGCCAAAAGGTCAAAGCAACCCAATCGTCCATCCACAGATGAATGAATAAACAAAATGTGGCATACAATAAAATGTCATTCAGTCTTTAAAAAGAAGAAAATTTGGACACATTGTACAATATAGATGAATCTTTTTTTAAATTAAAGTGGTTTTTTTAATCGTTTTATTTTAAAGTTCCGAGGGACATGTGCAGGATGTGCAGGTGTGTTACATAGGTAAACGTGTGCCATGGTGGTTTGCTGCACCTATCAACCCATCACCTAGGTATTAAGCCCAGTATGTATTAGCTATTTTCCCTAAGGCTCTCCCACCCCCACCATCCCCCAACATACACCATAGATGAATCTTAAGGACATTATGCTGCGTGAAATAAACCAGTCACAAAAAGACAAACAGTGTATGATTCTACTTATGTGAGGTACCTAGAGTAGTCCAAGTTCAGAAAGTAGTAATAATGGTTGCCAAAAGGTGGGAGCATGCAGAACACGGGGAGTGTTGATTGACATCAAGTTTCTGTTTTGCAAGGTAAAGAAGTTCCAGAGATTTGCTGCACCAACAATGTGAATATACTTAACACTACTGAACTGTAAAGTGGTTGTGACTACAGATTTTATGTTTTATGTGTTTGCCACAACCAAAAATAAAGATTAAATTAAAAAATAAAAGATTTTATAGCACCTATCACTTACCAAACCCACTGTACATCTTACACTCGTGAATATTTTATGATTTTCAAAACACCTTTATTTTTTTCCCTTATTTGTTCATTCCTTCATGTATAACCCACAATGTGTTAGGTTATGTGCTGGGCAGCCTGGAAGACCCAAAGACGAATTAGGGAAGTACCCTATATTTAAAGCCTTGCAAGGACATAAATATCAGTAATATAAAGTAAAATATGTTCACTGCTGAAAACTGCTATACTTCCTAGATTTTTCAATTCAATTGCAATTTCTAATATTTTGCCATGTTGATCCCACAAATTCACTTGTGTTTAAAAGTTAACGTGCTTGATTATCATACAGCTGCTTCTTTCATAAGAGGAATACAGATAAAACGCTATGGGATTTCAGGGGGAGAAAGAACTTCTTATTAAATTCATATTTTCAACCAATAAGAAAACACAATTTTTTTTAATCAACACTATCTTCTTGGTGCTTTTTTCACATCTCATCCTCTTTCCTCCTTTACCCTGCCTAAGCAACCATTTCTGGACCCAATCTTGGGTTATTACATCTGACGGCAAGTGTTATGTGGGCCATGGACCATGAGCAATTAGCCCCCTCTCTACTCCTAGGGATGGAGTACATGTGATGATTTCCATCAGACTCAGATTAAATATCTTGCTGGTAAGTTACCCCTAAAAATCGATTAATGGACTCTCCAGGTAGACACTGAGGTAATCTCCAACCAAACCTGACTTATACTTAGGGGCTTTGGAAGCCCACCAGAGTCATCAAGCCATATCTCCACCTAGGCTCTATACTGGAAAGCTGGTCAGTAGTAACACAAAGAACAAGCCATTTGGGAAAACAGCCCACATGAAAAGAACTGTGGTTTCAAGAAGAGTCATTCCATCCCAGGTTTAAAATACTCTTCTCCTCTTTATCTACCTTGAGGACTCCTATCTATCCTTCCATACCAGATCCAGCCTCATCTTCTAAGTGAAGCCCTCCTCTGGGACGTCAGCGTCTCCTCTGCATCCCCTAGCATTTTATGCATCCTCTGTTAAAGCAACTGTTTGCACAGCTGTATCCACCACTAAACTTAGAGGCAACAGACCATGGTTTTGAATGTGTAGAACCCAACACAGAGCCCGAGACCTAGTGGGTATTCAGTGCATGTTGAAGGGAAGAATGAATGCATGAGCAAACAAGACAATGGAAGTCTGTCATCAGTATTTACATTTCAAAATGCAAAGTGAAAATTGTGCAAATCTCTAATCAAGCTGTACTTTAAAATGCTAAATTGATTTGGCTAAAAATATTTCAACACTGAAATTTCTTTTTGCAAGTTAAGTCTTCGCATAACCAAAACAGAAAAGAACGTATCAATGAACTAAATAGATAAATTTATGGCTGACAAAATCTCAAGATTTAGTGTGTGAGAGGAAAGTAAAATTCAATGTGTCCTTGAAAGTTCTGGGGTCTAAGATATACAGGCCAATGGAATAGAATAGAGACTTCAGAAATAAACTATTGCATATATGGTCTGATAACTTTTGAAAGTGGTTCAAAGATCATTTAATGAGAAAAAAAGGAGTCTTTTCAACAACTGGTGTTGGGAAAACTGGGTATACATATGCAAAAGAAAAAAGTTGGGCTCTTACCTTATACTATATACAAAAATTAACTCAAAATAGAACAAAGACCAAAAAATAAAAGCTAAAACTCTAAAATTCTTATGAGAAAACTCTAAAATGCTTAGGGAATAACTTCATAACACTGGATTTCACAAGCCTGTCTTGAATATGACACCAAAAGCACAGGCAACATAAATAAAAGAGACAAATTTGCCTGCACTAAAATTAAACACTTTTGTGAGTCAAACAAGCTATCAACAAAGTCAAAAGACATCCTATAAAATAAGAGAAAATATCTGAAAATAATTTATCTAATAAGGGATTAATATCCAGAAAAAAAAATATATATATATATGTATATAACCTACAACTCAACAACAACAACAAAAACAACCCAATTTAAAAATGGGCAAAGGACTTGAACAGAATTTTTTCCAAAGATAACACTAATGGCCAATAAGTACATGAAATTATGCTCAACATCACTAATCATTGGGAAAATGCAACTCAAATCCACAATGAAATACTTCGTAGCCATTAGTATGACTATTACCAAAAAATCAGAAAATTACAAGTGCTGGTGGAGATATGGAAAAGTTGCAAATCTTATGCACTGGTGGTGGGAGAGTAAAATGGGAAAGTCACTATAAAAAACAGTCTAGTGATTCAAAAATTAAAAATAGAATTAACATATGATTCACCAATTCCGCATGAAGATAGCAGGAAATTGAACTGATATTTGCACATCCATGTTCATAGCAGCATTATTTACAATAACCAAAAGGTGGAGGCAACCCAAGTGTCCATCCACAGATGAGTGGATAAACAAAATGTGATATACACATATCATGGGATATCTTCAGCCTTAGAAAAGGAGAGAAATTCTGACATATGCTATAACACAGATGGACCTTTGGAAAGTTAAGAGATTGTCTTATTTATCTTACGCTAAGAGAAATAAGCCATCCACAAAAGGACAAATGCTGTACGATTCCACTTGTGTGAGTTACCTAGGGCAGTCAAATTCACAGAAACAGAAAGTAAAATGATGGTTTCCAGGGGCTGAGAGAAGGGTAGAATGGAAAGCTATTGTTTAATGGGTTGGAGTGTCAGTGTAAGAAAATGAAAAAAGTTCTGGAGATGGATGATGGTGAGTTTTGCACCACAATGTGAATGTATTTAATACCACTCAACTGTACACTAAAAAATGGTTAGGATGATAAATTTTATGTATATTTTACTATAACAAAAAGTCATAAAAATCAAACATGGTTCTTCTCATTAAAAAAAAAAGAAGATTCCTGGGTCTAGTTGGTTCTCCCTCCTTCTTAGTTCTTGGATCAAGGAGATAGAATTGTGTCCAAAGTGACCAAGTGACCTACGGAGTAATGGGCTTCCATCTAGCCACTCCCTGCTTTATGACTGAGCTGCACTGGGAGAGGCATTGTCAGGGGAAATTCCAGGTTTCTAGAATTGGTATCTAGCCAGAATTTGTCCCAGGGCTAAGTGGCTAAGGCAGTGAACTAGTCTGTCAGCTTCTCTGTTTTAAATGGAGTCATGTAATTCCATTACATACCCTTTGCTTTCAACTATATGGCCAAACATGACTGGCCAGCAGGCTGGGGGACAGAAGACATGTGGGCTTGTGCTTGTTACCTGGAATTGAAAAGAGCTCTTGGCATGGTTCTTGTTCAAGCTCCATGGTTGACTAGCACATGACCACCAAGAGAGCTACTGTACTTCTCCGAGACTCATTTTCTCTTCTGTAAAAAATGACTGAGTTTCTTTCACAGTGCATAAATCTTTTCCTCCAGGAACAGAGACTGCCCAGGGCCTGTCCAAGACAACTAGGAAACCAGAGCAGCAGTTAAGCCATTCCTGGGCAGGAATAAATGAGCAGATGTCAGCTCTCAGAATCTCAGTTTTCTCACTCATAAAATGGAAAAGAATACTATTTCTTTTATGTCATTCACCATATTGTGAGCTGAAGGCACTTTAACGATGCTGAGGCTGTAAACTAATGCATAATGTGATGTTTATCATTCTTCACCTATGTTTTAGTTACTGAGCATCTCCTGACACCAGAGAGGACGCAACAAAAATCACAACTCCTAGAACTGCACAGTCTAAATGGCAACCACTAGCCCCTGTGACAACTGATCACTTGAAAAGTGAGTAGTCCAAATTAAGATGTGCTGTAGGTGCAAAATATATGCTGGATTTGGAAGATGTTCTATGAAAAAAGTATCTCATTAGTCATTTTTATATTGATTACATATTAAAAAGATTCCATTTTGGCTATGCTGGACTCTTCAGATATATCCTGGGAGATTGTATTAAAAGAAAATACATGATGGAAATTAGTGTAGGTAGTTACTAGAAAATGTAAAATTACATGATTCACATCCTATGTTCACTGTTCTAGACATATAAATATAACTTTGAGTTATTTTTAAGCATGAGAAGACAGAAATCGACGAATAAAGTGAAAAAGCTAAAGATTAAAGATACTTACAAATCATTGTTGTATTTTTTAAGAGGTCATTTTGAGCATATTCCTTACCATTGAAGCCCCTGCCTGTCTGGCTCCTCTGCCCACCTTGTTTTGCTAATGGGTCATGCTCCTATATGTGCATAGACGAGGAGCGGCTCTCAGGGACTGACCGTAAGCATAGTCAGCACAGCACGTATACCCATGCTCTGACCCCAGGTTGGCGTCTTGGAGGGTGAAGCATTTTCCCAGTCCTTCTTTGACTCATCACAGAGGTATAAAACAGCGTCTCCAACACGTGATTTTTTTTTTTTTTTTTTTTTGAGACAGAGTCTTGCTCTGTCGCCCAGGCTGGAGTACAGTGGCACGATCTTGGCTCACTGCAACCTCCAACTCCCAGGTTCAATCAATTCTCCTACCTCAGCCTCCCAAGTAGCTGAAATTACAGGCACACACCACCACGCCTGGCTAATTTTTGTATTTTAGTAGATACGGGGTTTCACAATGTTGGCCAGGCTGGTCTCAAACTCCCGACCTCAAGTGATCCACCCATCTTGGCCTCCCAAAGTGCTGGGATTACAGGCTGAGCCACTGTGCCAGTTAAAAGAAAAAAAATATTCAAACATATTTGGTTTCTTATTGAGGTGAAGTTCACATAACATGAAACTAACAGTTTTAAAGTGAACAATTCAGTAGCATTTAATTAACAATGTTGTCCAACCAACACCTCTGTCTAGTTCCAAACATTTTTGTCACCCCAAAAGGAAACCACGTGCTCAGAAGGCAGTCACTCCACATCACCCCTCTTCCTAGTCCTATGCTTTGCACACAACTGACTCACCCTGACAGTTATAACCTAAAAGTTAAATAAAATTATTAGTAAACTGCAAACCCCTGGCAAGTGAATTACTTAATATCTCTTAAAATCCTGACATCAAATGATTCCCCTGTGAGGCCATGAGATGATAAGAACATCCACCTCCCTCTCTTGCTCCAGTGGAATGAAACCCCCTCCTCAAGGAGGGTTACACTCAGGCATAGGCCCGATCACTCATCATATATTGACAGATGTGCAGGCCTGAGACCCCGCCTTCTGGAGCTTTCTAATGCTCCTTGTTTCTCAATCCAATCCTTGCTAGGAATTAGGCTCTTCTGCTGAATGTAAAATTTTTCCATCTGCCTCCATAAAGTATGTGCCACCTGTCAGCTGACTGGTCAACCCCAAGCTCAAAGTATATGGACATTTTGGGGGTGACAATGGTGGGCATACATCTTTAGCAAAGATTAAGAAGGTACCAGAGGAGGACCAGCACAACCCAGCAATGCAGCAGAATCCATCAGGAAAGCTTTGGCTCTGGGTGGAGCTCCTTGCTTTAGCTCTGCCTTTGAGCGCTTGGGTGGCTGGGGAGGCACTGGGGTGGAAGGGAAGGAAGCAGGAATTCGTGTGCTGCAAATTTCACTACACTTGACCACAACTTGGAGTGGAAAGGGCACTGTGGTACGTCTATCTGGCCTTCCTTTACAAGCCTTAAAATGCTGTGGAATCCATCTGGATGGAAGACGCCATCCAATTATAAATCCTTAGGATACTTTTTATTGCCCTTTAAGAGTTCCGATGCTTGCTCTTCCATGCCCATATGTTTCTGCTTAAGAGGCTTCATTCAAATCAAATTGGAAGAGAAGTCCAGATTACCCAACTACAATTACCTGAGCAAAAATCCCCTCAATTATCTTGGTAATCCAGATAAATTCGGAGTACAAAGGTGAGTTGCCTGGATAGCACTGGCTAAGAACTGCTTTGTCTCCCATTTCACCTTGCATTATTATAATCTACTTGATTACACTTCATTTATAACAATAGGGAGGGCTTGTTTTATGCCACACATTGCCACTTGCTCAAGTGTAAAATAAACCTTAAATGACTGATGTACTGCTAAATTTATCTCAAAAAACAATCATAACAGGAATCTTAAGGCAATAAAGTCAAACAAATAGAATTTTACAGAATTTAAAAATTATTTTGTGAGTGATTTATGCTAAAATACCTCAAATTTATTTCAAAAACAGTCTTACTTAAAACTGACTTAAAATATATGTAGGATAAATAATTTGTAGTGAATTTAACGAAACTTCAGCAATTCAAATGAATGCACATTATTCTTCTTAAAAACAGATATCCTGAAAATATCCATCAGGATAAATAGCTAATGCATGTGTGGCCTAATATCTAGGTGATGGGTTGATAGGTGCAGGGAACCACCATGGCACATGTTTACCTGTGTAACAAACCTGCACATCCGGCACATATATCCTGGAACGTAAAATTAAATTAAATTTTTAAAAAGCAGATATTTGGAAAGTACCAATAGCTTCAAAGTAAAAATACTCTACACTGTTTTTGTTTGTTTGTTTATTTTCGTTTTTGTTTTTCTTTTTTGAGATGGAGTCTCGCTCTGTTGCCCAGGCTGGAGTGCAGTGGCGTGTTCTCAGCTTACCACAACCTCTGCCTCCTGGGTTCAAGTGATTCTCCTGACTTGGCCGTGCCACCATGCCCAGCTAATTTTTTTACATTTTTGGTAGAGATGATGGGGTTTCACTGTGTTGGCCAGGCTGGTCTCGAACTCCTGACCTCGTGATCCACCCGCCTCAGCCTCCCAAAGTGCTGGGATTACAGGCGTGAGTCACCGCGCCTGGCCTATGCACTGTTAATTTTATCACGACAGTTATAAATCCATCAAGATGTCCTGTGATTTTTCAACACAAATTACTCAAATTATGAACTTCTCTGTGTGTATTTTCCACTGGCTTGTTTATGAATCCTGCTGATATGTCTGCTACAATTTCTCCAAAGGCTAAAAGATGTTTACAGGACAAATGACATCATGACCATGTCAGGCTTAAATGTGTTTATATCAGTTGGGTTTAGAGGGTCTTCAAAACATGGCTTTAAAATCTCAGTTATTATGGAGCTTAATGTGTTCCTGATGTTTCTGGAGTAATGTATTTCTAAAAATAGAGAAATAGATTGGTTAAAAGAAAATGAATTGTTGGTCTAATCTGTCTTATGCATGGCTAACGAAATGCATTTTCACTCTCTTCCGTGATAATACGACACTTAAAACTGTGAGGACCAATGGGGTGATAAGAGACAAAATAAACAGTAAATAGATACTCCATGTGAGTTACTACTCTGTAATAGATAGAAAAGATATTTTATAGAAAAGGGAAAATACCCACAGACATATAAGCAATGTCCTGTGGTTGCTATCAAATTTACTGTTAGCTGTTTAAAACTGCCTTAAAGGTTTTTTAAATGTGTCTTTTCTACCATAGATTCTTTAGACGACAGCCATCAAGCAGCAAATACCTCGCAGGAGGCCATTGTGTTTCTATTTGAACTTCTATGGATGTCAAGCTCTGTTCTTCAAAATTTAGCCCTACAGATGGGTGGCCCACCGGAGAGAATTAATCTCACTATGCAGCCAACACTACCCTTTCTGGATCTTTCCCCAGTAGTGTGGATTCTGCTCTAGTCCAGAATTATGCAGAATAAGTATACTTCATCTTAGACACCATAATTCTTCAAATATCTAAAATGTATATTATGCTCTCCAAATCCTGGTCATCTCCAGGTTAAGTATCTCTCAAAAACAGTCCATCAGATAATATGATTTTAAATCTTTATCCCCTTGGTCATATACCCACAATCTCATTCTATTTACCAATATCCCTACTGATGCATAAAC
Source organism: Homo sapiens (assembly GCF_000001405.40). NCBI lineage: Eukaryota > Metazoa > Chordata > Mammalia > Primates > Hominidae > Homo > Homo sapiens. Next base: position 38,543,338 of record NC_000021.9, read on the forward strand.
TACATATGTATATGTGTGTTTTTTTTTAAAAAAAAAGCAATTCCACTGTAATTTTAGCAGAGGTTATTTCCACATAGAGCTATGTATATGTGTATATACACATATCTTTATATTATATAGTTTTCTGTGCTTTCCCAGTTATCTACAATGGGCATATATGACTTTTATAGCCAGGTAATTCAATATTCATTCATTCAGTGAACATCATTGAGCATCCACTATGGGCTGGGAAGTGAGGATGGAGCCACAAACAAGCAAAATAAAAACCCCTGCTCTTGTGGAGTTCCCTTCTCATTGGAAGAGACGTACAGTAAAGAAAAAAATAAAAGAGTAAAGTTAATAGCCTGTGAGAAGGGGATATAAAAGTGGGAAGGAAGACAGGGTGATGTGTGAGAAACACTTTTTTTTTTTTTTTTTCAGATGAAGTCTCACTCTGTTGCCCAGGCTGGAGGGCAGTGGCTCGATCTCAGCTCACTGCAACCTCCACCTCCTGGTTTCAAGCAGTTCTCCTGCCTCAGCCTCCCAAGTAGCTGGGACTTCAGGCATGCACCACCATGCCTAGCTAATTTTTATATTTTTAGTAGAGACAGGATTTCACCATGTTGGCCAGGCTGGTCGTCTCAAACTTCTGACCTCAAGTGATCTGCCTGCCTTGACCTCCGAAAGTGCTGGGACTACAGCAATGAGCTGCCAAGCCCGGCCTGGGGAACACTATTGAATAGTGTGGTCAGGGAAGGCTTTACTGTGAAGGTGATGAAGACCCAAAGAAAGTGAGGAACTAAGTCATAAATGATGGGTAGAACATTCCGGATTGCGGGAGCAGCAAGTGCAAAGGCCCTGGGGTGAGGAATACCAAGAATGTTTGTGTGGGCAGAGCAGAAAGAACCAAGGGTAAAGCATTAGGAGATGAGGCTGAAGAAGTAACCGGGATCAGGTGGTTAGGGCCCTCAGGCCCTGGAGGAAGGCTGGCAGCGCTGGAGCCACATGGACTGACAATGTCTAGCAGTCATCCCGGCTCCCTGTGAAGAACAGACCCTCGCTTGCAGAGAAGCGAGGACAATTAGGAAAGCAGAGTCATGATCCACGCACAGGATCACGGTGACTTGGACCAGAAAGAGAGCAGTGGAGCTGGGGAGTGACTCTTTTCAGTATTTCTCAGGTGGTACCAGTGGGATCTGCAGAGAATACATAGTTAAAGGAAATGTCTGGAACTAAACATGACTCTTCAAACGTGATCCTACTGTGGCAGAAGAGAGGCGACTTTACATTTCCTTTCCCAGGATATCTTATTCTAATGAACACAGAAACCGTAAAATCAAGCCAACCAACATGATGAAAATGATTATATAAGGTACACAGCCCAGGCTGGATTTGAACTGATGAGGGAAAAAAAATCTCTAGTGAAAATTCCTCTCTCTAACCACAGCCTTCTCTCCTTCCATCTCTGCCTCACCCTTGCTCTTTCTGAAGCCTTCCTGGATGCTCATGAAGCTCTCTCCTTCTTTGACTCATCCTATTTTCCCAGGACCTTTATCAACTCAGGGCTCTTCTCCCCTCCCCACAGTCAGCTCACTGTGCTCTGACTAGTTCCCTGAAATTGCTCATCCTCTTACTAACCAGGAAGCTTCTACCCGCTCTTGGTCTTCTTTCTCCACCCCAGTGCCAAAGAACTAAGCACTGATGGAGAAAAAGCATGCGGCTAATACTGTCTGTCTCTACCACAAATCTCATAATTTTTAAAATCCATTTGGAATTTACATTCACTCCTTAACTTCTTTTCATTCACTCCTAATTCACTTCCTATATAATTCTCTACACAGCTGCTGAAAACCTTCCTTTCTGCTGCCTCTTACCCCAAAACTACTCTCACATTACTCACAAAGGTTGACCTTGTTTTCTATATACTTTTTTAGAGTAACGAAGCCATAAAATGTAAGTTCTTTCAACCTGGACCTCCCACTCTTGGGATTTCTCAATAGCTTCACCTGTATTCTCCCCCTTCACTCTTGACTCAGAGGTAAACGCTCCCTTGCTCCCAAATCCTTTAGCAACGTAGGGTTGATAATTGCTCCTTTCCAAATTTAATCCCTGCATCTGCGCCCCTGAGACAGACACTGCCATGATTTCCCAGCTTGCTGTCTTCTCCCTCCTGCATCTCCTCCCTTTCTCTGTGACGGATATTTTCCCTGTGCAAGAGAAATTTCTTCTGCCCTAAAATAAATAATCCAAAACATCTCTTGACTCCACTTAAGCTAACATTCAATATCTCACTTTCCCTTGTATTAACAAAAGTTAATTGAGTCAGTACGGTGCTACAATTCTCAGACACAACGATAAACATGATAGAGACCATCAACATGCCTTGGCATTTTGCCTGCTTTCTCTTCAATTACTTGCAACTTGGCTTCTACTGAGCTCCACTGAAAAAGCTTTCATGACATGACCACATCCAATCCCAAAGAAACTGTCCCCTTGCCCAGTGGTCTTCAAAACCCTCCAACTCCACAGTGTCTCATTAACTCCAACTCATTTCCTACTAAACATCTCTTCTCAGCTCTTCAAAGTCAAAGATTGCGAACCAAATCTACAGACTTCTCCTCTCTTCTCCTTTGGGTCCAACTCCATCCTTCTCCATGAAACTTCTTATTCCTAGAAATGGTGTCTGCACCTTTTAGGCTTCCAGGCTTGAGCCTAGAGTCATCTTTAACTCTTTCCATACCCAGACTCCCAAGACCCAGTCAGCTGTTTAGGTGTCTCCTCTGTATGCAGCACTTACTGTCATTGCCCTGGTCCATCTCCCAGAGCCCACATCTTGTCCCACTGTCTGCAAAGCCTTTCCTATATGCTGGATATAAGTGCAAACTCCCCCTAAAATCCCATTGAAGTTTTTACTTTTTTCTATCTTCTTTTTTTACTTCTTTTTATCTTCCTCTACTCACACAGAAGTGCTCCAATTATGAGGACCTTATTTTATTCCCTTTACTGTCAAACACAAAGCCAACATGCCATACGAAAAGATAGTACTGTGCTTCCTTCAGTGCCACTCTAGCACGCCCACTCCAGCACACCCTTCTTGTGCGGGTGTATGCTCATGTGATACTATCACAGGCAACACTTACTATGCAATACGTTTTCCACAATCACAATATTTCCACAATATTGTGATATGAGCTCATTCTTCAGGCCTTGACACAAGCGCCCACAAACCTAAGAGAATGCATTTTCATTTTTATGATACACAGTTTTCGACTGCTCCACTCTGGCTGCCAAGGCATTCCTCCTCCAAATCACGATGTCTATATCAAAAGAAGAACAATGAGGGAGAGCTGGAGGTAGCGCTAAGAAACAACCTGGTCCAGCTCCCAGGTCTCATAGAGAACACTCAGAACACGCTTGTTAGAGGTATCTGCTCCTGGCCTCAGCTTCTCAGAAGCAATTACACATCTTCTGGGTAAACGTGGAGTGTGCAGCACAGAATACCAAAGCTGAGCTTCCCATTGTACCTGGTTGTTGATCTCCTCGTTGACCTCCCTCAGCTGAATATTTCTTAAGAACAGTGTTCAATTAATCCAACTATCCCTGGTGGCTGGCAGGATGAATCAGTTATGACTTATTTCATGTTTGTGGGTGGGTGTATGAAGTGGTCCTCAAAGGAGATTTTTGCTCTCTGCAGACAGTCTGCCTGTCTGTAGGTCACTTCCTGCCATTTCCTTTGAGTGGGAATATGAGCCAGGGTGTTGGAAGAAGGAAGAGTCCAAAAGATGTCTCAGGGAATGTCCCATAGCCATTGGCCTGGTCTGCCCTAGATAACTTCTGAGCCAGGTCACCCTAAAGTGCTACATGAAAAGTCATGGATTTTTTTTCTAACTTGTTGATCTCAAATGTCGTGATTTGGCATGAATATCTAGCTTCCCATGTTGCAGCTATGGATTTATTCTTGCCAAAATATTGGGGATTGGGCTGGAGAGGGAAGAAGGTACGAAGATGCATTCTGTGTTGCTCAACAAGATCTGCATGGCCTCAACCAATGCGTGTTTGACCATATGGATATTTACAAACCCCACCATCAACTCACCAAAATGAAGAGTGTCTTAGACTTATTCTCACAAGACAAGAGGGAACGCTGCCTCTAAGGAGTCTCTCTGGGACACCTGGGAGAGATTTATTTAATGGTAAAGCAAGGAAAGGAAAAGATGAACAGTGACCTGCAAATCATTAAAGAGGGCGACTCGATCATAGGCAAGGGCTTTTATTAGTGCTAAAATTCCACTTCAAAGTTTGCTGATTCATGGATGCTTTTTGTTTTGCTGTTTATGTTGTAGAAACTGATTTGATTTTCATAGACAAAATAACTAGGCATTTATAACCACATATAGGTATGAAAGAAAGATAAAATGATGCCCTTAGCCCAGTCAGAAATACTCTTAACCATCAAAATAGTTCCCTGAATCTAATAGGCCAACAATATTCCAACACCAGAACCTTTGCTACCATAGCCAGAATTTTTAAGACTGCACCACTGTTAAGTAGAGGCAATTTTTAATACTTAGGGTCTAACCACAAGGCATAAAATGCAAAAAAAATTACATAATCCTGTACTTTTTAATAATTAAATGAAAATACATAGACTCTAAGCAGGAAAATATCTGAGATCCTTAAAACGGTATAATCATAATTGTTCTACATTGGTAATATGTGTGATGATATTTTTCTCCAAAAAAAATTCTCTACCATTTCATTCTCTTTAATTTCTTCTAGCCCGTAAGGTCTAGCAAAGAGGAATACCTGAAAAGATGCAAATTGTACCCCTGTGCTGTTCAATGACAGCAAAAATTGCAGCTCCCCAACCCCACCTCTTATGTCCCCTGAGCAATCTGTGATCACTTGAGGGTGAGGACAGTATATTGCCCCAATAAACTGGCTTTCCACCAAGTACCACCAAGAAATCAAAACAGCTTTTATTTTATTGTGTCATCATATATAAGTTAATAGTTCATAATTAGTTCAAAATTTAAAATTATGTTCTAAAAATAAAGCTTTCTAAGTCAATGTAGGCAACGATTCCAAGATCCTTATAGTTTTCCTCTCTTAAACAGAGACCATTATCATATGATTTTTTTTTTTTTTTGAGACGGAAGCTCACTCTGTTGCCCAGGCTGGAGTGCAGTGGTGCGATCTCTGCTCACTGCAAGCTCTGCCTCCTGGGTTCACGCCATTCTCCTGCCTCAGCCTCCCAAGTAGCTGGGACTAGAGGCACCCGCCACCACGCCCGGCTAATTTTTTTTTTTTTTTTTTTTTTTGCATTTTTAGTAAAGACCACGTTTGACCGTGTTAGCCAGGATGGTCTCGATCTCCTGACCTCATGATCTGCCAGCCTTAACCTCCCAAAGTGCTGAGATTACAGGCGTGAGCCACCGTGCCTGGCCAGTCATATGATTTCTAAAGAGAAACTGAACAGTTATTTGTAGAAACTCTGCAAAGCATGACTTTGGGACGGGCACAGTGGCTCACGCCTGTAATCCCAGCACTTTGGGAGGCTGAGGCGGGCAGATCACGAGGTCGGGAGATCGAGACCATCCTGGCTAACATGGTGAAACCCCGCCTCTACTAAAAAAATACAAAAAAATTAGCCAGGCATGGTGGTGGGCGCCTGTAGTCCCAGCTACTTGGGAGGCTGAGGCAGGAGAATGGCGTGAACCCAGGAGGCGGAGCTTGCAGTGAGCCAAGATCGCACCACCGCACTCCAGCCTGGGCAACAGAGCAAGACTCTGTCTCAAAAAACAAAACAAAACAACAAAACAAAACAAAACAAAAAAGCCATGCCCAAGCCCACCCCTGACCAGTGAAATCTCCGGGATTGGGGCACAGGTATAATGTTTTTATAAACATCTTCCTAGATGTTTCCTGCATCCAGGGTGATAAATCATCATACTAAAGGCATCATCTGAAGGCTCCTAGAGTATAGAGAAGTTCAGAATAAGGACCCCAAACTATTGCACATCCTGACACTAACTAGCTGTAGCTGTGCACCCTGGACAGGGAGAGATCTAAACAGCTAGTTATCTTACTTCACCGAAATCTACAACTAAAGATGTCTATCCACGTGTTATAGCTTTGGCTTCCCTAATCTAGATGTTCAATCTACTTTTCTGCAATTTGGCAAAGTAAAACACACATATACAGTAATGCACAATGTCCTGATTGTTGGGGTTTATTATTTGTTTTGCATTTACGCTTCTTAGGTATGTAACATGCCAAAGTCATGGGAGCTGAGTCTTTTGAAACAGAGGCTTCTTTGGGTGCAAATATTAATTTTCTATGAAAAAAAGAGAAAGTACAAAGAAAAGAAAAAACAGCAGTAATACAGAAATGAATATCTTCCTTGTCTAGGACACAGTGTTTTTTTTAACCTAGATTTCTTTGAACACAGACTGACACAAAAATTAAATACTATTGCTCCATTGGAGAGGTGCAAACCTGGGGCGGTGAGAGTGAGGGGAAGCGAGTGAGATTGTCACTACACTAGCTTCTGGGGACATGGAGACAGCCAGTCACTGAGCCCCTGCCTTCCCTTGGCCATGCAGATGCCTCTGATAGGTTACACGGAAAAATTCTACCTCACAGCAGCCCATGGGGTGGAGGAAAAATAGGAACTTAGTTGCCTACATTCTTCCTGCATCCCCTTCCTCATTGGTCAGAGTCACCCTGCATGTCTGGGTTGTCACCTGCTCCCAAGGTGACCACTCCAAAAGTCAGGTTCTACGCCCGGTGGTGGGGTGCTTCATCCAAGTACAGAAATGCCAAGAGGATCCGGAAACCTTTTGACCTGGTTGCTGAGTCACAGGAAAGAAGGGCCAGCCCTCCTGGGACAGGTAACAGGCTGGCCCTGAGCTGTGGAAGCCCTCACACCCAGAAGGAGTCAATCTGCTGGGGTGGCCACTGAGACCAAGCAGGAGCTGAGGGTCCTGGAGTAATAGATGGAGGCCCATGAGATGTGTTCAGACACATAGTGTGTTTGTCAACTGCAATGTGTGTGTGCCCCCAAAATTCATGGGTTTAAATCCTTACCCCCAAGGTAGCAGTATGAGGAGGAGGGGCCTTTGGAAGGTGACTAGGTCATAAGGATGGAGGTCTCATGAATTGCATTAGTACCTTTACAAAAGGGACCCCAGGGAGATTCCCTCACCCTTTTGTCACAGTGTGAAGACCCAGCAAGAAGATGGACATCTATGAATCAGGAAGAGAGCCCTCACCAGAACCCAACCCTGCTACACTCTGATCTCAGACTTCCAGCCTTTAGAACTGTGAGAAATAAGTTTCTGTTGTTTATATGCCACTCAATGTATAGCACTTTGTTACAGCAGCCCAAGCTAAGACAGCCTATTATGTATGAGCAGGTGGCTTTGAGATAATTGAGAAAACAGAGACTATAACTACAACCAGCCAGAGATGGGATCATTGCAAATGGGACTCGGGTTCACACAAGGTTTGTGACACACACACAAAAAAACATAAGGCAGATAAATCAGCAAGGGTAGCAGTCAGGAATTGACAGACGATTAATGGATTGAGGAAACAGAATAGATAATTTAAAAGCAAACCTTTGTACACAAAAGAATTCAGGAGGTGATAAAAGTAACATTTTCATATCAGTTGGAAAGTAAGTTATTCAATAGCAACAGAACAATCATTTATTGAGGAAAAATAACTATTTCTTTCCTGGTTCAATCTTGGGGTGTTGTATGTTTCCATAAATTTATCCCTTTTTTTCTGGGTTTTCTAATTTTTGTGCACAGAAATGTTTTTTAATAGTCTCTGAGGTTTTTTTTTTATTTCTGTGGGTTCAGTGGTAATGTCCCCTTTGTCATTTCTGATTATGCTTATTTGGATCTTCTCTCTTTTTTCTTTATCAGTCTAGCTAGTTGTCTATCAATCTTATTTATTCTTTCAAAAAACCAACTTTTATTTTTGTTGGTCTTTTGCATGGTTTTTTTGTATCTCAATTTCATTCAGTTCAGCCCCGATTTTGGTTATTTCTTTTCTTCTGCTAGCAGTAAGTTTGGTTTGCTCTTGTTTTTTCTAGTTCCTCCAGGTGTGACATTAGGCTGTTAATTTAAGATCTTTCCAACTTTTTGATATCAGTGTTTAGTGCTATAAACTTTCCTGTTAACATTGCTTTAACTGTATCCCAGAGATTCTGGTATGGTGTATCTTTGTTTTCATTTGTTTCAAATAATTTATTGATTTCTGTCTTAGTTTCATTGTTTACCCAAAAGTCATTCAGGAGCAGGTTGTTCAATTTCCATGATTTTGAGAGATATTCTTAGCATTGATTTTATTTTTACCGTGCTGTGGTCTGAAAGTACGGCTAGTATGATTTCAGGGTTTTTTTTCATTTGTTGCAAATTGTTTTATAGCCAAGTGCGTAGTCAATTTTGAAGTATGTGCCACGTGTAGGTGAAAAGAATGCATATTGTGTCGTTGTTGGGTGCAGTGTTCTGGAGATGTCTGTTAGGTCCATTTGGTCAAGTGTCAAGTTTAGGTCTCAAATATGTTAAGTTAGTTTTCTGCCTTGATGATCTATCTAATACTGTCAGTGAGATGTTGAAATCTCCCACTATTATTGTATGGTTATCTAAGTCTCTCACTAGGTCCCTAAAACTTGATTTATGAATCTGAGTGCTCCAGCATTGGGTGCATACATATCTAGAACAGTTAAGTCTTCTTGTTGAATTGGACCCTTTATCATTATATAATGCCCTTCTTTGTCTTTTTTGATCATTGTTGGTTTAAAGTCTGAAATTGAAACGCTGAACAGACCAATAACGAATTACAAAATTAAATCAGTAATATAAAGACTACCAACCAGAAAAAGCCCTAGACCAGAGAGATTCACAACCAAATTCTACCAGATGTATAACAAAGAGCTACTACCAATCCTACTGAAACTATTACAAAAGATTTAGGAGGAAAGACTCCTCCTTAACCTCATTTTATGAGGCCAGTATCATTTTGATACAGAAACCTGGCAGAGACACAATAAGAAAAGAAACTTCAGGCCAATATTCATGATGAACAGGGATTTGGAAATCCTCAACAAAATACCAGTAAACCAAATCCAGTACCACATCAAAAAGCTAATCCACCATGATTAACTACACATTATTCCTGGGATGCAAGGTTGGCTCAACATATGCAGATCAATAAATGTGATTCATCCCATAAACAGAACTAAACACAAAAACCACATGATCATCTCAATAGCTGCAGAAAAGACTTCCAATAAAATTCAACATCCTTTCATGTTTAAAACACTGACAAACTAGGCATTGAAAGAACATACCTCAAAATACTAACAGCCATCTATGACAAACCCACAGCAACACTGTACTGAACAGGAAAAGCTGGAAGCATTCCCCATGAGAATTGAAACAAGCTAAGGATGCCCACTCTCACCACTCTTAGTCAATATAGTACTGGAAGTCCTAGCCAGAGCAATCAAGCAAGAGAAAAAAAAAAAAAAGAAACAAAATACATCCAAATGGGAAGAGAGGAAGTCAAACTATCTCTCTTCACAGAGGACGTGATTTATGTCTGGAAAACCTCATTGTATCTGTCTAAAAACTCCTGGATCTGAAAAACAATTTCACAACGTTTTAGGATACAAAATCAATGTACAAAAATCAGTAGCATTTCTAAACATCAACAATGTCCAAGCTGAGAGCCATATCAAGAATGCAATTCCATTCAAAATAGCAACAAAAAAAATACAATACTTAAGGGTACAGATAACTGGGGAGTGAAAATCTCTATGACAAGTATTACAAAACAAAGATCAAAGAAATCAGAGATGACACAAAGAAATGGAAAAACATTCCATGCCCATGGATAGGAAGAATCAATATTGTTAAAATGGCCATACTTCCCAAAGCAACTTATAGATTCAATGCTATTTCTATCATATTACTAATTACATTTTCACAGAATTAGAAAAAACTATTTGGAAATTCATATGGAACCACAGAAGAGCCTAAATAGCCAAAGCAATTCTAGGAAACCAAAAAGCTGAAGTATCACACTACCTAGCTTCAAACTATGCCATAAGGCCACAGTAACCAAGACAGCATAGAACTAGTACAAAAACAGACACATAAACCAATGGACTAGATTAGAGAACCCAGAAGTAATGTCACACATCTATAGTCATCTAATCTTCAACAAAGTAGACAAAACAAGCAATGTGGAAAGGATTCCCTATTCAATAAATAGTGCTTGGATAACTAGCTAGCCATATGCAGAAGATTGAAACTAGACTCTTTCATTTTACCATATACAAAAATCAACTCAAGATGGATTAAAGACTTAAATGTAAATCATACAACTATAAAAACCTAGAAGAAAACCTAGAACATACCATTCTGGACATAGGCCCTGGCAAAGATTTCATGACAGACTCCAAAAGCAATGGCAACAAAAACAGAAATTGACAAATGGGACCTAATTAAACTAAAGAGCTTCTGCACAGCAAAAGAAACTATCAATAGAGTATACAGACAATGTACAGAATAGGAGAAAATATTTGCAAATTATGCATCCAACAAAGGTCTAATATGCAGAATCTATAAAAAAAAACTTAAGCAAATTAACAAGCAAAAAACAACTTCTTTAAAAAAAATGGGCCAAAAAAACATGAAAAGACACTTCTCAAAAGAAGACATGTGTGACCAACAAGCATATGAAAAAACGCTCAACATCACTAATCACTAGAGAAAAGCAAACCAAAACCACCATGAGATATCATGACACACCAGTCAGAACGGCAATTTTAAAAGTCAAAAAATAACACATGTTGGTGAGGCTGCAGAGAAAAAGGAACAGTTATATGCTGCGTGTGTGAATGTAAATTAGTTCAGACACTGTGGAAAGCAGTTTGGAGATTTCCCAAAGAACTTAAAATAGAACTACCATTCAACCCAATAATCCCATCACTGGGTATATAAAGGAATATAAATTGTTCTACTGTAAAGACACCTGCATTATTCACAGCATTATTCACAATAGCAAAGACATAGAACCAATCTAGAAGTCCATCAGTGGTGGACTGGATAAAGAAAAAAATGTGGTACACAAACATTACAGAATACTACACAGCCATAAAATAGAATGAAATCATGTCCTTTGCAGTAACATGAATGGAGCTGGAGGCCATTATCCTAAGGGAGTTAACACAGGAGCGGAAAACCAAATACCACATGTTTTCACTTATAAGTGGGAGCTAAACACTGAGCACACATGGACACAAAGAATGGAATGATAGACACCAGGGGCTGCTTGAGGGTGGAGGGTAGACGAAGGGTGAAGATTGAAAAACTACCAATTGGGCACTATGCTTATTACATGGTTTATGAAATAATCTGCACACCAAACTCTCATGGCATGCAATTTACCCACGTAACAAACGTACACGTGTACCCCCGAACCTAAAATAAAAGTTAGAAAGGAAAAAAAAAAAACTAAATCCCTATCTCACATTATACATCTAAAAAATCCAAATAGATTAGATTTAATTAAAAATTAAACCATAAAACACAGAAAGAAAATACAGATGAATAGTTATATAATTTAGGATGAGAACAGCCTCTGTCAGGATGAACTAAAGAATTCACAAAAAAAAATGTTAACAAATTAAATGACATGTTAAAAATCTGGCCAGGGGTAGTGGTTCACACCTGTAATCCCAGCACTTTGGGATGCTGAGGCGGGCGGATTACCTGAGGTCAGGAGTTTGAGACCAGCCTGGCCAACATAGTGAAACCTCGTCTCTACTGAAAGTACAAAAATTATCCAGGCATGGTGGCACACGCCTGTAATCCCAGCTACTCAGGAGGCTGAGGCAGGAGAATTGCTTGAGCCCGGGAGACGGAGGCTGCAGTGAGCTGAGATCATGCCACTGCACTCCAGCCTGGCTGACAGAGGGAGACTCTGTCTCAAAAAAAAAAAATTAAGAAACTATATATTGAAAGACTATAAAAAATAGTTTTGGTTTTTTTCTCAGTAAAAAAATAATATATCCATTGTCAAAAATTTTCTATTTTCAATATTATTATTTAATAGAAAAATTTCAACAATTTCTGGAGAAAATATATGAAACACATTTGACAGAGTTTTAACATCCTTAACATAAAGGATGTAACTTATATGTTACATCCTTAACATAATTTTCTTTGTTCAGTTAACAAGTTTTTATTGAGTATCTATATTGAAATATGCACTATGTCTGACACTGGCAACACATTTGAGGAAATAAAGAAGAAAAATTCAAGTCCACATGGAAAAATGGACTAAGGACATGAAAAAGTATAAATCATCAGTACACTTCTAATAAAGTTAATAATCAAAGAAATGCAAATAAATGTGACCTATCAAGGTCTTGCTATTTGTACTGTCAAATTATAAAAATACAATAACAAATATTGGCAGATATTGGGGAAACAAGTAATGTCATATACTGGTATGTGCTTAAACTGGTAAAAGTCTTCAGAAAGGAAATTGGAAATATATGTAAAAATTTTGGACAGTTGCATATTCTTTGTTCTAGAAATTCTACTTATATGATTAGAACCTAAGGAAGTTATCATAGATTTAATCAAAGATAGTTACAGGATATTCAACATAGCCCTGTATATAACAGCCAAGAATCTGAAGCCAACAAAAAATATTTAGCTTAAAATGTATAGAATATACATAGGATGAAATTGCATAGGTCACTAAACAGTTTCTAGGGACATGGAAAAAAAAATGCCATATTGCAGAAATGCAATATTTTGGGATGATAAAAGGGCAGTTTCAAAAAATTGAAAAAATAGCAGTTACTATGACCTCTTTTGGCAAAAATAATTATATGTAATATTGTTCATGGAAAAATAGACTGGAAATATAACGATTAAAATGTTAATTGTATCTGGGTTGGTGAGATTACATATAATTATTATATATAATCTTTACTTTTTTAGATTGTTGTTCACAGTGACATCAAGATTTGTCATGGGAGAAAAAATGAAGAAGATTATTATTTTGTAGTCACCCAAGGAGAGAAGAAGTCACATCTCTGGAGATAGGAGGAGATAGGGCATATGAGCCAATCACATTTCTGCAGCCTTTTGTGGATACAAAAGGGGTGGGCCAAGCCTTTCCAATATCCCTTTTCCTCCTTGGTACCCAGACAGACTATATTTACCAGCCTCCTTTGCAGCCAGGTGTGGTCATGTGACTCATTCCTGGTCAATGAAAGGTAGATGGAAGCCTGGCCTAGGAAACAGGTCTACATGCAATCTTCCATTCTTCTCCCACCCACTGGCTGAAAAGAAAGGCTTCTGAGGACACAGAGTGGGGGGAAGGCTAGGTAGAGGCTGGATGGGAAGAAAGCAGGGTTCTCTTGCTCCTCTCATCAGAGAGCTACTGAGGAGACCCACCGCACCCAGACCCCCATACTGGACTGTTACAGGAGTGAGAAATAAACTTTGTTTAGACCACTGAAATTTGAGAGTTAGAGCTATTAGCCTACCCTGATTAACGCTGGGGTAGCCCCTCACATCTGCCCAGCACCCTCAGCAGAGCCTAACCCAATCATCCAAGGTTACCCAATAGAGAACTCAGGCTTCCACTAGAGTAGCCGTCACATAGAGTTACTGGGTCTTCCAGGTTCTGCCACCTCCACCGTGTTTTGTGGGACTCTCCACTGAACTCACAAAGCACATGTATTCAGCTACTCCAAAGCTATGTGTACTCAGGAAGAGAAAGTTCTAAATGTTTCTGTGACCTTGTGCCACTGATATCATGGGTTCTATCCTTCAGAGTGCTAAGAAAAGTGTTAAATCTCCAGAATAGCTTTGGAAAAGTGGAGAAATTTGAGACTTTCTCTATTTTTAGTTGCTAATATGCATTCCTGAAAAGTTTATTTAAAGCCACAAGGAAATATTTCCATATTGAATTTCAATATTGCAATATACTATTTTAGAATAAAATGGAAAGATCCAGGACATAGAGCAGCTGAGAAGCTACACAGTTGGCCCCTGGGCTTCACTCAGACAGTGCTTCTCTAGGCTGCAAGTCATAAGTCTTTGTGTCACCCACTTTTAGAAGACATCCCCCGGACTTCTGGGACCAACCTGAGGTTTGTAGGAATCTCTGAGGATCAATGATCAAACATATATTAGCTTGAAAAAAAACTAATATATGTGTATGTTTTTTTAAAAGGTTAAGTTTTTAACAATTTAGACGTCTTGGCATTATACTCTGAGAACGTTAACCAATGAGAATAAGAGTGACAATTTAGATGTAAAACCTCTTAAAGGTAAAGATAAAATCCTAACCACATGGGGAAAACCATGTGTTCTGTGGATGATTTCCCTGGATTTCTCAAAAGACTCTTAGAATGTTCTGGGTATGACTTTGGGGGCATCTGTTCTATGAAGATGGGCACCCCAGCATCACCTGCATATTAACCCTTCTTCTTGCTCCTAAAGATGCAGAATTAGCTGAGATTAGGAAGATGTACAAAGTGTTCTCCCTGCACTTCAACTAATGAACAAAACTTTTTAAAAATTACTTATGATTTGGAACTATTTTATCATTTTATATATCCTATGGCAACTGGCATTTTATATTTAATTTTATCATCTTTTGCTTTTTTTCTTTGATCTAAATCAGGATGCTAAGTTTTGGGGGGGGGTCCTACAGTTTTGGCAGAGACCTCATTCTAAAAAAGAGGTACCAGACTATTAAGGCAGAATCTGCTGAGGGTGGCCCCAAACCTGGTCTGGTGAACCTCACTCAACTCATCATTGATTTCAAGGGCACAGAAGAGGCAAGGAGATGACAGCAGGAGAAATGGACATGTACCATGGAGAAAGGGGACCAACCACACCTTCTGTCCAAACTGAGATTTCCCAGCCTGAAACAGGTCAACACTGGGGTTAGCAAGAAACTTTAAACTGAATAGGAGATTAAAGTAATAAGAAGATGAGTACTATTATTGGTACAAATTATATTGGTAATAGTTTTAAGTTTCATTCTTTAAGACAGGGTGAATCACAGTCCCTTCTCTCAAGGTCCTTGTCAGCATTCTACTTTTCCAAGGACATTCAAAAATTTCTCATCCAAAGTCAAACATTAGTGTGTGTGCCTCAAACAAGAAATAGTTTTCCATCAGTCTCCAAATCTTTGAATAGTAAATGGCAAAAGTATGGAAATGCAAGATGGAGTGGGGCTTAATGTTGCCACAACATTCCTACAATACTGGGATAGTCTTCCTTGGGAATTACTTTCTTTCCTATCACGTATCAATAAGGAAAGCCAAATGTAGAAATAAAGAAATCTCCCCGATTTACTTAACACACGGAGGTGACAGTTACAGCGCAAATTGAGGGAAGAGTAAATGATTTCCACAAATGAACCAAAAACACTTAAAAGCCACATTTAAGAGAAATGGAGTCATAAAGGCAATATTTGTGAGCAGATAAAAAATCAGCACAGAAAAAGGTGAGAAATACACAATGTCTTTCATCAAGGTGCAAGGAAATGTAAAATAACATTAAAAGTACCAACTACATAATTTGAATATAAAGAGAACAATAGCAAGAAAGGAGAGGGGAAGTGATGGCGATATGGAGACACAGTCTCTTTTGCATGCACAGGGCAGAACCGGTGCCTCAGGCTGGAGGGTGTCTGTGAGTACCCCACAATGAAAGCAAAAGAGCACCCAGCATTGAAGCCACAGACCTTGCTCCATGAATCCTAGCTGATGGGCTGGCACAGAGAGATCAGGAGCAGAACAAGGAAATCCATAGGAGGATCCTCCCAAAGTACTTTTTTTTCTGGTCCAAAAATCCTTAAATCTGTCAGAAGCAGGAGGTTGGAGTGGGAGAATTGCAGAGCCTGGAACACACCTGCCTGCTGATGACCCATTCTGAGGGGGTTCTTTCCACTTGGCAGCAATGGACTTGGTAAAAAAAATAATAGATCCTTCTCCATGGATCCCATTTCCCTTTTTTTTTTTTTTTTTTTTTTTGAGATGGAGCCCCAGGCAGAATTAAAGACCAACTCTGGGACCCAAATTTTTAGAGGACAAAGGTTGATATAATGGCCAGCACGATTTAGTCATTTAGATTTCAGGTCTAACTAACTGATGACAGACTTTAACAAAATCACTGAAAGAAATTTAACGTCAACCTTAAATAACAGTAGAGGCAGGTAATATAACAAATAGAGTCAAAATGGTTTATCTAAAGGTCTAAGCCCAAGAAACATCCAACAATAAAATTAATCTAAAACAAATTTTTTAATAATCATTTTTTTTTCTTGAGACAGAGTTTCGCTCTTGTTGCCCAGGCTGGAGTGCCATGGCACGGTCTTGGCTCACTGCACCCCCTGCCTCCCGGGTTCAAGTGATTTCCTGCCTCAGTCTCCCAAGTAGCTGGGATTACAGGCATGCGCCACCACGCCCAGCTAATTTTTTTGTATTTTTAGTAGAGATGGGGTTTCACCATGTTGGTCAGGCTGGCCTCGAACTCCTGACCTCAGGTGATCCACCCACCTTGGTCTCCCAAAGTGCTGGGATTATAGGCGTGAGACACCACACCCGGCCTCATCTTTTCTTTAACATTACAATTTCCCATCATGGTGGCACTTGACAGTAGTGGGACTGTCCAACAGCAAATGACCCCATCTAAGCACTCAGGACAGAAGCCATTTTAGGTCATGAAAATTATACAGATTTTGTGAGTGAAGGGCATTTAGTTCTGAGCAGAAAGTAGTCTTGCAAAAGGGAAATTTGCAACAACAACAAAAAAGGACAAGGAGGGTGACAATGTCAAGCAAATGATAACCCTGCTGGAGCTTCAGAAGGAACCAGCTACATCCCTTTCCTGCTTCTACAGATGCTATGGCAGCCCCAGAGGTGTCCCACTAGGATCTCCCTTCAAGAAAGAATCTAGCATGCATCTGAACAACCTCCAGCTGTTCACACCTCAGGCCCTGCCTCATCCCAGACAGCCCTGAGCCAATCACTGACACAGCAGGGTACTAGAGCCTGGTCATTTCTGCCCAACCCGGGGCCCCTCCAAAGGCAAGCTCTGCTCCAGACCTCCCCGTTGGGTTGGTCAAACTATCAAATCTGTACCTGGTCTGAGGCTCTCCCTGCCCAGTCTTGCTTCATCCTCATTTTATCCTTCACAGGCACAGCCCCCTTCCCCCTCCAATAAAACACTAACATTCCTAATTCCGTCTCAACATCTGCTTCCCAGGGAACCTAACTAACACAATACTCCTAAAACCAATACCAGCAAAAAGTGACTTTCCAAGCCCCTACATGAAGACTCATTTTCTGGAAAATAAAATTTAATATAATTCCAATTACCCATGACGCTATTTAGCCATTTCAAAGGAAATGAGAAAGCTTCCCAAATTGTGGTCCTCATGGAGTGAACTGATCATCAAATGTTGCTGTTTACATGAGGGCACACAATAATTAGGGTTGTATGTAACATGCTACTTTCAGATTTTCAGGTAAGTCTAAATGCTTTTAATTGATGCAAGAATAATAAGTCCTTCAGTTGATTTATGTCATGCATTAATATCAATCAAAAGGTTTTCTAACACATACTTTTTAATACTATAAAATGTGGGGTTTTTTTTAATGTCTTTTTTTTCTTATTCAGAGCCACATTTCTTCACATGGTATGTTTTACCTAACCTAAGGGTTATGTTGTTCGTTTGTTTTTAATTTCAGGTTTGAGGAATCAAGTAACAGGTCTTTCTAAATCCTTTTATTGGATATATGTTAGTTTTCCATTATCATAAAAGACTGAGGAACAGGAACAGCAGCATATTGTTTAAATGATTCACAGGTAAAAATATCTTCTCCCTCTTGGTCTGTTTTCTTTCCTGATGTCTTTGCTCATTGCCAACATTGTCTATTTTATATATAATTCTTGCAGGACATTGTGCCCTGAAGGTGAAATTGGACAGGTAAGGAGATGACCCAACACCCCTTGTCACACCTGCAGGCTCTAGGTCACTTTTGTAACACACAATGAAATGGGTAAATTCTACACAATCCTTTTTTTTTTTTTTTCAAACAATAACAGAAAGTAAATATTTGAACTGGGGGCTTTTTCAAACAACACAAGTCAGAAAAAATTGACTTGTTTTTGACTGTTACTTTAGGCATATATTTTTGATTAATGACAATTAAATGTAAATATAAAGATATTTTAAACTTGAGGTTTTAAAACAAAGAATGCAAGAATCACCTGGTTAAAGTTAGATATTTTGTCAGTCTCAAAGTCAGTTGGCTGGATAATACCATATCATAAAATTTTATAAGACTAATTTGAAGGTCCATATGAATTGGTATTATTGTTCGTTTTTCAATATTGATCTTAGCAGTGTATTTACAGCATACAGCAGAGTTAATGTTTAATACAAACAAACAAGACTTTCCAGAAAATCTACAAAGAATCACTAACTAATAGCCATGCTTCAGTTAAATTTGTTTACTTTTTAAAGTACATTCTCAGAAGTAACATGTACTCTCAATTAAGTAAAACACAACCAGAATTTTGGAATTTGATCTTTAAAATAATAAAAAAACTTTCTCTGCTATTTACAGCCTTGGTTAAAATCCCAACATCTGGATACCAGAATCTGAGCAGCAAAATCCACGGAGACACATGTGCAATTTTATGCCTGCAAGCTCACTATTATTTAGAACGAAACCAACGTAGTGCATCTACCCTTGTTTCTTGCTACACAGAATGTATCCAGAGTACAAACTAATGTAGATTATTATAAAACTCAGTGTGTAGATATTATATATATATACACATGCATACATACACGCACATATATAACTAAAACAAAATCTTCAAAAATAATACTTTTTCTTTCTGTATGTGATGTGCCCTGATAGTTTCCACTTTACTCCATCCCATTTCCTTTTGTTAATACTGGCCTTGACTCACTTAGACAAATGGGTCATGACCTGTAGTTTGGAAAACAGGGCTTTCCAGCCTGGCTTTAAAGAGGCTGGTCCTCAGGCCAGCAGAACCAGCAGCACCTGGGGGTAGTTTGTGGCGCACAATCTCAAGGCCTGCCCTAGACCTACTGAACTAGGATCTGCTCTTAGCAAGGTCCCCAGGTGACTTATGGATGTATTAAAGTTTGAGAAGCCGTCCTCCTGCATGCAAAAGTACAGAATGAGTATCTGTGATCTGAACTACATTTAAATCGATAATGCACCTCTTAAACTGTCTTTGTTCAAAGAACTTCTATCCTACTGAGCTCAAGGAGCAACACAGTTTCTAGCAAGATAGGTGCAAAGAAAAATTCACTTTCAATTTCATCAACTGCTTCAAGAGGTTGCAGGGACTGGCTGACCTGGTATCCCAGCTCCTGCAGGACCGAGAGTGTGGGAGGTGGGTTGAGGGGAGGTACTGAATTGACTGCAATAGATCCATGAGCATATAAAAGTGTGCGTGTTTGTTCTTATTCCTGGGAGAAAATATATAGTATTCACCTAATTTTAAAAGAGTTTTATGGTTTAAAAAGTTAAGAAGAGCTACTAAGCCATGAAAAGACGAGGAGGAAGCTTAAATGCACATTACTATACCAGATAAGAAAATCTGAAAAGGCTACATAGTGTATGATTCCAACCATATGACAGTCTGGAAATGGCAAAACTATGGAGATGTAAAAAGATCAGTGGTTGTCAGGGCCTAGGAGGTCGGGAGGGATGAACAGACACAGCTCAGTGAATTTGAGGGGCAGTGAAACTAATCTGTATGATATTATAATGGTGGATCCGTGTCATCACCTGTTTGTCCAAACCCACAGAACATATAACACCAAGGGTATACGGTGTTTATATTAAAGTATAACCCTAATGAGAACTCTGGACTTTGGGTGATAATGATGTGTTGATGTAGGTTCAGCCCTTGTTACACGTCAGCCACCCATGTGGGAAAATGTTGATAGTGGTGGAAGCTATGTATGTATAGGGGCAGGAATTATATGAGAACACTTGTGGTATATGCTCAAGTCTGTTGTGAACCTAAAACTGCTCTAAAAAATAAAGTCTGTAGGTATCTATGAAAGCGCAGACACATGGTCCGTGAGAGCACGTCCTCTCTGCTATAAATTGGTTGTATGGTTACAATCATACCTAGAAAGGAGAGAAAATAAAGAGTAAGTGAATACCGACATGTTCAATTCTGCCCCAGAATACAACAAAGTCC
Source organism: Homo sapiens (assembly GCF_000001405.40). Lineage (NCBI taxonomy): Eukaryota > Metazoa > Chordata > Mammalia > Primates > Hominidae > Homo > Homo sapiens. Next base: position 38,563,632 of record NC_000021.9, read on the forward strand.
CTGAATCACTCTTGTTTCATTGTTGCCATTGCTTATTCAATTCAGTCAACTCGTATATGTGAAGCATGTGCTACATACATAACGTATAATGCAGGATGCAAAAATGATTATGTGATCACTTCAAGTAATTTATAATCTAGCAAACATATAAAACAGGCACACAGATAATCCTTACATAGTAAATGCCTCCTTTTTCCCCAAAATGGCAAGGAGACAAATAGCAAGGATCCGAGGACAGAGAGGCAAAATTCAGAAGGCCAGAAAGGCATGGAGCCAGAAATCCAATTCACTCGCGAGTAAGGTATCGGGAGAGAGTGGTGTACAACGTGACAGGGACACCTGTTGCTCCCAATTGTAATCTTTTCTGATTGGTTTATGCCCCTTTCCAATTACTGTGTCCATGCTAATTATCAACTATTTTTATTATCAACCCTGCAGAGGGGACTAAGAGAAAAAAAAAAACTGCTGCAAAGTGATGCTGTGTTCATTTTGCACAGAACCCAGAAATCCTGATGAAGGAAACTGAATTGGATGCCACAAGCCTTATCTCCTGTGAATGCTGAATGACTTTGTCGGTGGGTTTTACGATAAGATGTACTTTCTTTTATATCTATTAAACAAGCTATACAGAATACTGGTAAATACACAGAAGTAAAAAGAAGAATAAAATAGATAAAATTTTCTAAGTTAAAAGCTAAGGGAAAAATAAAAAGAATTATCAATTGATGTGATCAAAGAAAAATGTTTATCTCATGGGGTGTTGGAAAAGGAACATCATAAAAATTAATAGGTAGAATAATCATCAAAAACAATCTGCACAACAAATATTACATAGCTGAGGGGAACTATCATTAAAATATAATGTATACAAATTGCTGAGAAACTCACTACACCTTCTAAATCATGTCAAAAGAGTTGTTTGCATATAAGCTGTCTGCACTTCTTCTCTCTCTCTCTTTTTTTTTGTTCATATTCACTGCAAGGTGGCTTTTGTCCACCCATGCAAATCACTCATATGAAGGTCACAATGATGTCCAGGTGGCCAAAGCCTGTGGCTAATCCTCAGTCCTCATCTCACCGAGACAGCAGTTTCTTAGCCCTTCTCCTACCTCCACTGGCTTCTCTTCTCAGCTCCTCTGTAGTTCCCCCTCCTCTTTCCAACCTGTATGCATTGGAGGGGCCCAAAGCTCAACCCTAATGCTCTTCTGCATCTTGGTCCCTAGGTGATCTCACCTAGTCACCCAGCCTCAGATAGCCTTAGGCTTAGGAATCACAAATATATCTCTCACATGACCTCTAGACTCATATCAACCTCTCAACATCACAATTTGGATATCCAACAGGCATCTCCAACTCAACACAGCCAAACCCCACTTTTGACTTCCTGCTCATTGCAACTGTCCCCTCTTGCAGATGTCCCTTTTAGAGTAGGTGGCACCATCATATACCCAGTTACAAACAAAATCTTTAAAGTCATCCTTGACTCTCCTACACTGCATATCTAATCCATCAGCAAATGCTGTCTTTTCCACCTTCAAAGTAGATCCCCAGTCTGATCATTTCTCACTACCTCCCCTTTCGCTGCCTGGTGCCTGGCAATGGCCTCCTAATTGGTCTTCCCTGTTTCAACTCTTGGTCCCCCTCTAGACTGTTCCCCACACAACAGCCAACATGGTTCTTTTAGAACTTCAACCAATGTAAATTATACTTCAAGAAAGCTTTAAAAAATTCAATCAGATCACATCTGCTATGAACCTTCCAATGGTTCTCCTCCCGCAGTGTGCCAAATAAAATGGAAATGCCCTTATCCTTGCTTAACAGAAGTCTACAACACAGCCTCACCAGCATGCCTCCAACTCACATCCTGCAGCTTTAACCTCACTCCACGCCAGCCCCCAGTCTCCTTGCCGTTACTTGAAAGTGCCAGGAGAGCTCCTGCCAAAGGGCCTTTGCACATGCTGTTCCCTCTCTCTGCAATACTCTTCCCCGTGTGATCATACGGCTCATGCTCCCACTCCCTTCGGGTCTCAGCTTGAATGTCACCTCCTCCCTATGACCTTCCCTAACCTTTCGTGTAAAATTCTACCTCTCCCTTCCTCAGTCTCTTGCTTCTCCTGCTTTGTTCTGGAGAATACCAACCAGCACCACCTGATTTGTAACTATTCCCTTGAGCACATTCTATCTCAGCCACGGGAATGGAAGCTTCATGCAGGCGGGGACATCATCTGTTCAGTTCATGCTGTAGCCCAGCAATTCTGAATGATTAGATTGAAATTGGATCCAAAAATATCACAAATGAGATAACGTAACTTGTTGATAAGTGTGTGAAGAGTATGAAGAGATGATCAAGCTCACAAGTTTCCAAGTGCTAACATCTATAAAACTCCATTGTCACCCATCAAATCAGCAAAGATTAAAAACCACAATAGAATGTGATAAAATAGTGCTCTCAGATACTTCCTGGAGAAGTATAGATGGGCAGAATTGGGTGATCTGGTATCAATGATCATTCTTTCATACCAATACACCATGGGATTTTGCGATCAGAAGGTAAAGAAGACACAGAAGGAAAAGAAGGTGAAGATTAAACCAGCAAAAACCCATAATAAGTAGGACTTCTTCCTATTCATTAGTAAGAAAGAGTTGGGTGTCCCCATGGGAAAATGCTAATTTAGTGTCCTGAACCACTGTACCCTCCAATTCCTGCTTCCCCCACAACAGTGGCCCCACACTGAGTCCTACAACGAGGATAATGATCCTCAACCCCCAATTGCACAGACAGGGCTAAGTCAGAGACAGTGATGCCAACCTTGCTGATGTCTCTAAAACACTCAACTACTGGGGGCTAACCCTAAGCAAAATTATTGACTCCGATTCCTAAGTTAATTTCCTATAAGGTGGAAGAAGCAACAAGTGTCACTTCTCTTCTGGGCTCTATGACACCAAATAGTGGAGCCGAAGAGACTTGCTGATGTTTTGAAACCCAAGGCCAAATAATGCTCTCTAAACCCTTAGAGGTGTGACTAGGATATTCACAGAAGCCACGCAAAAGACAGCAGCCTTCAATGAAGAAACAAAGAAACAAAAAACATGGTTCCTTTTATAAATATTTATCGATTATCTAAGGCTAGGTTAATTGTTGATAACTATCAATTATCTGAGCAAGATACGCAGAAACACTTCAGGTGCTTGAACTGCAGCATCCTGGGCTCCAACCCAAACTTACTGGAGAAGAAGCTTTAGATACCAGGAATCTGCATTTTAACCAACTCCTCAGGGAAACTGCCCCAGAGGGGGTCTAGGCTAACCATGCGCAACTTCCACCCATTCTCCTGGGAAGTGATTGTGAATCTCCTCCAAACCCCTCTTACACTTCCTGATTAAGTTGGTGCCCCCTACTGAATGTCAGCCTCACTGAATCTTAACGAGGAATCGCCAGACTGGGGGGGGGATTGTGCAGCATGTCTGGGGAACACTTCACTACTTCACTAAACCCTGCTGCACACATGCTGAACACCGTTCCAAAGGCTACAGGAACTGAGCACCGCATTGGAATCTGGCCCTGGAGGGTGCCCAGCATGGCGACCCTGAGGGGTGCAGGAACCCAGTGAGAAGGAGAAACAGAAGGTACAGTCCAGCTCGAGACCACGCACATAAAGAAATCTGTAGGCAGGGTCTCTATTATTGTGCCATATTAAATATCTTGATATTTTAAAGCAATATTATTTTTCTGATTATAAAAGTACTCATTGTAGAAATTTTAATTGTGCCATCATCCTGCAGAAAAATGAAAGTACAAAAAACGAAAAAGCAGCTATACACGGCCACAAAGTCACAGGGCTCATCGGGATGTGCTAACCAGGCTGGAAACTGATCAAAGCTGATTTATTGAGAAAAAATAGGCAGCATATCAAAGACTTACATCAGCTTCATAGTAGACAGACTTTGGGGGCGGGGGAACTCTGTCTCTTTTGAGTATATTCTCAAAAGGATAAACTTTCACCTTCCTGTGAAGCACAGTTACTATAAATCAGATTTGCAAACTGTGAGAAATGCTTACAACTCAATGAGTCTTTTGTCAGCCAGTGGGGGCTCCATCGTGAAATCCACCCTTCGCCATAGCGATGGGATAAATCATCACCAGCCCCGAGACATCGCCTAATCCCTTCCTCGCAAGGCAGATTCGGGCGCTTTCTGCATCTGCTTCGTGTTATTGAAAAGAGCTCGGCTCATCTGCTGGGCTCTCAGGCTTCACAGTGACCTCGCACAGAACGCTGCTACTTCTGAAACTGTTTTAGACTCTTCCGTCTATGAAACAGACACAGAGTTTAAGTTTAGCGTCTTTTATGGTCAGAAATATTTAGCGTTACTTCCAGAGCGGCAGCCGTGGAACAATGTGGGAAAGAAGTGCTTCAGTTCACTTCTTGGGAAGTACTGACCCTGGGTCAATTTAATTTTTTCCGTAAGATTTCCCCTTCTTACTTTTCTCCTTCCACTGCTATATGTAACAGTATCTCCCCTTCCACTGCTATATGTAACAGTATCTCCCCTTCCACTGCTATATGCACCAGTATGCTAGTATACAACATTATAGATTAATAATATGCTATATTGTTTAAAAATATTAATGTTATATAATTAACATGGTGTGCATATTATTATATTGACAATACGTAATGTGATGTGATAATAAGTCTCACTGAGTGCCAGGCACCGCTTTGAATGCTCTAAACTCATTAGCTAATTTATTCCTCGTGATTCTATGGGGTAGATGCACTATTTCATTCCCATTTTACAGCTGAGGAAACTGAGGCAGCTAGTAACAGGTGGAGCCAAGCTTCACACTGAGATCATCTGGCCCCAGCACACTCATAAAAATGAGCAAAAGTATAAAAGCCAAAGGGAAAAGGAAGCCAAGGGGTGAAAATCCTAATTACAAACAAATCCTGGGTAAGCTGGGTTTTTAGTCCTTCCCCACATGTGAACAGCAACTAGAAACCTGAACAGTGACTTTGTTTCCCCTGTCATCCATTGTTGGTGCCTGATCCTCACACAAAATCTTACGGAGCAGTATCTAGTGATTAGCTTAGCTGAATTGAGCCTGGACACCCTTCATGAGCTGGAGGACAGAGGACGTGTCGATGGAGGGTCCAACTTCAGGCATCTGTACTCGCCTGCTACAGGTGAGTGGACCTATGAACCCCCAGCCTCATCAAGCACCCGAGGGTCACCTGCCTGCTTCACCTGGAAGAGACAGCAAGGTGTGATCCCAGGAAGATCCTCTGCCAGGAGGCTTACAGGCAGAAGCAGCGGCTGCTGAACATAGATGCTGTCGGCAGGACACAGGGGTGATAGGGGGTGAGCCAGTGGAGCAGGTGAAGGTGCAGACTACAGGCAGCCCCCCTGAGATCCTGCCCAGACCCCAGCAGCAGCTCCCCTGTCCCTCTCTAGCAGCTTCGCTGTGCCCGAAGTGTTTGAGAACAGGTGACCCATGCCCTGAGTGGCAGATGCTGTGTCTTTTTGATCCCTTCTCTCCCTCCCCCCCCACCCCCAGTGGGGTACATGGAAGGTTTGCTAAATGTTTGTTGAATGAATAAACGAGCCCAAGTCAGAAGCAGTCTCCAAATCATTCCTCATCGCAAAAGGGTGCGGTGGAAAAACTCACAAAGCCAAGGCAGGAGGACACACTCAACTTGGAAACGGCCCGTGCCCAGCTTTGGAACAGGCACAGCCTGAGCTTCAAGGAAGTCACTTGACCAGCAGTAGCTCCCACCTTTCCTTGCAGCTAGAACAGCATCAGACCAAGTGATCTCTAATGTGATGATTTGCTAAAGTACAATGAGTTTTACAACTAGAAAGTACCTTCCTCTCAAGACTGACTTCACTATGAGCCACCTAATTTTTCCTCTCTCTTCTTTTGGTATTTTTGTTGCAAATAGTACACACAAAACAGGATATATAATCTATTTGTGCAATTTAAAGAATAAGAAGCAAACACCTTTGCAGGTACTCCCTAGTCCACAACAGTCAGCCCCAGGACCTCAGAAGCCCCTTATGCCTTTCCCCTAAAACTCTCCCCTCCCTGACAAGGTAATTCCAATGCTGAGTTATGTGGTTTTTTTTCCTTATTTTTCTTTTCAACACATATTACGTTTCTCTGAATAATATGCTTTTTAATGTTGCCTCTTTTTAATCTTTATTTGTGGAATCATATTGTATGTAATCTGTGACTTTTTTCTACTCACATATGAGAACCATCCACACTGATACATGGCTACAGATAGACACTTGGAGTTTATTTTTCACTGCTGTATAGTACTCCATTGGTGGAGTACAATAGGTTTATGTATCCACTTTTCTGTAGATGGACACTTGGGTTGTTCTGTTTTTGCTCATACATACCTCCTGGTGCTCAGGTACAAGGGAATACAGACCCAGGGTGAGACTGCTGGATCACAGGCTAGGCACATCTTCAGCTTTACTAGGTAACACCAAGCCAATACAAAAGTGCTTGTACAAACTCATGCTCCTGCCAGCATGGAGGACCCACTGTGCCACATAAAAACATCACTGTTATTAACTTGTTTTATTTGCATATGATTATTTTTTCCCTTATCCCCAACCACTTCTCAAAGCAACTAGCCAGCATGTGCCACACAGGCAAGCACCCACTCCAATGTGATCTATATGGTTAGGTATGTATGTACCCTGGAAAACCCTGTGATGTTGCTTGAGGAGTATATAACTTTTTTATGTATGTAAGTAGCATGTGCTACAAAGCGCGTTCTGTTTTCTGTATTTTTCACTCCACTCAGTGTTTTGTAAAACATGCTCATGTTGCTCCATAGGTATCAGAGACAGGATGATGTTTTATCTTTAAGATGGGTACGCCACCCTCATTTTATAGATCACAGTGATAGCTCACAATTGTTTAGTACTCAGTGGGGTCTAAATGTACTAACTCGTTTAATCTCCCACGAACCCTGCAAAACAGATGCTTCCGTTTCATATAAAATGAGACCAAGGCACAAAGAAACTAAGGAACTTGTACAAAATCACCAAGTTAGTAAACATCAGAGCAGGATTTGAATTGAGCCAGAATGTGTTCTTATCCACGACATGAAACTGGATAAGAATGCAAAGCTCAGAGAATTTTCATGACTAGCATCTCTGGGATTCACAGCTGGCGACCACGGAGCAGAACTAATATACAGATGGTTCCCCTCTCAGTCCAGTCCTCATTCCATCGGCTCCAAAATGTGTATTATTCTATATGATTAGCTGGTGAACAACAAAGGCAATTAGTTAGTCCTCTTCAGCAAATGTTAGTAAATGAAAATATTATAGAGACAGAACTCTTTTTAGGAAATGCAATCATGTGAATTTAAAAATGCTTTATCAGAAATAGAATTAATGACAAAAATATTTATAGGATCCTAAGAAAATGGATTTGCTATTTTTTTTGTCGGCTGATGATAATCATCTGGGTGCATCTTTGGTTGTGACAGCTCCACCCCTTCAGAGAGTTGTATCTTCATACACACCTAACATGCTAAGAGTAGATGTGCATGATATGGTAGTTAGTATAATTTCTGTAATAAAAAAAGTACTTGGTCATGCCTGTAATCCCAGCATTTTGGGAGGCTGAGGTGGGAGGATTGCTTGAGCCCAGAGTTTGAGACCAGCCTGGGCAAGATAGTGAGACCTTGTCTCTACAAAAAAAATAAAAATTAGCTGGGTGTAGCGGTGCACACCTGTAGTCCCAGCTACTCAGGAGGTTGAGGCAGGAAGATCGCTTGAGCCTGGGAGGCAGAGGCTGCAGTGAGCCATAATCATACCACTGCACTCCAGCCTGGGCAACAGAGCAAGACTATGTCTTAAAAAAAATAAATAAAAATAAATAATAAATAAAAAATTTTTAAAAAAGGTACCTGGAACGGCCTGCAAAGAAAGGGAAATCAAATTATGCTTCAAGACAGTCACTATTATCACTGACAGAGAAGCAGCTAAAATAAACAGCCTGCTCATTTTGTTTGTAAATGAATTGCCACAATTCTTGCACTATTTAAATCAAGAATATTTTATATTCCATAGTTTTCAACCACCCCTCCTTTTTTTATTGTTTCCAGCTCCTTAAACATATAAAAGGATAAAAGCCATTTGTTCTGGCAGAAAAGAGTCATCATAAATTTTGCAGAGTGAATTTCTCTAAGATGAAAGGAATGTTCCTCTCCTCCAGGACAGCCTACGGACAGGACTGTGATGACACAGAGTCTTCACGGGAATCACACCTGCAGTGTTAAGCCACTTCTGTGGAAAACTCAAGTCCTTCTCAGATAACAAAAACATTTTAGTAGCAATGAACCAAAAACAAAATCTTCCACTATATATGTTAATACATCAAAAGGAACCATTCATGTGCCATTTATAAGAACTTCCTTCCGGCCAGGTGCGGTGGCTCACGCCTGTAATCCCAGCACTTTGGGAGGCCAAGGCAGGTGGATCACGAGGTCAGGAGATTGAGACCATCCTGGCTAACACGGTGAAACCCCGTCTCTACTAAAAAAAAAAAAAAAAATGCAAAAAATTAGCCAGGCGTGGTGGCAGGTGCCTGTAGTCCCAGCTACTCAGGAGGCTGAGGCAGGAGAATGGCGGGAACCCAGGAGGCAGAGGTTGCAGCAAGCCAAGATCGCGCCACTGCACTCCAGCCTGGGCAACAAAGCGAGACTCCATCAAAAAAAAAAAAAAAAAAAAAGAACTTCCTTCCCAGAAATCATAGCAGCGTTCCTCAGCCCAAAGCCAGAAGAAACTTCTCGCACATGAAATTTTACTTCAAAAACTCCCATATCAGGCATTTTAATGAATCAGTGGAAGAAAATTATCCTCCCAACTTTGTTGTCAAGAACCCCAATTTCATATGCAGAAAAAAGAATTACAAAAATAATTATTCGAATTCTAATTGGTGGGATTTTGATAGGTTTATAAAGGAAATAAATATCTTTAACACAATTCTACCTCGCAGCCAACATCAGCTATTAGCAACCACACTTCTTATTGCCAGTTCATCTCTCCAAACACACAGAAGCCATGTGAGTTGAAATTTATTTTTTAAAAACTCTCAGTTATGATTTCTCAAAATTATATTTCATATATTGACATCAACCAATATGATGATGATATTATATATTGACATTAACCAATACGATCAACCAATATGATGATAATTGTAGGGAAAAGAAAGAGAGATCTGACTGTTACTGTGTCTATGTAGAAAGGAAAGACATAAGAGACTCCATTTTGAAAAAGACCTGTACTTTAAACAATTGCTTTGCTGAGATGTTGTTAATTTGTAGCTTTGCCCCAACCACTTTGCCCTAGCCACTTTGACCCAACCTGGAGCTCACAAAAACATGTGTTGTATAAAATCAATGTGTAAGGGATCTAGGGCTGTGCAGGACGTGCCTTGTTAACATGTTTACAAGCAGTATACTTGGTAAAAGTCATCGCCATTCTCTAGCCTCAATAAACCAGGGGCACAATGCACTGCGGAAAGCCGCAGGGACCTCTGCCCTTGAAAGCGGGGTATTGTCCAAGGTTTCTCCCATGTGATAGTCTGAAATATGGCCTCGTGGGATGAGAAAGACCTGACTGTCCCCCAGCCCGACACCCGTAAAGGGTCTGTGCTGAGGTGGATTAGTAAAAGAGGAAAGCCTCTTGCAGTTGAGATAGAGGAAGGCCACTGTCTCCTGTCTGCCCCTGGGAACTGAATGTCTCAGTATAAAACCCAATTGTACATTTGTTCAATTCTGAGATGAGAGAAAAACCGCCCTATGGTGGAAGGTGAGACATGTTTACAGCAATGCTGCTTTGTTATTCTTTACTCCGCTGAGATGTTTGGGTGGAGAGAAACATACATCTGGCCTATGTGCACATCCAGGCATAGTACCTTCCCTTGAACTTAATTATGACATAGATTCTTTTGCTCACATGTTTTTTGCTGACCTTCTCCTTATTATCACCCTGCTCTCCTACTACATTCCTTTTTGCTAAAATAATGAAAATAATAATCAATTAAAACTGAGGGAACTCAGAGGCCGGTGCCGGTGCAGGTCCTTGGTATGCTGAGCGCCGGTCCCCTGAGCCCACTGTTGTTTCTCTATACTTTGTCTCTGTGTCTTATTTCTTTTCTCAGTCTCTCGTCCCACCTGACTAGAAATACCCACAGTTGTGGAGGGGAAGGTCACCCCTTCAGATAATAAGATAAATCAGAGCCGAAAACATAGTTCATTCCTGAAATCAAATATAGAACGTTTCTACCAACACACATTTTCAAAGATGGTGTTTTCAGGTTTGTATGGGATTGTTTCACCTTTATGAATTAGCTTTTTAAAACCTGTAATACTTTCTTGCTGACTTCATCATTTCCTTCTGGTTGCCTGGAGGGGTGGTGTGGAATGCTAATAAAATGAATTTCAGTTGCCGTCCCTCACAATCTGAACTATAGAAGATATTTATTGTCTCAACTTCCCTATGAGCTTTTCTTTGCATCATGCAGCTTCATGGTCAGCAGACACTAAAAATTAAAGAAAGTCTTTCTCCCACTTTACTTGTGTAGCACAGACACACTGATCAAATATGTTCCCAGCACTTCCGAAGAAACCTTATCACATCCACAAGAGATTTCCTACTTGCACTTTTTTTGATAAACACAACCATCATAGCCCAACAAAACATCACACAGAAATCAAATTATAGTGTCCCCATAAGCATCTGCTCCTCTATGGCCTTGGGCAAAATTTAGAATCCTCGACATCCCTAGAGTTACCACAATCTCTGAAAGTGAAGGAGCACCCACAAAGCTCAAGGAATGCATTGAAACTCTTATTACTTCCAATTCCATTTTCAAAAAAAGTAAATGTGTGTGTATGTGAGCTGCACATGGTCCAGAATGCCTCACCAAATGTATTGTTTTAAAATGTGTGTACGTCCATGTGTAATTGTATGTGTGGGATTTTGAAAGGCTTTTTATATTTTATTCAAAAAGGTACACTTTTCAATATCACAAACTTTGCTTTCAATTATAAGCCCTTCCCATTTTCAATTAATGTTTTAGGCAAGGAATATACATTAGTAAAACCAACCACACCACTTAGGGAAAATGAATTAGTATGGGGAAAGTGAAGAACTGGCCATGCAGTCAATTACTTTGGCCAGCATAGATATAGTTGAACTAACCAGCACAGGTGTAGACAGCCTGTTTGGATAAGGTAGCTTAAGCCCCAATTTTTTCTGCAGTCTTTATTTTTGTCAAATATATGAAAACTACCATCTCATTTCCTCCCTGTAGCTATTACCCACATGTATGTGTAGTGTCAAAATAAATGGCCAGAGTCCTCTCAGGGACCTCCCTTGGCACAAGTCGCACTTCCTCACCCTCTCACCTCCAGAGCCTCAGGAAGTGCAGGTCAGAAAGCAGCCAGGGCAGGTGTGAGGTGATGGAGCGCTGAGTGTCGGCGAGCCCAGATAAAACAACGTTCCAACATCGGAAATCCAATCATTCACCTACTTGTCTCCTGCTCGCTAACCCCAGGCAAGTATAAAGGAGATGGAATTATAACAGGAGTTAGAAGAATTTGGATGTGATTTCATATATTAACTCAGCAAAATTTTTTCTGAAAAGGTCCAGACAGTAAATATTTTCAGCTGGCAGGCCATATGGTCTTTGTCGAACCTACTCAACTGTGCCATTATGGAGTGAAGGCAGCCACAGATGATATAGAAATGAATGCATGGGGCTGTGTTCCAATAAAGCTTTCTTTATGGACACTGAAATGTAAATTTCATGCAATTTACATGTGTTACGAAATATGCTTCTTTTGATTTTTCAACCATTTAAAAAAGTAAAAACCATTTTCTTAGCTCCTGGGCTGTGTTGACTGACCCCTAATTAACTGATATGTGGGCTGCTATCCATGAAAACCTAGGCACAGAGGAAGGCAGAGCTGGCTTCCCAGCCAAGACGGGACTTACCTTGATATGAGCTGCTGGGTCCGGGACAGTCTGAATCATGTCCTTCAGTAAGCCAGCCCATCTACCAGCTGTTCAGAACCTGACGGCTAGAAGACAAAAGGAACAACATACATAATAATAAACAACTGCATTTCTGTGTTTTATGTTCTAGCAGGACAGGACACAATTCACCAATGGCAAAAGAATCATAGCTTTACATTAAACATGTTTGCCTAAAGGCATCCTCTAGGTACGTGTGGTCCATGAGGTGACTAGATAACTCACTTCCCTTCCATTGGGAAAATCACTTACAATGAGCCCAAGAGAACCCTAGTCCGACAGGACAGAAGAATCTAGCTCAAGCTAACCCACATCACATGCAGCATCCACACATCCTTCCACGTGGGCAGCATCTAATGAGGGATCCATTAAAGGAAGACGTGGGACTAAAACAGGGCATACTTCTCTATCATACTGAGAAAACAGGACTTTGAAATCCCACCAAAACTCATGCGATCTGCACATCCTTTTCAGCTTTGTTATTAAGTTCTTAGTAAACAGCACAGCTACCATTCATTGAGTACTTCAGCGCCAGTTCCTTGAGCGCTAAGGGCTCCACACACATTTTCTCATTTCATTCCAACCACGACTCTGAGAGCTGTCATTCCCATTGTCCAGCTGTGGACGTCAAGACTCATAAAGGTTACTGATTTGTCCAGGATCACCTGGTTAATAAGCGACAGAACCAAACTTCAAATCAGATTAGGCTATCTGACTCCAGAGCCCAAAAAAAATTTGGTTTGACTTAATTAGCAGGTATCAACCCACATTTTGAAGGGACATTTTAAAACACCGCTTAAATAAATTAAATTTAAAGATGCCTATAATCCAGGAATTTTCCAGAAATAAATACTTCATCCAATATATTCCTTTATTCAAATTATAAAGCAGCATGTTCTGACCACTGTCTGTGCCCTCCCCTTCCACCGAGCCAGTCTCCAACCTCCCTTTGCTGTCACAGGCCCCAGGGCTGACCTCTACAGATGGGCTCAGCAGGGTGCCTTGCCTCCTGGCCACCTGTCAGGGTTGGTTGACGTGGCCCCCTCTGGAGAGCAGGGGTGAGAGGAGAGGGGTATCTCTTCCCCTCACCTTCCCACCACCGACACCTGCCGCCCAACCTCCCTGGGCGCTTGGTTATGGTTCTGACTGCAGCTGGATTCTAGGGGGACCTCTCCCGTCATGGGGCCCCTCCTTCCAGGCTCCAGCCTCCAGTACCTGGTCCCCAGCCAGTCTCTGGTGCTCTGCAGATCTCAGCCAAGCCATCAGTTCTTTTTTGGCACTAAAAATGCCTTTTTTAGTTTACATTTTTAGAAGCCATCACTTGCTTTTTATCACCTGTAGTTTTTTGTTTGTTTTCTCCTTTACAATGGCTCTTTGCAGTAACAAATGCAAAATAAAAATAAACAATATGATTACAGAACTTGAGACATTTTCGAAGGCTGTCTTTCAAATTTGCTACTGAGCGCATTACTGTAGTGACAAGTGAAAGCATTCACAGGAGTCCTCCCCACATTCACATCTGTCCTTTCTGACCTCTCACGGTACAGGCACACCCATTCCAACCCAATTGCCTCTCATGAAGAGCATCTACCTCCAGATCTGCATGCTCCACATCTGTCTTCAGTCTCCCTGGAGGCCTCCCAAGATTGGCGGAGCTTGGCTCACCAAGAAGATGACATGCTGGGAACCTTAGGCATTTTTTTTCTATAACCAAATTTCTAGGTCTTGGAAAATATGTACTTCCCCCCACCCCCACCCCCAGGCCTAAAGTCCCTCTGGGGGATGAGAGTTACTGAAAGTACAGAGGGAGTGAAGTGCAGTCCTGAAATTGAACCGGGAAGCAGATGAAGGTGACCAGGCTCCTGGTGCTCTCGTGGGAGAAGAGGCTGGGAGAGGATGGGGCCTGGCTGAAGGTTTCTGGGAGCATAGGAATCCTCAACTCCCCTTATCCTAAGAGCAGCAGGTGCCACAGGAAAACACCACTCTGCTCCTGGGGTCATTCAGCCCGGAAGGGGAGCGTCTGCAAGCCATCCTCACAAAGGGAGGGCGTCCCACTGCACAACCCTGCTCTGGGGAGCACATGGCTATTTCCGTATGTCTGGACATTCTCTCTGGACTAGTTCACTCCGCACAGTTCCTCCCTGCCTGCACACACATGCTGACGCTCACACCAGGGACTGAAGCTCGTCCCCCTCCCCTCAAACCCAGGCTGACCTGTGGCTGCCTCTGACCTGCAGAACACAGCAGAGGGAAGGTTTCAGGAGTCCCAGGCTCAGGCCTTTATGGAAGTGGGAGCTTCCCCTTCCTGCCTCCTGAAACCAAGTCCCCATACCCTCAGCAGCACAGCACATGGCAGAGGACCGAGTGCCCAGTGGGGCAGCCAGCACCAACGCCAGGCCCGGGAGGGAGTTGTCCTGGACAGTCCAGAGAACTGACTCTCAGATGACCACGGCCCCTGCCGACATCAGGGAGGCAGCTTCCAGCTGAGTCCAGTCAGCCCACAGAATCATGACCAATAATAAATGGGTTGTTGTACTAAGCTGCTAGGATTTGGGGTAGTTTATTACACACACAGGTCATTGAAACACCCTGTAAGTGCTCTAGAGGCACGGAGAAGATAGAGGGTAAATAGCTTGTTTCACTGTCACTATGGATAAGTACAAAGATGGTTCCAACACTCAACTCCTCCTGTACCCATGCTTTTTGCCACATAACTTTGTGATTCTTCCCATTAAAGAGGTAGAATTACTTCCCAACCCTTATTTTTGGGCGGCCTATATGATCTGCTTCAGCCAACAGGCAGTAGCAGAAAGACAAGTATGACAGATCCTAGCTGAAGCCTCAGGAGGCAGGACATGTTCCCCTTTGCTTTTCTGTAACTTTCCACCAGCATGGGAACATGGCCAGATGCATGCGGGAGGATGAGAGGTACCTGAGGCAGAGTCACCCACCCCAATCACCCCACCAAGACTACGTTTGATCATCCCATAGACAACCAAAACCCCAGACATGGGAGGGAGGCAACCAGACCAGCCGCTAGCCAAGTCCAACCAGAATGGCCAACCCACAGGCTCATGGCTGAATAAGTGCTTACTGCTTGAAGCCACTGAAATTTGGGGAATTTGTTACACAGCATTTTTGTGACAATAGATTACTGACATACACTTTGCAATGTACAATCAGATTACCGAGATCTTCGTTAAAATTTTTCTAGCCAGTGATAAAAGGAGACTCAAACAGGGCATTTCAAAGGAAGCCACTTCATCCCAACACAGAGACATAATATTTCCACTCACCTACGAGACATGATCTCAAACCCTAATCCTGCCCTCAAAATGGGTTTGGAAACTGAAGGATAACCAAGAAACCTCCACCAGAAGCCTCCATGGGATTCCCAGAGCCCTTCCCAGGAGCAACTGAATTCTCACTTCACATGATGCCCTGCCAGCCTCCCCTGGATTCCAAAAATCAAAACATCCTTGGATATCCAAGACCGCAGCAACATCATAGAAGTTACAGCAGCCACTCGGTCTGTAACCAACCAAGACATAAACTAAATGAGCAACTGTTTGAGTCTCTTGTTTCTTATGGGGAAGTTTTGAGTACTCAGGTTGCATCAAGTATAAAATGACAGGGAAGGGAATAGATAGAGATTCCAGATGCAACACAGTCCTGATCCTTGAGGGATCGAGATGGGAAACAGATCTGTTTCATACAGATATGAAGCGGTCAGTCCTGAGAGCAGGCAGTTAGTGGAGGTGCCCAGTGAGGCGTGTGGATATACCTAGAGGAAAGAGAGAGCTGATTCATGCAGAGACAAGAGGGTGCCACCAAGGAGCCTTGATGAACAAGAAGCATGAGGACTGGAGGAAAGAGGGTGAAAGGCATGAAGCAGGGAACCTAAGTTTCTCCCAGCTCTGCCACATTAGAGACCAAGGGCGTATGAGCTTCTCACACCGCCACCACCAGAGTGATCACACACCAAAGGGATTCACTCAGCACGCAGCGTGATGGCACTGCCACCCTCCACACCAGCTCAGCGAAAACCCAACGGACCTAAAGACCAGGAGAATAAAAGCTCAACCACCCTCCCCTGCCTCCTCAACCCACACGGATCTCTGACTCTTTTTTTTTTTTTGAGACGGAGTCTCTCTCTGTTGCCCAGGCTGGAGTGCAGTGGTACGATCTCGGCTCACTGCAACCTCTGCCTCCCGGGTTCACACCATTCTCCTGCCTCAGCCTCCCAAGTAGCTGGGACTACAGCCGCCCACCACCACGCCTGGCTAATTTTTTGTATTTTTAGTAGAGACGGGATTTCACCGTGTTAGCCAGGATGGTATCGATCTCCTGACCTCTTGATCCACCCGCCTCGGCCTCCCAAAGCACTGGGATTACAGGCGTGAGCCACCACGCCCGGCTAATTTTTTGTATTTTTAGTAGAGACGGGGTTTCACCGTGTCGGCCAGATGGTCTCGATCTCCTGACCTCGTGATCCACCCACGTTGGCCTCCCAAAGTGCTGGGATTACAGGCGTGAGCCACCACACCTGGCCCTCTCTGACTCTTTTTGCAGCCATTTGAGTGCCTGTTCTTTTTTACCATTTCAGAGGTATTTTATGGATTTTTTAAAGAGTACTTCTAATTTACTTTTGTGTTCCTAATGGTCATTTCTCAAATATGTAGTAGTTGGTAACCAAACAAACTAAAACCATACTAAAAATTTTTAGTAGTTGGTGATAGTTTCATGTCACTGTAGGAACCTTTTTATTTTCTATTTTACCTGCCTTTGAACCCTTGCAGAACTTCACTCTATGTTGATTGAAAATCATTTCTTTAATACTTGTTTCTTGCAATAAACTCATTTGCTAAGGTATATACTTCCATATGATTTTGTGTTTCATGACCCAGCTATATTTTATTATTGGGTATCTTAAAGAAACAAAAAAGGCCTTAACAATAACAGAATTCTACTTGTGTCACTTCTTTGTTTTTGTTTTCAAAATGCCAATGTCTTACTAAATAGAAACAAACTTGATTTGAATTACGTAAGCTCTAACCACATAAAAAAGATGGACTGGTACCCAAGGTAGAAGGGAAAATAAGCATTTTGTAATTATGGAGGCAGTATTGCAAAATGGTTAAGAGAAGGCCTAAATATTTGCAGGGCTGGTGCAAGAAAATAGATGGAAGTTTGAGACCCCTCGACCCTACCCCTCCTCTCTTCTCAAACCCAATTGTGTTCTGCGGGTTAGGGGATGCATATAGTCACGTGGACATCCCGATCCACATGGCCACACTCCATTCAGCAATGCTCCCTGCTCATCTTTCAGACCCAGGGAAACACACACAAGATCTTCCCAAGAAGATGAACTCCAGGAAACAGGCTGGTGCAGCCCAAAAGATGCTCAGTCAAGTTTGGAAAGGCACTCTGGGTGCCCCAGCACCTGGGGCATGTCCTGGAATGGGGATGGGTTCAGCTGGGGAGGGCAGGAATGGGGCCTAGAAGGCATAGGCAGGACGCTGGGCTGGGGGCAGTGCTCGATATGAGCACAGTGCAGAGCCAGATGAGGGATGGAAATCAGATCTGCCACTTACTCCTTGGAAACCTATAAATGATCACTTTATCCTCCAAGAGCCTTAGTTACACATTTGCACAATGAGGATAATATTACTGTAGTATAATAAGAACTCCATTTGCCCTTGTCTCTCGTTTCTGGCATGGAGCTCCTAAAACTCTGGGAATTTCCCAAGTGATGGGAGCATCTTTTGTTCTAAGAAGGCAGCAGGTTGGTGAGTCCCTAGATAGCTTCAGGATGGGGGCTAATTGCAAGAAAGAGTGAGTCTTGATTAGATGCTCAGAACCTTCAGCCCCATTTCCCAACCTCTCAGGAGAGGAGAGGAGCTAGAAATTGAGTTGATCCCCAGTGGCCAGTGATTTAATCAATCCTGCCTATGTAACAAAATCTCCATAAAATACCCTGACGGGGTTAGGACAGCTTCTGGGCTGGTGAGCATATTGGTATGAAGAGTGTGGTGCAACCCAATGCTAAAGGGACAGAGGCGGCCAGGCGCGGTGGCTCACGCCTGTAATCCCAGCACCTTGGGAGGCCGAGGAGGGTGGATCACGAGGTCAGGAGATCGAGACCATCCTGGTTAACACGGTGAAACCCCATCTCTACTGAAAATACAAAAGATTAGCCGGGCGTGGTGGTGGACGCCTGTAGTCCCAGCTGCTCAGGAGGCTGAGGCAGGAGAATGGCGTGAACCCGGGAGGAGGAGGTTGCAGTGAGCCGAGATCGTGCCACTGCACTCCAGCCTGGGCAACAGAGCGAGACTCCATCTCACAAAAAAAAAAAAAAAAAAAAAAGGGCAGAGGCTCCTGTACTTGGAATCCTTCCAGACCTTGCCCTGTGCACCTCTTCATCTGGTTGTTCATTCATATGCTTAATAATAAACTGTAATCATAAGAGCATAGCGTTTTCCTGAGTTCTAGCAAGTTGTTGCACCTAAAAGGGGGGTTGTGGGAACCCCCAATGTTGTAGCCATGTCAGACAGAGTGTAGGTAACCTGGGGACCCAATACTTGTAACTGGCATCTGAAGTGAGGACGGTGTTGGGGAGCTCAGCCCTTAAACCCATGTGCTAACTTCCGGTAGTCAGTGTCAGAACTGAATTGAACTGTTGGACACCCAGTTGGTATCAGTGTTGAATGACTGGTTGGTACTGGCGAAGACATGATGTATTTGGTGTTGGGAAACATGAATAAAAAATTTGTAAAACCTCCAAACGATGTTCAGCAATTCACAAAGGTGTCAGTGCAAGAGTTGGCCTGTATCTATTCTAACTGGTCAGTATGCAAGTTGAACCATTGTTTGATTATCTCCTCTGTCTACACCATCAGGCTTTTGTGAGGATTAAACTAAATTATGCCTCAGAAAGAAAACTCTCTCAAGGCTAGGCACATAATCAACACTAAACAAGTGGTAATCATTATAATTAAGAAAGTAAAAATATTTCAAATGGACGATTTTGATACTGTATAAAATGTTGCAACTTTTTTTTTTTTGAGACGGAGTCTTGCTCTGTCGCCCAGGCTGGAGCGCAGTGGCGCAATCTTGGCTCACTGCAACCTCCACCTCCCGGGTTCCACTGATTCTCCTGCCTCAGCCTCCCGAGCAGCTGGGATTACAGGCACGTGCTACCATGGCTGGCTAATTAAAATGTTGCAACTTTTTAGGAAAAATAATCCTCAATAAATAAATTGCTAATTTTCATAAGAGCCCTTTGTCAACTGACTAAAAACATCCTTAATTTAGAAATGTATTTTTTAGTTTTAAGATAACTAGTCATTAAGTGAAAACATTGTAGGCAAAATGGCTCTAAGCAATTTAGTATTCATAGGAATGAATCCATTCCTTGAAAGCATTGGTCGCTGGGTGCACTTGTCCTGGATGAGCAGATATTAGGCAAATCAGTCTTTCACCAGCAAACCCTGCCATAAGAACTGCACAGGCCTGATTCCTGCCAAGCACACCAGGCCCCTGACTGGGGCAGAGGCCTCCCTTATGGGGCAGGAAGAAGGAGGCAGGGAGAAACATAGGGCCCATGATTTAAGGAGGCTCTCCCTCTCAGGCTCATGCAAGTGCAGGATCAGTACCTAAAGGGGAGCACCGCCCGAAATCCTGTGCCCCAGTCACCTTAACCCAGTCCAGCCCTGGCTCCTGCACTCCAAAGCTAAGCAGGGAATACCAGCGGGAGACAGAAGACAGCATGAGAAACTGAATGCATCTCCCACATTTATCTAAAAATAAGAAAATGGACTTCTTCAGTAGGAAATGGCTCATCTTTCCAAATGAATAAAAATACTTATAGCTATGGGTTGAATTGTATCAATTCTCTCCCCCAGTTCATGCACTGGAGTACTAACCCCCGGTCCCTCGGGATGTGATGATAGAGAGGTAGGGCCTTTACAGAGGCAATCAAATTAAAGTGAGGTCATTAGTGACCTAACCCAATGTGACTGATCCACTTACAAAAAAAGGGACAAGATTTAAAGACAGACCTGTATAGAAGGACGATGGTGTGAAGACACAGGGAAAAGACAAAAGAGGCCTGGAACAGATTTTCCTCAAAGCCCTCAGAGGGAACCACTTGGGCTGACACCTTGATCTTGGACATCCAGCCTCCGGAACGGTGAGATGATGAATTTCTGTTGTTTTAAGCTACCCAGTTCATGGCAGTTTGTTACAACAGCACTGGGAAAGGAAATCACCTCTATGGAGGGACTTACGAAAGTCACTTAACTAATGCAGATTAGAGGCCTCACAGTCAGGGCATGGCCTCAAGAGCCACATCCATTTTAATTGTACCATTTCTCACTGAACTCTGACCCTGGTCAAGGCATGTCTCAGGCTCCATGGACTACTATTCCTTCCACTGATCGACCCTGGCTTCATTCTGGCAAGGGAGGGACTCATACATTCTGCGGCCTGCATGAGTGTCATGTGAGCACCCCCATAACCTTGATCCCTGCGGTGCTTCTCCAGGGGAGCCCTAGCATTCCAGCTGGCCTCATGGGCATGCCTTAGAGAGAGGGAGCTGACCCTCTCCTTCTTCAACTGGATTTTATTTTTATTTTTTGGCATGTTTTGTGAATACAAAGATTCACTGCCTGGGTGTGCCCCTTGAAAGAAGGTTTCAATTGCATTCAGGTGAAATAACCACAAAATGACTGTAAGCCAAATGTAGTAGTATGATAGAAAAATGGAAATATCGTAAAAGCACCAGTCTGTAGACACCTAGCTTCTGGTTCCTCTGGAAAAGGGAGAAGAGAGTAGACAGTGATGGAGAAAAGAGGGGCTGTGAAGACTATAGAACTGAGAAGGCAGTAATTCTAAAATCTCCACACTGTAGGGCCAGGAACAGGCAGTGCTGGGCAATGGGGCATCTTATCTCAGGGAAGTCAAGGGTGTCATGTAGAACCAACATAATTCATCCAAGTACAGCAAAGAATCCAGAAATGGTCTGTGGAGGTTTGGAACCATGAAAATCAAATAGGAAAGATACAAAATATTTACATATCCACATTTTTTAAAAGGGGTCCTGACTAGGCAGCATAAGATTATTTGGGTTCTGTTCATTTTACCTTTAGTTGCCCTTGGTTCTGCCATCTTTTTTCTCTGTGAGTCATTTGTCTTGCTTTTGGTCAACACGGCTTTCCTCGGGTCTCCAAAGATCCTGGAATAACCTGAATATAAGTTGAAGAATATTAAACCTTATTTTGTTTTCAAATATTAATACCAGGGATCAACTGTACATGTACCGACAAAACCTATTTCTTAAACATTATTTTAAAATATCCTAAAAGGGGAAAGAACTTAAATCCTTCCCCTTAAAAAAAGAGGGGACAACATTCCTCTCCTCTGAGGGAAGCCCAGCATTATGAAGCAAAAATCGGGAGTGAAAGCAAGGCCAAGCCTAACTGGCATGCTGAAGCACACAGATGCTTTTGCACAGAAAATATTTTGAAAATGTTTTCTTTTCCTTATAGCCCCCAGCTTTGGTAATAATGGCTTCCCTAGATCATTCTGTTAGCACTTTCTGCTGCTCAGAACAGGGTAGTGGGATTTAGAATTTAGAAAACATCCCGAGAACTGTAATTAAGCAATTGTCATAGTCCCAGAAAAGAAACAACCCTTTTACTTTGTAAATGCTAGGAGGATCTGTATTTTTTAAAATCTTAGAACACTAACTAGCTAAAAAGATAGAAAGAAAAAAATCTTTCTTACAATATGCCTGTAGCACGGCTCCAAAATCCAGTCCCTCTCTCTCTTCTTTTTTTTTTTTTTTTTTTTTTTTTTAGATACAGGAATTTCTTACACAACTTTCCAAGTAAAATATTCAATCCCCAAATAATATATTTAGTAGAATCCTTACAACATGAGAAATTGTAAATGGCATCTGTTTCCGTTGAAAATATTTTTAAATTAGAAAACATCTTAAGCACTGCATCAAATCAATATTTGTAATGGGCAGAATTATTTCTAAATGGTTCCACAGGCCAGTTGACATTCCCACTCTACTTAGGAAGCCCCCAGCCAACTCCACCTGAAGTCTTCGAAACCTATGCATAGAGGCAAATTGCCCAGATGTCACAGAAAAGCATTTGTTGTGATACAGAAAATAAAACACATTACTGGGGGAAAAAAATCAGGGTACTAAACCACGTACATAATATCATCCCAATATTGCACAAAGAAAAAAAAATAAGTGGATGAAATAAAAGAGGGAAGGCAGGAAAGGAAAGAGGATGACCTGAGAAAAGTTATCAAAATGGTTAACAGTCATGGTCTTTGGCTTTCCAGTGTGAAATAGGAGTTCTTATTTTCCTCTTTTTAAAATATTTTTAAAATTATTTATTTTTTAAACCAACTAATAAAAGTAATATATATTTACCGTGTACAACATTATGTTTTGAAATATATATATATATATATATATATATATATATATATATATATATATATATATATATATACATGTTGGAATGGCTAAAGTAAGCTAATTAACATCTGCATTACCTCACATACTTATTTTTTTGTGGTGCGAACACTTGAAATCTACTCTTAGTGATTTTCAAGAATATAATGCATTGTTATTAACTACAGTCAATAGATCATAGGTCTATTCAAGTTCAAGTCACAGATCTCTTGAAATTACTCCTCCTGTCTAACTGAAATTTTGTGTCCTTTGACCAACATCTCCCCAGTTCCCCTACGCTCAACATCACTAATCATCAAGGAAATGCAAATCGAAATCATGATGAGTGTCATCTCACACCTGTTAGAATGGCCATTATCAAAAAGACAAGTGTTGGTGGGGATGTGGAAAAAGGGAACTCTTGCCCACCGTTGGTGGGAACGTAGATCAGTACAGTCATTATGGAAAACAGGATGGAGGTTCCTCAAAAACACAAAGATCAATTACAAAACAAAATACTATATGTTTTACAAATGTACTACAACTCAATTTGGTATGTATTACAAATCAAAATACTACATGATTGCTGGCAATCCCACTCTGGAGATAGATCCAAAGAAAATGGAAAATGAAATCGGTATGTCAAAGAGGTACCAGCCCTCCCAAATTCATTACAGCATTATTCACAACAGACAAGGTATGGCATCAACCTAAGTGTCCATCAACATAAACGCCCATAAAGAAAAGTGGTGCACATACACAATGGAACACTATTCAGCATTTAGAAGAGAAATCCTGTCATTTGTGACAACATGAACAAACCTGGAGAACTTTATGCTAAATGAAATAAGCCAGGCACAGAAAGACACATACTGCATCCTCTCACTTATACATAGCATCTGAAAAGTTGAACTCCTATTTCCTTCTTTATAGTTTTGTGTATTTTCCAAATTTTCTAAACCAAAAATATTCATCTTTATAATCAGGGGAGAAAACTAAGGAATAATCATTTTATAATCCTAAACATGCTTTTAAAGCATTTATTTCACTGTAATGTATTCTTTTCCCATCCAGTCATACATGGGCCCAAGGAGCTGGCCTTCCCTGCTCGGCAGCCTGATGTTCAAGGGGATGGGGGAGGGGGACGGTGCAGTAGATCATGCTTTGCAAAGCTGTGCAAATCTTTTTTTTTTTTTTTTGAGACGGAGTCTCGCTCTGTCGCCCAGGCTGGAGTGCAGTGGCACGATCTTGGCTCACTGCAACCTCCGCCTCCCAGGTTCACACCATTCTCCTGCCTCAGCCTCCCGAGTAGCTGGGATTACAGGCGCCCGCCACCACACCCGGCTAATTTTTGTATTTTAGTAGAGACGGGGTTTCATCGTGTTAGCCAGGACGGTCTCAATCTCCTGACCTCGTGATCCACCCGCCTCGGCCAAAGTGCTGGGATTACAGGCGTGAGCCACGGCGCCCGGCCAAAGCTGTGCAAATCTTGAGTTAATAAACATGTTCCCCAAATCCAAAAGCCAATATTGACTATTGCTTGGTTAACTGTTTTGCATGGATAAGTGGTTAAAGGAGTATTTGGTTTCCAATTTCTGCAAAGGGAATAAAAGTTTTAAAAGCGTGAACTAAGATTTCCTATACTATGCTATTCTATAGTAGGTTTTTATGCCAAAACCTCTACTAGGCTGAAAGGATAATTTGATTTATGGTTGAGACATTGTTGGGCCTGATTTAAAGCCCAGAGTCAAGCCCAGAGAGGATTCTCTTAAATATGTGCAATGGGTATTTTTAAATTAGCATTATGGCGTTATTAATATTTCATTTATCCTGAGAGCATTTACCTGACAACGTAAATTATGTGTAACACAGCTGAGAAGCCACAAAGGATCCAAAAAGATGTCACGAAGTCCACGAAGAGAAGCTTTGCCAGAGAAAGGCACACTACCAGCCGCGTGAGCTGGCCTCATCAAAGCAAAAAAGTCAGAAAATTATGTAAACCAGACTCAAGAACTCAAAAATACAGTCGTTTGAGAACATTGGTAAGAGTGCAAACTGCTCACCCCAGCTCAATCACCCCTGGTCCAGCAACGGCAGAAAGCCAAGGTCAAGGAGTCACATGACCTGAAGAGACACCCCCCACCACCACCACCACCCTCCAAGCCCTGCCCCTGGCCAGTGGGACAAACCACATGACCCCTGGGATTCAGTATTCAGTCAGGTTCTGTGTTCTGTATGGGGAGGTAGAAGAAGGCACCAGATCATCAGGAAATCTGGACTGGAAATGGCCAAAGCTGAACACATCTGAGTACCTGAAGGGTAAGCTTAAGGTGTCAAAGCAGCCATGGTGAGGCAGAAAGAACCTTGAGCTTGGGGCCCCAAGTTTATGCTGACCCACTAGCAGCCAACAAAACCTCCCTCAGCCTCAGTTTGCTCATCTGAAAACTGTGAGTAAGAGGCTCTGACTCCAGAGAGGTGGTGCAAGTTCAATGAGAAGGGGTTGCTGATGGTCCAGATGGACAGATGCAAAGCACTGCTTTCTGTTTTTGTCTTTGTTTTGATACAGGATTCTCTCTGTCATCCAGGCTGGTGTGCAGTGGTGTCAATAGCTCACTGCAGCCTGGACCCTCCCTGGCTCAAGTGATCCTCCCACCTCAGCCACCCAACTAGCTCAGACTATAGGAAAAAGAGTCATGCACCACCATGCCTGGCTAATTTTTAAAAAAAAAATTTTGGAGACATGAGATCTCACTATTTTGTCCAGGCCAATCTCGAACTCCTGGCCTCAAGCAATCCTCCTCTCTCAGCCTCCCAAAGTGCTTGGATTAGAGGGGTGAGCTACCATGCCCAGCAAAGGCATTGTTAAATTCAGGAATGAATGACCACCTTGTTCCCCAAAACACTAGACAAGAGAACCATTCTCTACGCACAGATCTCCCTGGCCACCACGTGTAAGCAGCAGTGAATATTCCATAGGTGGAACTGGCTACTGTGAAGAAAGAAAACTCCAGAAAAGCTACCCTCACTCCAAGAAGTAGCCTGGACCCCACGTGCGTGACAGCAGCCTGGGGAGAAGGCTCCACTCCCACCAGCAATGCCAAGGACAGAGCAGCAGCAGCCGTCCATCCCCACAGTTATGGTGAACACAGCCACAGAGCAGCCTGCTTTTTCCATGTATAGCCACACACAGGTGGCAATGGCAGCAGACGTAACTGGCTGCCCTTCCTCCCTTATGGAAGGAAACATAATTTTGCTTGGGTGTTCTGCCTGCCCCCACATGACCCACGGAGGATGACCAGCCCCAACACCAGTGTAAATCCTATCACTGGGCACCATCTCTTCTCACCACGGATTGGTTTAGGGAAGGGCACATGATATAATTCTGGTCAGTCTAACACTCGGGGAAGCGAGCTAGAGGACTTCTAGGAAAAGTGTTGGCTGATGAAGAAAGGCCATAGAGTAGTAGTCCTGTCTGTGTGGCACTTGGAACTGTGAGAGCCATCCCAGGACCATGAGAAGAGGTCACCTGAGGATAAAACCAATGTGCTGTGGATATCTGGGGGAAAGGAGGGAAGTCCTTGTGTTTCTACCTATGGTAGGGAAGAGTATAAACCAACTCTGAAGGCATCTCATGGCAGGGCAGCTAGGCACATCAAATGCATTTTCCTTGTTAACTAAACCATTTTGAATTGGGGTCATTTTTGTTGTTATTGTTATTACTGGCAGCAAAAGTATCCCATACACTCTAGTAGCCATGTTCAAAAAAGTCGCTTTCAGCTCTTTTACCATCTGTATCCATAGTCACGCAGACACGCTGAGTATGCTCTTCAGTTCTAATTTTAAAATAAAATGATCTGCTGGAAATTAGCTCAGCTCATAGATCTCCATACTTACAACACCGTATCTAAGAATTAGTAAATAACTATTACCATGATAAGTGGCCTATCTCAGTCTATCCACATGTTGAGTGTCCAGGTACTGGAGGTGGCATGGAACCTCCCCTCAATAAACAAAGGCTATGATGAGAGGTTATACTTTAAATTAAATTACTGAGTGGAGGCATAATGTGGTGAGGGTCACAAGAGAGGTACCAAAGATGCAGCAACAGAGCAGTTGATGGGCACTTAGCATTTCAGTAAGTGGGAATGGGGAGGAGAGCAGGAAAGGTGGAGGAAATAGATGAGGAGAGGAAAGAAGGGAAGTGTTCTCCAAGGAAGCACGCTGCAGGGAAAGAGTCTTTCACCTGTATGTCCCACAAGGCACAGAGTATGAACTCAGAAATGTTGAATGATTTGTCTCTATAATTAAGGGATGATTTCACTGATAATGTTGTCTTCTTCCATGATCTAAATTCAACCTGCCCTTCAAATCCATTCATTCATACAATTGTTCATCCATCCATCCATCCATCCATCCATCCATCCATGTATTCATGTATTCATTCATCTATCCATCCATGTATTCATCCATCCATCATCCATGTATTCATCCATCCATCCACCCATCCATCCATGTATTCATCCATCCATCTATCCATCCATCCATACGCACTGAGTTCCCTCCATGTGCCAAGCACTGAGCTAAACACTAACTAGGGTTGGGCTTTGCCAATGAGTTCAGAGCCTAGTGAGAGAGACAGAGTTGTAAAGAAAAAAATCACAAATGCCAACTCCCCCATTGCCTTGCTTGATCCTTAATGCCAGAGTGTAGCTTGGTTGAGCATGACAATCAGCTGGAGAGCTTTTTAAAAACAGAAATTCTGCAATCCTTCCTCTTTTTTCTTTATTGGAAAGTCCAGGGGTGAAAGGGGCAAAAGAGTCTAAGTGGGAGTTAGGGAGGCAGAAGAGGATTGAAGGCAGTGTCTGAAATATTTTCAGACTGAGAAGGAAAAGGAAAACAGCCAAGAACACAAGGAGGAGCAGTCAGAGCATAAGGAGGAAACTAGGAAAGATCTAAGTCATGGAAGCCAAGGAAGGACATTCAGTAAGATGGAAAGTTCAGTGTCGCAACTGCAGAGAGATTCATGTCCAGGAGAAAGTCATTCAACCAACCATACGCATTGAGAACAGGTCCTGGATTTGGCAACTTAAAACCTCTTGCTGTCCTCTAAAAATGTTGTAGGAGCCTGACAGCATTAAGCCAAATGGCTCAGTAGTTAAAAACAGGGAGGATATGCAAAGGGCAATGTAGGCTACTCATAGAAGAAGTTGAGCAACAAAGTTAGGGAGGGAGTGGCAGTTCAAAGAAAAGCACTAATGCCACAGGGTGCAGTGGCTCATGCATGTAATCCCAGCACTTTAAGTCAGGAGTTCAAGACCAGCCTGGCCAACATGGTGAAACCTTATCTCTACTAAAAATACAAAAATTAGCCGGGCATGGTGGTGGACACCTGCAATCCCAGCTACTCAGAAGGCTGAGGCAAGAGAATCACTTGAATCCAGGAGGCAGAGGTTGCAGCAAGCTGAGATTGCACCACTGCACTCCAGCCTGGGGGACAGAGTGAGACTCCTCAAAACAAACCAACCAACAAACAAACAAAACCAAAAAAACAATGAAAACAAAAATGAAAAGCACTAACTGGCTTCACCCACCCAACATTTGCTGGGCACTTACTGTACTTCAGAAATTACTAGTAGCTAGGGATGCACTAGTGCACAAGACTCAGCCCTGCCCTCAAGGCATTTACAAACCAATGAAAAGAAGGTTTATCTTATTTGCTCAGTCTGTTTGAAGGATGAGAAAAGCAGGTATGTTTATAGACAGGATAAAGGGAGCCAGTGGAGTAGAGGAGATAGAGATTCTAGAGCCAGGGCACTTAAGGACGTTACTGTCTGGGGAAGAGGTAGAGGAAATGCCATGTTTCACAGCACAATGGTGGGGTCAGTTCTGGCAGGAAGGTGGGACCCCACTGTCTCAGAAGGGGTGTGCTGCCAGATGGCTAACAACAGGCTCTCACAGGAAAACTCCTGATTTGAAGCACTTGGTCATTTCTATGGAGTCAATATTTCCATCATGGGCAACTGCAAGGAACCCAGGGGAGTCCCTGAATGCAGAGTTGGGAAAAGATGTGCTCTAACGCATCATTGCCGGCTCTAGCGAGTTGGGAGGAGCCAGCTCTAGCACACATGGGCTCCAGAAGCCAAAGAGAGACCAA
This sequence comes from Homo sapiens, assembly GCF_000001405.40. Classification (NCBI taxonomy): domain Eukaryota; kingdom Metazoa; phylum Chordata; class Mammalia; order Primates; family Hominidae; genus Homo; species Homo sapiens. The sequence continues at coordinate 38,592,332 of NC_000021.9, forward strand.
GAAGCCTGGAACTGTTGATAAGAAAAGAGTGTTCAGAGGAAAGCTGTGAAGCCAGCATAGCCAGCTGCTCTCCTAGGCGCTGAGACCCTGTGATGAGAGGAGAAACCAGGGAGGCGGAGTTCCAAATCTGGAAAAGTGGCAGGCTTGAGTGCTCTTCAGTTACTCCCACTTGAGCAATTTTGCTTTCTAAACCTGGTTAATAGCCCAAAATGTGGGCTGCTTATTGTCATCTCCCTTCACTGTGTGTGTGTGTGTGTGTGTGTGTGTGTGTGTGTGCTTTTCCTATGTAAACTGCTGCACCACTAACTCTGCTATACTTTAGAACTCAGTAAGGCAATCCTTAGACTCTTATACAATTCCCTAAAGGGTCCCCTTTTACTCTAAGTCACAGAGAAATGTTGAACATTTAAACCTTTAAAGTGCAGTTTTGCTGGAAGAAAATTTCAAGGGTCTCCATGAATCATGTCTGAGCCATGTATTGGCCATGACCGCATACTTCTTGTCAGTCTTATTTCATTTGGTTGTTATTGTGGTTTGGTTTCATTTCATGTTGCTTTGGAGGGTCAACCTTTCTTTCATTCATGACATTCAATCAACCTTTCTCCCCAGTGCGTCTTCCCATTTTTTATGTGTGTGTCAGGAGATAGAAAAATAAACACAGGTATTAATGTGCCTGTGGGCACCAGTTTGTAAAGCCCAAGACGTTCTTGGACCCAAGGAAACTTTCAGTTCTTTCTCAGCCTTGCCGTTTTGCATGTAAAGCATTTGAGCTGATCTCAGAGTTGAGGTGGCTGCCAGCTTCCACCAGAACAAAACACACAGCAGCAAAACAGCGCCATGTCCCTCAGTGTGGGAACCAGGGTCTGCCTGGGGCCCCCCTGTAAAAACGAGAGATCTGAAGGAAAACAGACAGCATTTGAAAGGCGGATGACATCAAGAAAGTAAAAGCAACTATAAATATGACTTCTCTCCTGCTTTACACTGAGCCTTCTGTTCAAGAAAACACATTTACCAGGGATTTTTTCCTTAAGCTCAACTGGAAAAACAAATATTTAGTCATTTTACAAGAGCAGACAACTGAAAAGCAAGCCACAGATTAAACAAGCATTATGTATTTCTAAGAAAGTTCATCAAACACAATATATCTTTGAGAACACAATCTTGAAGTCTGTTTTAGAGGCAAATTTGACCTTCAAAATGAATTTTGTCTCGATATAATTACAAGGTCAAATCTTAAAGAAGCAAATGCATAGACAACCATCTTTGCAATGAGATCTGTTTTATATTTGCAAATGAACAATACTGGACAGAAAAAAAATACATAATTACTTCTGAGGTTATATATAAAATACCCAATTGGCAATTAGCTAATATCATATTAGCATCTCAATATTTTAGATAAAGCAAAACTCCCAAGTACAAAATAATCTATAATAGAACAAAAATGGCAAGTCATATTAAAGAGAGATTACATATAAGAGACTTTATTACAAGTTATCATTTTTTAGATAAAATTTATTCTTTCAGCATCACTTTGATACTTGTAGGAGGCAGATATAGTATAGAGAGGCAGATAGAGGTGAGAACCTTTCCTAAGAAAAATCAAGCAGCATTAAAAGCATAAAGAAAAAAGAAGAAAAAATATTTCAGATTCCCAATTCGTATATCACATTGTTGACAAAAAAAAAATTAGAGAATACCAACAGGAAAAGGTTTCCTTGTGCTCTTTAAGGGTGGGGAATTTCAAAGAACCTTGAACTCATCATGAAAATAGTTCTATACCCATCGGCTTTGCCAAAAACACTTTGGGATTTCAGTGATGGGTACTGAGCCACCAGGAGCAATGAAACCAGCTTTTCCATTTCCACTGAGTTTTGACTGGTTTACAAGGATTGCACAAAGATCACCTCATTTGTACTGGACACAATTGGGAAATAAAAATTTAAAAATCATCCTTCATATTTAAAATAGAAATCATGAACCCCGCCACAAACATGCTTCCCCGACACTCAGGACCTGAGGTTGACAACATGCCTCCCCGTTAACCCATGAAGCCTCATAGGTATGCACTGCATCTATATAGAATTTTCCATGGACTCCATCATCAAAGCATCCTTTAACAAGTATGAACTGAGCACTCACCCCATGCACAGAGCTGTGGACGGGGCCATATGGGACAGAAAAGTTGCAAGGTGTGTCTCTCACTCCCAAAGAGCCCACATGCCTTGCAGGAGAGGAAGGCTGTGGACCCAGGTTTTGTGATGCAGATGAAGGGGCCACATAGCTGCTCCAGTAAGAAGAACTGGAATCATCTGAAGGAGAGGAAAATAGGGCATTTCAGCCTTGAATAGCAGAACCCAGATCATGAAAAATAGGAAGAACTTATATGGACGTCAGAGAGGAAGGCAATCCAGACAACAATAATAACTTAGGCAAAACAGAAATCAAATGCAGCTTGCAGAAGACTCTGTACAGGGAGCCAACACAGCTACTTTACGTGAGGAGTCAATGAGACCATTTAATAGAAGCCCCCTGTCGAAACTGTAAAAATGATTTTGCCATCTTGGCCATCTCCTGAGATGGCTGAGAAGGGATTTGCCAAGCAAAAAAAGAGTTGAGGGGTTTTGCACAATGGCCTGGAACAGAGAGGCTGGAGAGAAATCAGACAAGTCTCTCAGGCAGAAGTTCCAGAAAAATGAAGAAGCAGGAGAGCCCGAGGCAAGAGGGAAATGGCAGGCACATTGGTTGGACGATGAGGGTTTGTGTGGATCTCAAAGGGCCAAGACGTGGGGAGAGTCTAGACTTTTAGGCTAGGAAGTCCGAACCTTGTTGTGAAAATAGCTGAAGATTTTGGAGCACCTGCCGAGCAAAGTTTCCCAAAGAGGCTGTTGGGAAGATTCATGAGGCAGGAGACTACAGGGAGGGAAGGCCAGAGGCAGAGAGGCCAGTTCCAGGATGGCTGCCACGATCCAGCCCAAGGTAATGAAGGTGGGGAAGCCTCGGAATGCAAGAGACAGGGTGGAGATGAGAAGACATGTCAGAGCCTGGTGGCCAATTAAGCAGAGAAGGTGCAGGGAAGAGAGGAGAGCAGGATGGAAAGCCAGGAAATGTGGGTCTCAGTGAAGATGGGGAGTTCTGTTTCAGCCCCAAGAATGAGCATGTGCATCCTTGAACCCCGGGGCCTGTGAGGTTGGTCAATGGAAGCCCGGGAGCTCTGCTCAGTCAGGGTCTAGGACTGGTACTCCTGCTGGGGCCACCTCAGAGCAGAAGCAGGGCGGGAGCGGTGGAGGCTGGCTCTGAAGTGTTCTGCCCTTAAAGAACAGCAAGACTTTCCAGAGGCAGTGTGTAGCCTTTAAGATGGAGACTGTGATGAAGAATGGAGAGAGATGGAAAGAGCTTCTCAGTGACATGGGGAGAGGGTCCGCACCTGGAGGGCAAACCCTTCCTGGAGGGCAGAACCTCGCTGGCCATCTGGCTTCCCACACACCTGCCTGGTGAACCAACATATCACTAGGGGGTTCTTTTCTTGCTTGAAATGTCATTGAGTTTTCAATTTGTAGCATTCATGAGGTGCATTATGAGGTTTATTCAGCATTTTTTTTCTTTTGCTGAGAAAGGCACAATTAAGTACCAGAATTTTCTTTGCTGGCCTAGCCTTCTGGAATCTGAACAGGTTTTGCAATCCCAGGACCAGATCCTCTCTATATAAAAATTGGTGTGGGATTGGGGGGGGGGGGTCTCTTTTTATAATAGCTAGAACATCTTAATATTTTGTAAAAAATAAGCTCATCACGAACCCAGTTAACCCAGCAAGGCTACTGCCCTTCTTCTGTGTCGTGGTAACAGCTTTCTTCAGCAGTGCAAGGTGCAGGCAGAGCCTTTCATAGTTTTAATCACTAGGTCCATTTATTGAGAGAGCTTGAAAGGTGATTATTCCTGTTCTCATTTCTCAGAAAACTGAGGCATGTGAAGATCACAGGTAGGGTAAGCAAATGAACACAAATTCAAACTCGGAATTCAAAACCAGCCTCTGTGTATTCCTGAGGACCATACTGTCTGCTAAGTGTAGAGAAAGGCACATCCTGGTTCAACAGCAGAGAAAGCAAACAGGAGGCACTTTCTGTGAGTCATCTCCACCACAGGGCCCTCTCTTTTGTGATCCAGCGATACTTGTTCACAGTCAAAGCCCAGGAAGAGTGGAAAGATTAACCTTTGTGAGCCAAACCGTGTGACACTTGATTACTTGACAGAACTAATCCTTCTGTCCTGATGACAGAAATTCAACTACACAGGTACATGCAAGCTAATATCTGTTGTAATGCCTCCCAGTTTCTCTGGAGAATTCCTTAGTTTCCTGGACATCTCTGAAATGCAAAGTTTTGGCAACGAGTCTCTGAATTAACCTCTGAAAATCTCACCCAGCCAAGATGGCCTTCTTGAGAAGACTGAAGAACATGGTTGGTTTCAGGCTGAGCTGGAAGTGGTTTACCTCCCAGGAGAGGTTCCCCACAGTGGTGTTTAAGGCATGGGGTGGACCAACACCAGGAAGACTCAGACATCACACCACCCACCTTCAACTCAGTCACATCCACCTACATTTTCTGAAAACAAAAGGCAGTCTCCCCAAAAAGCACTGAGACTCTTGTGTAGGTAATCTGAGCAGACACCAACTTCCCAGGGCTTCCTTTTATCCAGGAGAGCTTGGCTGTTCTTTTTAATGGTAATATCTTCTTCTTCCTGCAGCACCGGGCTGTGGCCCACTCTGGAGAAAAGGAAAGATCATTGCTGGCCTGCCTTCCCAATTTCAGACTTGCCAGTCTACAATTGTGTAAACTAATTCCTTAAAATACATCTCATTATATCTATCATCCATCTGAATCTAGATGCATACATATGTATATACACATATGTACACAGTTATAAATATGGATCAATATAATGAGATGTATTTTTAAGAAATTGGTTTATCTGTCTATATATATTTACATACATATACATCCATACATAGATATCTCATTTTATCTCTATATCTATATACATATAAACACACGTGTGTGTACATTTATGTATGGACATAAAGATGGGTGTAATAAGATTTATTTTAAGGAACTTGAAATATAGAGAGATATCTATATATATCTACACACACACACACACACACACACACACGCACACAGAGAAAGAGAGAGAGGGAGAAAGATCTATCTACATCCATCCTGTTGGATCTTTCTGGAGCACCCTGGCTGACACTCCTGCATTGATGAGTCATTGGTTGTAGGATGTCCTGGGAACGAGGCATGAGCTTGGACAGGGCTGTCATCATCAGCAGGCACTTCCCAAAGAGGGCTGACAGCTGAGGCATCTTCCAACCATACTCCCAGCATCTGAGGGAATAAGTCCTTCCTTCCTGAAGGGAACCCAGACAGCACATCACAGAGCCCACACCAACTGGGCAAATTGAATGTGCACAGAGTAAATTACCAAAACTGCCAATAAAACTCAGAATTATAAAATCATATAATTTAGAAATTATAAAATCATATAATTTAGAAATTACGTGATGTAATTAACATTTGCAATCCGTTGACTTAAAGTCGATTATGTGGGAAATAACTGAGAGTTCGTTAATAAGCACAAAACAATCCAGCAGAAATTGACAGCATTAGGTGCTCAGGTTGTGTGGAGGTCAATCTCAGCAAACCAGAGTCACTGGGCTCCCTAGATGGAGTTAAGGAAAGCCCTGATCTTGGACCAGCCACGTCCTTTACACATAGCAAGGACTGTAAGCCCGACCTTGCTCTAGCACAGGAAGGAGGAGGGCTTCCCTCTAAAAACCACCCATTTTCTCCCAGAACCCCAAGACTCCAGTCCCTGTCAGGCTGCAGAGGTGATTTCCAACCATCTGATGCCACCTGCATCAGAATCGCTGAGGCATTCCTGGGCCCCATGCCCCATTCCTGGAGTCAGCAGCCGGACTATGAGACTGGCTCAGTGAACCCCACAGACAGGGTCACAGGCATGGAAGCGCAGGCAGCAGAGTGCAGGCACAGAGGCTAGCAGTGACCATCCACCTGGCCCTGAACAAGTCCACCTTCTCAGAGTTTTAGTTTCCTAACCTGGAAAACAGGGAATAATATCATGAAAGAAACACCAGGCACAGCACTAATGTATCACAAATGCCACATAAGTAACTGAGTGCAAAATGGGACATTTCCTGCCATCGGCTGAGGCTCAGAATAGCACACAGAGCACAGCAGCGGTGCACTCTCTAAAAAAGGATGCCCGCACATCCATGCACAACTCTCTAAGGAGTGACCTAAATAACAACAGCAAGTCCCTGCCCCTCTGCCTTCCCGGCCTCAAGGGTATATATGTCAGAAACTGGTCAATGCTGAGTATACAGCTCCCACAGTCGCAGAGGGGAGCAGGGTGGATGTGTAGAGTTTTCTGGTTTCTGCACAGTATAAATCCTCCCACAATTTCAATCAACCAAAGGAGGAGTTGGGAGACATCTGCACAATTAGCTCTTGTGCACCGGCACTGATAGAAGAGACCAGAGACCTGGCATTCCTTCAGAGAAAGTTTCAGAGGCTGTGCAGCACCTCTCTCCACCCCAGGGAAAGAAAGGAAAGGGGGACATAGGCAGGGAAATTTCACATCCATGTGCAGATGCACCAACCTCAAGGCCAGTGAGGGAAGCTTCAAAAAAACCATTTAGGCTGCCTCCAAGGGTTCCCCTAGGGTTCTGAGCTACCAGGGCACAGGGGCTAGTGACTGCCTTCCAGGTAGAGAAGTTTGCAGAGGCTGCCTGGGGACAGGTAAGAAGGAGAGGCCATGGGGGGGCACACTGAGCTTCCATCCATGGTGAGGTGAGAGGGCCTGGGTATATCCTTGTACCCAGGGACCCATGGCAGGTGGCTGGACTTGCAGGGGTGAGCCAGCCCTGACAGAAAGAGGCTGGAGGTGTACCAGGGTGAAGCTAGGGGAAGGGTACCATCAGCAGACACACACAGGGATGTCACCCTGCCATGGAGAGCTGTGGGGCAATGTCACTGCAAGAGCCCTTCCGCACCCTCCCATGCATTCCATGAACAAGGGGCAGCTTTTAGACCTTTGCTTCACAGAGGGGAATCCGACACCAAATTATGATGCATGGCCAAGTAACCCCATTAATAGCCCTTGTTGTCCTGTCTTCCTGCTCCAACCCTGGAGAACCAGAGGCAGAGGTCAGTGGTAAGGAGAGGAGTGGGTGTGCAAGCCTCTGAGGCTGGGAGCCGGCCATGGCCCCAGAGGCGTTTCCGATGCTAACACCAGCTCCGGATGCAAAGAATCTTGAAACAGGACGAACAATAGGCTTTTAAAAATTCAACTTCCCTGGACCTCTCAATACTTGGAAATTAGACTGTTCACTGTATCTAGAAGTGACAGGGAAAGTCTGGTGCCTGAGGAGACTCGGAACAGGGACAGGAAGGAGCTATCAGACTTGAGGCATGAGTTTGGAGGAAGTAAAGTTGCACCTACATCATAACCTACTGAGAACAGCTCATTCAGAAAACAAAGAAGCCCAGTTTCTCATATGTTGGGTGGGTGGCCCTGCCAGGTAAACCTGTAGCAAAGCCACATGGAAATAGGATAGTGTCAAAACCAATCAGGCCAAGAGTGAGCAACAGCCCACTGGGTCTCTGAAAGAGCTGAGGAAACAAGAGGAGGCAAAAGAAGTGATCTATAAGGCACGAGGTTGGTGACAGGGCCAGGAAGTTTACAAGAGCGAGCATATCAGATAGACAAACACCAAGAGGCAGAAGAGTCTACAGATACAAGGAGATCCAAACCTACCCGCAATCCCCACCCAACCCCGCCCCGGCTTTGGCTACCCTGGGGCTGGCGAAGGTATTAAGTGAAAACACCCAGGTTTGAGAATGGCTGGGCATCAAGGCAGTTTTGACAACCTCAGAATCAGGAAGTATTTGCCTGCAGGCCAGTAGCTGGGAGAAATGTCCAGCTCTACGTAGATTTCTGTAGCTGGGGTCCCATTTTCCTTCAAGGTGGGATGGGTAAGACAGAAAACGTCCCCTGAAGGACAAGACTCAGGACAGCTCCAGCCTAGTGTCTCCCGGTCCCTGTTTGCTCCACAGGAGAAAGACCCTCCAGAGTGCAATGAAGGGGCCCAGAGGGGACAGTAAAGGGACCCCATCCCATGTGGCGACTCCCATCATGGCAGAACTGTAGAATCCAACATCACATGGACCTCATTGATAACACTGACCACACCTCCTTGCTCTTAAGATGGATAAAGGGCAGGGACAAGGGGCTCCGTTTTATTTGACCAATAGCTGCAAAAGTAAGAAATCGTAATAAGCATGGAATCACAGAACCAGTTGAATGTAGAATTAAACAATTAAGGCACATTTCTGGCTTAAAGATGCCAAGAGGTTTTTGTTTGTATTCTTTATGTTTTTTTTGGACAACCACTAAACACACATTCAGAGCATCTTCTATAAGAGCCACAGAGACATCCCTTGAGACTTCAGATGATTTCAAAACTCTGCTATCGCTCCTTGAAAAAGGCAAGCCTGGGATTGCAACCTATCCATGCATCTAACCCCCCCTGGAAATCTCTGGCTCCAAGAGTCTAATGGTGATGGCTGCCACTATTAGATTTCCTTTCTCTCTGGGCATTACAATCAGGTTTACAAGGAAGAAACACCACCCAGGGTTATCACCTCCACCAGTGGACACAGAGTTCACCAGCTTTTATTGCCGGGACTGACAGATGTCAAGGGGATCACTGGATTCCAGGATTGACAGGATGGAACGGTCAGTAGGACGCCTTCCCCCAACAACTCAGATGACAGAGTCCACAACGCGGCAGCCAGATCAGGCAGGAATCCCACCTAATGTCTGAATAACACCACTGATAGGAATCCCCACTGAATCCCAACTGAAGGCTCAGTTGTACACTGTGGGCCCAAAATACCTACAACGTTTTACAAAACCTAAAGAAAAGGCAGATCTCTTTGGTGGCAAAGGCAATGTGGTGAGTTAACTTTGAAGCAATCCAACACCATATTATTGTCATAGACATGCTCACTAAGAAAAAAAAAATCATACAGAGAAATAGAAAAATAGAGAGATAAATGAATAAATATTTATTTTGAGGTTTCACTGCCAAAGGCTAGCCAGAGAAACAGGGGAGATACAAGGTGAAGATTGGAATCACAACTAAATATTGTTCCTGTATAAGGAGAATTTTCCCTGTTTGAATTCTTAGATTACTTGACTCCCCGAGTTTCTCATTCCTTTGACAGGCACCCATGAGTGTTACACTCCAAGCACTCACCCTCCTATTTCCATGTGCCAGCATTTCCAGTCACTATCTTGATTTAAGTAGAGAGGATAACAGTTTTCTCCTACATAGTAACTTTAAAATAGTAACAGTTTTCTCCTAGAAGCAACTTAAAATAAATTTATTGACATTAAAAAATTTTAAATGAGGTGTAGTCAAAGCTTAACCAGCACTTTTTTAAAGGAGCATATTTTACTTTATTTTTATTTTTATTTTTATTTTGAGATGGTGTCTCCCTCTGTTGCCCAGGCTGGAGTGCAGTGGTGTGATCTCAGCTCACTGCAACCTCCACCTCCCAGATTCAAGCAATCCTTAAAGAAGCATATTTCATAAAGAACACTTCTGAGTCACTTCTGTTGTCTTCCTGAGTGCTTTTTACCTGCTCTTTGCATGTGGCATAAACTCCTGCTTCTCTAATGCATCTCAGTTTTTAACTTTTGGCTCTTTCACTGCAAACATAGGAATTTTTAAAATAAAGAAACCACAGCCAGGCATGGTGGCTCACGCCTGTAATCCCAGCACTTTGGGAGGCTGTGGCAGGTGGATCACGAGGTCAGCAGATCAAGATCATCCTGGCTAACATGGTGAAACCCCGTCTCTACTAAAAATACAAAAAAATTAGCTGGGCATGGCGATGGGTGCCTGTAGTCCCAGCTACTAAGGAGGCTGAGACAGAAGAATCCCTTGAACCTGGGAGGCAGAGGTTGCAGTGAGCCAAGATTGTGCCACTGCACTCCAGCCTGGGTGACAGAGCGGGACTCTGTCTCAAAAATAAATAAATACATAAATAAATAAGTAAACCAAAACAGTTGTACAAACACCAGATATTCAAACATCAAATGACTTGATAAATGTGGACTTTAACGGGGCAGGGGATAAGGAAGGGAAATGCAGCAACTGGTGCATTTACAGCAATTAATCCTCCCTCATCATTAAAAAACACTGCTCCATTTTGTAAATAGCAGCACAGAGCAACCACACTGGAGAAGTCATGCTTAACAATACATTCATTTGTGGGCTTTGTGATTTTTTTCCCTCTCAAGCCATTTTGAAGAAAATCTTTGAACACGTCTCAGTGGCTTGATGCTTCACATTAAGCTCCTTTAAGCAGCTAGAAGTTTCCTGAAGGAAACACATGAGCCTTTTACTCCTAGAACGCCAAGAGCTGGTGGAGTCCTCAAGAAAAAAACGACGATTCCAGTGGGAATGAATTTCCTTCTGAGAAGTGAAGGGCAAACCACATTGAAAAAGTTGAGCTTCATGCCTCAACTCAGAAAGTTAACCTAGCCAGGGTCCAGGCAAGAACAAAATCTGCCAGAAAGGCAGGGTGAGCTCAGACAGATTTCAAGCAGGAGCACAGGCAAGGTAATGTTCAAAATCCTGTCCAGCCCCCAGGTACTATGAATACTCAATGACATCAAATGGAGCCAGTTCCAAATTGCTAAACTTGTAGCTCATAGCTGGGTCTCCTCAAGAACTTGTCTTTAGACCCCTAAAGACACCTCTGCCACATGAAGAGACCCGAAACGCAGCTTACATCCAGAGCAAGTCCTTTGTTAATGAAAATGTGAATGGCAAAGACATCAAGGTCTCTAGCAGTGGCCATATTTGAACATGTTTTAGGACTTTCAGATAAAATCCGATTAAAACAAACAGATTGGGGCCAGGCACGGTGGCTCACGCCTGTAATCCCAGCATTTTGGGAGGCCGAGGTGGGCAGATCACAAGGTCAAGAGATCGAGACCATCCTGGTCAACATGGTGAAACCCTGTCTCTACTAAAAATACAAAAATTAGCTAGGCGTGGTGGTGCGCACCCTGTAGTCATTCTTTGCAGTTCCTTGCTCTGGGGCTGCATGAAGGACTTCCACCTGTGAAAAGAAGTGGCGAATCTGGGGCCCATCATTGGAAATGCCAGCCTTCTCACTGAGTCTGCTATTTTGCAAGAAAAATCACCAACAGCATTCCCCTTAAGTAAGTCTCTCGAGATATCACCCAAGGCAGGGAATCCCCAACTTTGCTCTTGGATCAAGAAGGGCCCCCGATAAGGTTTTCAATCATCCTTAGAAAAATAGGAGGAAAGCGGAAGAACAGTACTCTTAGGCGAAATTAACATAACTGAAGTCACATTCTTTTGAAACTATGTCCTCAGATTTTTGGGGGTGGAGGTTAAAGTGTCCTTTATTTGCTGAAATGCTGATGAAATTAGAGAATAGAGGTTTTCCTCCTTTGTTAATGCCTTCACGTATTGGCATCTTGATTTCCTCCTTTTAAAAAATGTACTAGTTTTGGCCGGGCGCGGTGGCTCACGCCTGTAATCCCAGCCCTTCAGGGGGCCGAGGCGGGCGGATCATGAGGTCAGGAGTTCGAGACCATCCTGGCTAACACG